>NC_000019.10:37846934-38149964 GCF_000001405.40 Homo sapiens
GATTTTACCAGTTGAGGAAAAGGGGTATGAAATAAAGAAAACATTAGAAAACATTAACCAATTCAATATTAGAAATAAAATAAGAAGGGAAAAAGAGGTATGATATATAGAAATGAGGTGATAGAAACAAATCTTTCATTATCATAATAAATATAGATTAAACTCATCACATAAAAGAGAGACCAAATTGAATATTTAAATGAATTAAGTACGTGCTGTTTATAAGAGAAAAATCTAAAACGTAAGACATAGAAACTTTACAGTATCATGGGCTTCTGTTCCTTAAAATGATCTGAAAGCAATAAGGAGAGTAAAAAAAATCTTTGCAAGCTCAACATTCAGCAAAACAAGGAGAAGTATAATCTGTAGACAACAAATTACATGTAAAAGTTGGGAAAAGCAGCTCAAATGAGGAACAACTATAGGGAGGAAGTGGAGACAAGAAACTATGCAAAGAAATTTGAGCAGAAAGAAAGACAAACAGAAGCAGATATAAGAAAACACCTGTGGTGGCTCACGCCTGTAATCCCAGCACTTTGGGAGGCCGAGGCGGGTGGATCATGAGGTCAGGAGATCAAGAGCATCCTGGCCAACATGGTGAAACTTTGTCTCTACTAAAAATACAAAAATTAGCCGGGTGTGGAAGTGTGTGCCTGTAGTCCCAGCTATTCAAGAGGCTGAGGCAGGAAAATTGCTTGAACCCGGGAGATGGAGGTTGCAGTGAGCCGAGATCGTGCCACTGCACTCCAGCCTGGGCGACAAAGCGAGACTTCATCTCAACAAAGAAAAAAAAAAAAAAAGAAAGAAAAAGAAAAAGCAAAGGAAAAGAAAACACCTGGGAAATTAAATTTCCTACAGGTGAGGAGTCCACCGTCAGGTAGGGATCTATACCTCTTGTTTGCAACTACACTGTAAGAAACTGGAAAGCAAAAACAGAGGAGACAGAGTTGATCAGTCTCCTACAAAAGCCATATGTGAGGCAGAAGGAACCTCTTAAAAGAAAAACTCATCCAGGAAAACCCAACTTAGGCAATGTTCTGCAAGAAAAAAGGGACTAGCTACATTAACCCAAAACTACAAAACGAACTCTGAAGGAAAGAGTAACAAAGTAAACTAACATATGAAGAGCTTTCACTGGAAAACTGCCTCAATGGATCAGATAAAAATTATAACTAGGCCAGGTGTGGTGGCTTTTGCTTGTAATCTCAGCACTTCAGGAGGCTGAGGTGAGAAGATTGCTTCAGCCCAGGAGTTCAAGACCAGCCTGGGCAACATAGCGAGACCCCGTCTCTACAAAAAATAAAAAACTAGCCAGGAGTGGTGGCATACTACTGTAGTCTCAGCTACTCAGGAGGTTGAGGTGGGAAGATTGCTTGAGCCCTGGAGGTTGAGGCTGCAGTGAGCTATGATCTCACCACTGCACTCCAGCCTGGACAACAGAGTGAGACACTGTCTCAAAAACAAAAAAAAATTATAACCAAATATTTTGCCGTGAATGAAAAAAAAGACTTGATGCAATTTCCTCTGTGATGGAAGACCACAAAGCAAAAATATAAAAATCCAGGGAGGAGATGCTGAAAGAACAGGGTAAGAACAAATAGAGAGCAGGCAGAAATCGAAGAAAAATCAAGTATCACAAGCATAAGGACAAAAGTTGAAAGAACACAAGGGAGAAAAACCCAGTGAAGAACCTGGAGGACAAAAATGGGAAAAGCAGGCCGGGCGTGGTGGCTTACACCTGTTATCCCAGCACTTTGGGAGGCCGAAGCGAGAGGATCACTTGAGGTCAGGAGTTCAAGACCAGCCTGGCAAGCATGGAGAAACCCCGTCTCTACTAAGAAATACAAAAATTAGCTGGGCATAGTGGTGTGTGCCTCTAATCTCAGCTACTTGGGAGGCTGAGGCAGGAGAATCGCTTGAACCCAGGAGGCAGAGGTTGCAGTGAGCCGAGATGGGACCACTGCACTCCAACCTGGGCGACAGAACAAGATTCAGTCTCAAAATGAAAAAACAAACAAACAAAAAAAACAAACAACAACAAAAAAAAACCAGAAAGAATTACTTAGAAAATATGTAGTTTCAACAAATGTTGCTGGGACAACTGAATATCTACATGCAGCATAATAAATTTGGACTTCTACCTCAAACCATTAAAAAAATTAGCACGAAATAGATCAAATACCTAAATATAAGAACTAAAACCAGGAATCTTTGTCACTTTGGACTAGGCAACGGTTTCGCAGACATGGCAAACCATAAGCAACTAAAAAAAAACTGGACTTCATCAAAATTAAAAACCTTTGTGCACTAAGGAAAGGACACTATTAAAAAAACTGAAAGATTTCACACAGGTCCAAGATTTGCTGAAAAAGGAAAAAAAAAGAAAGAAAAAGTGAAAAGACAACCCACAGAATGAGAGAAAATATTTGTAAATCATGTATCTAATACGGGCCTAGTATCCTGAATATATAAAGAACTGTTACAACTGAACTACAAAAAGGCAAATAACCCAGTTAAAAATTGGACAAAGGATTTGAATAGAAATTACTACAAAGATATATACAGGCTGGGTGAGGTGGCTCATGCCTATAATCCCAGCACTTTAGGAGGCCAAGGCAGGCAGATCACCTGAGGTCAGGAGTTTGAGATCAGCCTGGTCAACATGGCGAAACCCTGTCTCTACTAAAAATACAAAAATGAGCCAGGCGTGGTGGCATGCACCTGTACTCCCCGCTATTTGGGAGGCTGAGACAGGAGAATCCCTTGAACCTGGGAGGCGGAGGTTGCAGTGAGCCGAAATCGTGCCACTGCACTGTAGCCTGGGAGAGCCAGATTTCGTCTCCAAATATATGTGTGTGTGTGTGTGTGTGTGTGTGTGTGTGTATACAAATGGCTAAGAGCCACATGAAAAGATGCTCAACATCACTGGTTATTAGGGAAATGCAAATCAAAACCTCAATAAGATACTTCACATCTACCAAGATGGCTTTAATTTTTTTTAATGGAAAATAACAAGTGTTGGCAAGGAAATGGAGAAATGGGTACCCTCTGACATTGCTTGTGGGAATGTCAGATGGTGCAGTGGCTGTGGAAAACAGTATAGTCAATTGTTTTAATTTAATGTTGTCTTGGTATCAATTTTAAATACAAGTTTAACTTTCTCATACAAGAAACAGGAATCAGTCACCCTTGACACAGTTTTCAGTTCCATACCACACCTAAAGGACTCAGGACGGTGGCCAGAGATAAGAACTTAGAGGCATCTCTCCCACCTAGAAGACTGGGCTCCCTGCGGTTCCACAGCTTCCTTTAAAATAATTTGTCGGCTGGGAGCAATGACTCACACCTGTAATCCCAGCACGCTGGGAGGCTGAGGCGGGTGGATCATTTGAGGTCAGGAGTTCGAGACCAACCTGGCCAACATGGTGAAACCCTGTCTCTACTAAAAATACAAAAAATTAGCTGGACATGGTGGCGGGCACCTGTAATCCCAGCTACTTTGGAAGCTGAGGCAGGAGAATCTCTTGAACCTAGGAGGCAGAGGTTGCAGCGAGCCAAGATTGTGCCACTGCACTCCAGCCTGGGCAACAGAGTAAGACACTGTCTCAAAAAAAAATTTATTATATTAAATAAATAATAATAATAATAAATAATAAATAAAATAAAATAATTCGCCTATGGGCCAGGCACGATGGCTCATGCCTGTAATCCCAGCACTTTGGGAGGCCAAGGTGGGTAGATCACTTCAGGTCAGGAGTTCAAGACCAGCCTGGCCAACACGGCGAAACCCCAGCTCTATTAAAAATACAAAAATTAGCCAGGCATGTTGGTGCACGCCTGTAGTCTCAGCTACTTGGGAGGCTGAGGCAGGAGAATTGCTTGAACGCAGGAGACAGAGGTTGCAGTGAGCCGGGATCAGACAGAACAAAACTCCATCTCTAAATAAATAAATAAGCCTGTGAACTTAAAGTGATCCACACCCTGTTCCCTTATATATACTGCCAGTTTCTTCTCTCTTTCTCTCTGGCCACCTGACTCTTCATTCCTGCCTTGCATGTTCCGGGGACATCTGGACTGCCTTCCAGACTCACTGTGCCTTCCCTGCCCAGGATCTGTAAGTAAAAAAATCTTTGAACCTGTTTTCTATTGTGGTAATGTGTTGGATTTGCACCTTCCATCTAAAAAACTAGGGGCTGCCTCAGGCTGGGTTTCCCCAAGGATGCGAGAGGGAACATAACGCTGGGCTCCCGGTGTCAGAGCTGGGGCATGGGTCAGACAAGAGCCACAAGGACATCTGCCAGTATAAACAAGTTTCCTGCACAAAGTTTCCCCTGGTCATGGGTGGGACAACTGAGAGTCAGGATGTCTACCAGGTAAAAGAAATATTCTAGGCCAGGTGTGGTGGCTCACACTTGTAATCCCGGCACTTTGGGAGACCGAGGTGGGAGGATCTCATGAGTCTGGGAATTTGAGACCAGCCTAGGCAACAGAGTGAGACATCATCTCAAAAAAAAAAAAAAAGTATTCTGTGAAAGTCACACTGTAAACACCCATATCCAGCTCCCCTTCATTTCCCATTAGGTTTAGGATTGCTAGCTGCTCTGGTACTGGAACCCAATTTTTTTTTTTTTTTTTTTTTTGAGATAGAGCCTTGCTCTGTTGCCCAGGCTGGAGTGCAGTGGCACTATCTCAGCTCACTGCAACCTCTGCCTCCCAGGTTCAAGTGATTCTCCTGGCTCAGCCTCCAGAGTAGCTGGGACTACAGGAGTGTGCCATCACATCCGGCTAATTTTTGAATTTTCAGTAGAGACGGGGTTTCACCATGTTGGCCAGGCTGGTCTCAAACTCCTGACCTCAAGTGATCCAACCACCTCAGCCTCACAAAATGCTGGGATTACAGGGGTGAGCCACCTTGATTTTTTTATTATTAAGTTCAACATACATTAGATTACTCTGTAAAACTGCTATAAAAGTTCCTAAATGCTTACTCTGAATTTCTGTACTTATCTTGTGGAGGAGAAGGACAAATAGCTCCCAGCTGACACCAGTGTGCTAATGGAGGACCTCCTTTGGGATTTCTATCCCTAGCTGAACAATTCTAGCCCTTTCTTTTCCACCTAGCAAGAGTCACTACCTCTTTTTCTTCTTTTATCTTACTAAATTTCTACCATAAGTAAAGCTTATTTATTTTATTATTATTTTTAGATGGATTCTCACTCTGTCACCCAGGCTGGAGTGCAGTGGTACAATCTCGGCTCACTGCAAACTCTGCCTCCTGGGTTCAAGCAATTTTCCTCCCTCGGCTTCCTGAGTAGCTGGGATTACAGGTGTGCACCACCATGGCTGGCTAATTTTTGTATTTTTAGTACAGACAGGGTTTCACCATGTTGGCCAGGCTGGTCTGGAACTCCTAACCTCAGGTGATCTGCCTGCCTCGGCTTCCCAAAGTGCTGGGATTACAGCCATGAGCCACCACACCCAGCCTACCATAAGTAAAGTTTAAACTTTCCAAAATCCTGCATACAACTCTCAAGTACATGCAAGGGAAGACCAAGTGGCCCCTGCAAAGAAGGATTTTTTAAAATGAGAAAATTAAACATATTTAAAAGTCAAGGGGAAGAAGCCACTAAGAAGGGAGAGTGAAAGTACAGGAAAGAGAGAGTGGGCTGCTACAGCAAGCTGATGTGTGAAGAGAAATAAGAGTTCGATCCCACAATCTCAGAGCCTTCCCAAAGTTTCCTCTGGTGATTTACGACTAGGAGCTCTAACTGGGAAAATGGGGGTTTCCTGACGCTTCTAAATCTTAGACTAAGACTTCATTCCATTAAGTTTTTGGTGAGAGTCAGATATTTCACTTTAACCCTTCTTGACCTCAGAGAAATTCCCTGTTCTTTTTCCCTACTAAAGCATTTAGAAAAAGAGAGGCTGGGTGCAGTGGCTCATGCCTGTAATCCCAGCACTTTTGGAGGCCAAGGCGGATGGATCACCTGAGGTCAGGAGTTCATGACCAGCCTGGCCAACACGGCAAAACCCCATCTCTTCTAAAAGTACAAAAATTAGCATGCACCTGTAATCCCAGCTATTTGAGAGGCTAAGGCAGGAGAATCACTTGAACCTTGGAGGCGGAGGTTGCTGTGAGCTGAGATCGCCCCACTGCACTCCAGCCTGGGCGACAGTGAGACTTTGTCTAAAAAAAAGAAAAGAAAAAGACAGTGAGATAATGAAATAAAAATGCATTATAATTTTAAAATGCAGTATTAATGCAGGGTGCTATTAAGTATGAGAGAAGTGAGGGGCACACTGAAATCAAGGGAGAATGAGATGGAACAGAAACTTTAGAGTCAAATAGACTTACATTTAAAAAGCTAGATTTTCCCCTTCAACTTTTTTTCCTTTGGACTTTTCAGATTGAACAAAGTTTTATCTCATCTATGGCAGACGTCTTAATGAGGTCAGTGGGACCAATGCCACTCAATATACATTCGCCCCATGGGGAAAACCTGTTACTAACATCATACAAACATCATAGGCTTCCCCTCTGAATCTCCATTGCCTCCTGGCTCACACACAGAGGATTACATGCCCCTAGTTCTAGAAGAGACAGACTCCAGCTACAATTTCCCCTAGAAAGAGTGTCACTGGCTTCAACATCATAATGCCTCGGACTCCCCCAGCCCCTCCCCCATATGTCCAGTGAAAGCAGCAACATGAAGAGCATGAAAATCCCCACATGAATATGCCAAGCGCTGGGAGGCAGGGGAAATCTGGTAGTTTGTGATAGTGGAAAGGGGTCACTACATTGCGGTGGGATGGCGAGATTTAAACTGTCCTTTTATGACAGAATGACTTTCTGAGGGCTGGCCATTTGAGATCCTACAGCCGGATGAGTAGAGACACTAATATATTGTGAGGGAGGGCAGGGAGTGTGACCCTTTTATCTAAATAAACTTTATTGTGTGCTTACATGTGCCAGACACTGCTCTAGGAACTGTTCATGCCTTGTCTCCAAACACTGCCTTAAAGCAGGGCTGCCAGATAAAATACAGTTACATTTGAACTTGATGCCCGGTTACATTTGAATTTCAGTGAAAAATATTTGGGAGATACATGCTAAAAAATTCTGTTTTCTTTTTCTTTGTTTTGTTTTGTTTTGTTTTTTGAGATGGAGTTTTGCTTTTGTTGCCCAGGCTGGAGTGCAATGGCGCAATGGCAGCTCACCGCAACCTCTGCCTTCCGGGTTCAAACGATTCTCCTGCCTCAGCTTCCCGAGTATCTGGGATTACAGGCGCCGGCCACTACGCCCAGCTAATTTTTGTATTTTCAGTAAAGACGGGGTTTCTCCATGTTGGTCAGGCTGGTCCCGAACTCCTGATCTCAGGTGATCCGCCCGCCTCGGCCTCCCAAAGTGCTGGGATTACAGGCAGGAGCCACAGCGCCCGGCCCTTGTTTTCTTTTTTAACTGACATCCAAACTTAATTGGGTGTCCTCCATTTTAATTTGCTAAATAAAATGTGGCAATACTACTTAAAGCTACTATCATTCCCCTTCCTCCAGGTGAGGAAATGCCCCACCACACAGCCAGAATGTGGCAGGGCGAAGAGTCAGACTCCAGACATGTGCTGAGCCATTATGCCATTGTCCCGCCTGGCCGTGCTGGGATGTGCATGGGACGCTCTGGCCTTTGTGACAGAGGCCTTGCATCAGCGGTTTGCAAGCATGGCCGGCTCTTTACGGTTCTACGGGGTCCCCATGCAGCCCTTCATAAAGGCAACGCTTGAGTTCCACCAGGCCGGAAGAAGCCATGAAACAAAAGCTATGAGAAGGCCGGGCGCGGTGGCTCACGCCTGTAATCCCAGCACTTTGGGAGGCCGAGGCGGGCGGATCACCTGAGGTCAGGAGTTCAAGACCAGCCTGGCCAACATGGCGAAACCCCTTCTCTACTACAAAAATTAGCCCGGCATGGTGGCGCGTGCCTGTCATCCAAGCTACAAAGTAGGCTGAGGCAGGAGAATCGCTTGAACCCGGGAGGCGGAGGCTGCAGTGAGCCGAGATCGCGCCACTGCACTCCAGCCTGGGCAACAGAGGCGACTCTGTCTCAAAAATAACACACACACACACACACACACACACACACACGGAAAACACGGCCCTGGACTCCGTGTATAGAACCTGGTGTCTCAGGGCGTTGGGCAGGAGCAGAGGCAGGTGTCTAAGCCGGACCATTGGCTCCCTTCCGCGCCAGCCCGGTGTGCTATGAGAACCTTGTTGCCGCCTAGCTGAAGCTGGGAAAAGCAGCCGCCGCACTTTGGCGAGAAAGCACGCGGAACCCACCGAACGCGCATGCGTGCAAGCCAGGGCGGGGCTAGGGCGCGCGCGCAAAGGAGGGGCTCTACCATCCGCGGAGCCACGCCCTCCGTCACATCCCACCTCCCCGCCCAGGAGCTTCCGCGAGGCTCGCCCGGCAGCTCCTGCTCCACAGCAGGCTTCCTACTTTGACGCCTCACGCGCTCTTCAGCTCTCTTTTTCTGTGGGTCTCGCGGCTCTCCCCCTCTACAATTACGAGTAGTGCCTTGAGCCGGGCGTTCGGAGACCCACACAGGAGGGACAGGATGGGGAGAGCGGCATTAAAGGGTGGTGACTCAGGAGTTCAAGACCAGCCTGGCCAACATGACGAAACCCCGTCTCTACCAAAAATACAAAAATTAGCCAGGCATGATGGCGGACGCCTGTAATCCCACCTACTCGGGCGGCTGAGGCAGGAGAATCGCTTGAACCCGGGAGGCGGAGGTTGCAGTGAGGCGAGATAGCGCCACTACACTCCAGCCTGGGCGACAGAGCGAGACTCCGTCTCAAAATAAAAATAAAAAAAAAATAAAGGCGGGGTGGTGGTGGTGACAAGCCCCTATTACGGCCTTAGTGCGGGATTCCCCTTGGGGCGGGAGACGTCGTCCTTCCGGGTGCGGGTGCGGACTGCAAGTCCTATCGGGGACCGCGACACCGGACTGCATCCGCCAGCGTCCAGGGCGTAGCGCCCCCCAGGCGCTGCCTTCGTCCATCTCTACGGGGAGTGGCGGCCAGAAGACTGGGTTTTCCCCGTGCAGCTGTGCCCCACGTTGGGGAAACTGACTTTTCAGGTAAGATCCCTTCCAAGTTCCATGGATTTCGCCTTTCCCTTTAACCTGTTCCCCAGCGTCCTCTGGTGATAGCAGATGAGGGTGGTGACAGGAATACTAAAGTTCCCCATCTGCCTCGTGTTGGAAGTCTCCATGGTGTTCACCTCCCCAATGTTGCCTGCAAGTAGATAGGAGCAGAGATGGTACTTGGGGAGGTGACCGGAACTATGGCTCCTAACATACAGGGCGTTGGGAACTACGGCTCCTAACATACAACTCTCAGTTTGCCCCGTCTGTAGCTCCCTGTATTTCGTCTCTCCCTCCCCCTCAAAGTTCCCAAAGAGAAAAGGTGGAGGCGACAGGTGGATTGCAGCTCTCAGGAGATCCTGTGGGAAGAGGGAGCCTTCCCAGCAGGCGCCAGGCGGTGGCTTCCGCTCCCTAAGTAGCCAAGCTGCACCCTGGCCCGCATGTGGCTGGAGAAAAGTGCACTGCCACCCTGCTCCCGCTTTCAAGTTATAACCACGAACCTCAAGTAGTTCTTAGTGCTCCCCCGCAGACACACTGTTTAGGGTTTTGTTGTGTTTTTAGTCCACTCACTGCCAAACACAACTTTTCAAACCGACCGCACACTCCCATTGCCTCCCTCTAGGCTAATAAGTGCTTCTTCACTGAGAAAACCAAAGCTATCAGATGAGATTCTCTACAGACTCCCAGCACCATGCCTACCTATCTGCATCTCTGCTCATATACACTGCCTCTCCTCTCTTGCCGCAAATGAACTAACCATGTTCTTATCTAAAGTCCATTCAGCAATTAGGCACTAGATTCCACCCCCTTTTATCTGTCCAGTTTTTGTTTGTTTGTTTAGACGGAGTCTTGCTCTGTAGCCCAGGCTGGAGTGCAGTGGTGCGATCTCGGCTCACTGCAACCTCTGCTTCCCGGGTTCAGGTGATCCTTCCACCTCAGCCTCCTGAGTAGCTGGGACTACAGGCATGTGCCACCACACCCAGCTAACTTTTGTATTTTTAGTAGAAACGTGGTTTCACCATGTTGGCCAGGCTGGTCTCAAACTCCTGACCTCAAGTGGTCCACCTGCCTCGGCCTCCCAAAGTGCTAGGATTACAGGTGTGAGCCAGCGTGCCCAGCCAAAAGCAGGAGCTCTGTCCAGTTCTTGACTCCAGCAATTCCCTCACCTTGAAAACAAACAACGCACACACGCTCGCGCGCACACACACACACACACACACACGTTAAAAAATTCCCCTACTCCCATCAACCACTGCTCCATTCCAGGCAGAACTCATAGAAAGTATTATCTATATTTCCTGCCTCTAATTTCTCTTTTCTTGTCCTCTATTGAACCCATTCCAATTACACTTCAGCATCTGTCACTACCAGAACTGTCCTTGTCAAGGTTACCAACAATCATCTTGCTAAATTTAATGGTTGACTTTCGATTGTTATTCTACCTGACCTGTTGGCAGCACTTAACACAAATAATCACCCCCTCCTCCTTAATACACTTTCTTCACTTAGTTTCCTTGACATCACGCATTCTTGGTTTTCTTTCTACCTCATTAGCCTCTCCTTCTCCATCTTCTGTACTGATTCTTCCACTTTTCTTTAACCTGTTAATATTGATGCTCCTCCGAACTCAATCTTTGTTCCTCTTCCTTATCCACACTCCCTTGGTCATCTCATCCAGTCTCATGGCTTTAGGTATCTTCTCATCTGGGGTTCATAATATGGCCCCTTGTTACTTTTTTTTTTTTTTGAGACACAGTCTTCACTCTGTCACCCAGGCTGGAGTGCAGTGGTGCAATCTCAGCTCAACGCAACCTCCTCCTCCCAGGTTCAAGCAATTCTGCCTCAGCCTCCCAAGTAGCTGAGATTACAAGCGCCCGCCACCACGCCTGGCTAATTTTTGTATTTTCAGTAGAGACGGGGTTTCACCATGTTGGCCACATGGGTCTCGAACCCCTGACCTTCAGTGATCCGCCCGCCTCGGCTTCCCAAAGTGCTGGGATTACCGGTGTTAGCCATCGCGCCCAGCCTACTTTCTGATCTCATTTTCTGTTACTCTCCTCTTCACTCAATTTGCTGCAGGTATACTGGCGTTTTTGCTGTTCTTCCAACCTGCCAGGCACCTCATTGGTATCAATGTTTGCCACATTTATAACTCCAGCTCATACCTTTCCCCTCAACTCCAGAGTCATATATCCAATTGCCTATTAGACAAAGTAAACATCTAATAGGCCTCTTAATCTCAATTTGTCCAAAACTGAATTTATGAGTTCCTAATCTTCCTTCCGGTATCCACTTCCTTGTTAATCTGCCCCAACACGATTGTACCTCCAGCCTTCCAACTGTTCAAGCCAAAAAACCCTGAAGTCATCATTAACTCTTCCTTTTCGCTCATACCCACACCCAGTCTTATCAGTAAATCCTTATGGCTCATCCTCCAAATAGATCCAGATCTGCCCAATAGTCCTCTTTCCCCTAGATTACTGTAGCAGACTCTTCATTCATTCCGCTGCTTCCACTCCCCTTCCCTGGATTTCTGCCTACCTCACTGCAATCTAGTCTCTACATAGCAATCAAAGTGCTTTTTAAAAATGTAAGACTGCAACACTCCTCGGCTCAAACTCTCCCATGGTTTCCATCTCTTGCAGAGTAAAAGCCAAGACCTTAAAATGGTTCCAAAGTCCCAACATAATCTGGCCCCGTTACTCCAGGAACACTGGCCTTTTTGCTGTTTTCCAAACCTGCCAGGTACCTTATTGCCATTGTTTTGCCATTGTAGATAAGCGTATTTATTTATTTATTTTATATATATATTTTTTGAGACAGAGTTTCGTTCTTGTTGCCCAGGCTGGCGTGTAATGGTGCAGTCTCAGTTCACTGCAACCTCTGCCTCCGGGGTTCAAGCGATTCTCCTGCCTCAGCCTCCCAAGTAGCTGGGATTCCAGGCATGCGCCACCACGCCCGGCTAATTTTGTATTTTTAGTAGAGACGGGGTTTCTCCATGTTGGTCAAGCTGGTCTCGAACTCCCAACCTCATGTGATCTGCCCGCCTCGGCCTCCCAAAGTGCTGGGATTACAGGCATGAGCCACGGCGCCCAGCCATAGATAAGCTTTTGATTTGCTTGTAACCAATAAAAAATGTTTTTAAAAAAATCAGCCAGGCACAATGGCGTACACCTGTAATCCCAGCATTGAACCCAGGAGGTTGAGGTGGCAGTGAGCATGATTGACTGTGCCACTGCACTTCAGCACGGATGACAGACCAAAACCCTGTCTCAAAACAAACAAACAAAAAAGTCTAATCTGTAAGGAGCAGGAGAAATAGGATGTTTTTTTTTTGAGACAGAGTCTCGCCCTGTTGCCCAGGTTGTAGTGCAATGGCGTGACCTCGGCTCACTGCAACCTCTACCTCCCGAGTTCAAGCGATTCTCCTGCCTCAGCCTCCTGAGTAGCTGGGATTACAGGTGCACCCCACCACACCCGGCTAATTTTTTGTATCTTTAGTAGAGACGGGGTTTCACCATGTTGGCCAGGCTGGGTTGGCCAGGCTGGTCTCGAACTCCTGACCTCGTGATCCACCCGCCTCAGCCTCCCAAAGTGCTGGGATTACAGGTGTGAGCCACTGCGCCCAGCTGAGAAATAGAATTTTTTAAAAGTATGTGGTATATATTTATTGGTATTAAAGTTTTATAATTAGCTGAAGGTTGAAGCTATTGATATTAAAGGTTCAGTGGCTTTATATGCTATCTATTTATTGTATATGCCATTTATTGGAATTAAGGTTCTATAATTAGCTAAAGGTTGATAGTATTGTTTAGATCCTTGGGATCTTTTCTTTCTCTGATTAAATCTCTCAACCATTTATTTCTCTCTGCCTTTCTGTTAAAATATCCAAAAGCAGGCCAGGTGTGGTGGCTCACACCTGTAATCCCAGCACTTTGAGAGGCTGAGGCAAGTGGATCATTTGAGGTCAGGAGTATGAGACCAGCCTGGCCAACATGGTGAAACCCTGTCTCTACGGAAAATACAAAAATTAGATGGGTGTGGCTGGGCATGGTGGCTCACGCCTGTAATCCCAGCTCTTTGGGAGGCCTAGGTGGGTGGATTATGAGGTTAGGAGTTCGAGACCAGCCTGGCCAACATAGTGAAACCCCATCTCTACTAAAAATACAAAAATTAGCCAGGCAGGATGGCAGGTGCCTGTAATCCCAGCTACTTGGGAGGCTGAGGCAGGAGAATCACTTGAACCTGCGAGGCAGAGATTGCCGTCAGCTAAGATCACGCCACTGCACCACTCCAGCCTGGATGACAGAGAAAGACTCCATCTTAGGAAAAAAAAAAAAAAAGGTGTTACAATTTCTTATTGAGTATTCAAATTTCCAACAATCTGTTTCTCCTTATGGTTTTGTCACTTTGCTATATTTTAGGCAGGATTGTTAGCTGCCTGTTTAAGATTAACATTTTTCCTTCTGTTGTACTTTTTATTAGATTTTTCTTTGTCCTTTATTATTTTTTATGTTTTTATACATATATCATAGTTGTACATATTTGGGGGGGTACATGTGCTATTTCGATACCTGTAAACAATGTGGAACTATCAAGTCAGGGTAATTGGGATACCCATCACCTCAAACATCTGTCATTTCTTTTCTTTTCTTTCTTTTTCTTTTCTTTCTTTTTGAGACAGTCTCACTCTGTTGCCCACGCTGGAGTGCAGTGGTGCAATCTCGGCTCACTGCAACCTCTGCCTCCAGGGTTCAAGCAATTCTGCATCCACCTCCACCTAGTACCTGGGATTACAGGCACATGCGCCACCATGCCTGGCTTATTTTTGTATTTTTAGTAGAGAGGGGGTTTCACCATGTTGGCCAGGCTGGTCTTGAACTCCTGACCTCAGGTGATCCACCCACCTCAGCCTCCCAAAGTGCTGGGATTACAGGCGTGAGCCACCTTGCCAGGCCGATTTGTCTTTTCTTTGTGTTGAAAACATTACAGTTCTTCTCTTCTATTTTGAAATATATAATAATTGTTCACTATAATTTCCCTACTGTACTATCGAATATTAGATTCTATATAACTGTAGTTTTGTACACATTAACCAACCAACTTCTCTTTATGTACCCTCTCTCCCCTTCCCTTCCCAGTCTTTGGTAACCACCATTTTACTCTGTTTTATCTTGACTTTAAATTTTGTTTTGTGAGCTAGTAGGACTGCTACTTTAGGTGTCTTTTAATTCATATTTATGTAGCATATAATTTTACTTCCTTTTATTTTCAAGCTTTCTTTTTATTTTAAATGTATTATTCCTTGACAACATATTATTGGACCTTGGTTTTTTTAATCCAGTCTGAAAGTCTCTGCCTTTTAAAGGGTAAGTTTGGCTGGACGTGGTGGCTCATAGTGGCTAGCCAACATGGTGAAACCCCGTCTCTACCAACAATATACAAAAATTAGCCAGGTGTGGTGGTGCATGCCTGCAGTCCCAGCTACTCGGGAGACTGAGGTGGGAGACTCCCTTGAACCTGGAAGGCAGAAGTTGCGGTGAGCTAAGATCATGCCACTGCACTCCAGGCTGGGTGATGCCCAGCCCCCTATTTATATCTTAAATTTATCACTATTTGTACCTTCTGTGTCAGTCTCGATCCACTTAAGAAATATAAAACACACAGTGGGCTAAACAAAAGAAATTTAATATAAAAAGTTTTTAAATTCTGATCAAATAATGATTACAGGCCGGGCGCGGTGGCTTACGGCGTAATCCCAGCACTTTGGGAGGCTGAGGCGGGCAGATCACCTGAGGTCAGGAGTTCGAGACCAGCCTGGCCAACATGGTGAAACCCCGTCTCTACTAAAAATACAAAAATTAGTTGGGCGTGGTGGCAGACACCTGTAATCCCAGTTTCTTGGGAGACTGAGGCAGGAGAATCACTTGAACCCGGGAGGCGGAGGTTGCAGTGAGCCGAGATGGTGCCATTGCACTCCAGCCCGGGTGACAGAGCAAGTCTCAAAAAAATATATATATATATTACAAGCTATAAGGAAACTCCATATGGCAACCTAGGACTAAGAGAGAATACTCAAAGAAGGACAAACTTGGAAAAGGGCTCCCTCCCCAAAGCTGGAGTTCAGACGTAACTGGAGAAGACAAAGCCCATTAGCCAAGCACCGTGGCTCATGCCTGCAGTTCCAGGTACTTAGGAGGCTGAGGCTGCAGTGAGCCATGATCATGCCACTGTACTCCAGCCTGGACAACAGAGCAAGACCATGTCTCCCCCTCCAAAAAAAATAATAAGGAAGAAGAAGAAAAAGAAGAAGGAGGAGGAGGAGGAAGGAGGAGGGGGGAGGGAGGAAGGAGGAGAAGAAGGAGGAGAAAAGAAGAAGAAAAGAAGGAGAAGAAGGAGGAGAAAAGAAAAGGAGGAGGAGAAGGAGGAGGAAAGAAGAAAGAAGAAGAAGGAGGAGGAGGAGAAGGAGAAGAAGGAGGAAGAGGAGGAGGGGTGGGGGGAGGAGGAAGAGGGAAGCAGAAGGAAGCAGGAAAAGTTTGCCAGTTTTCCCAGGCTGGAGCTGGTCTGCAGTTTCTGAACAAACAGAAAGCAACCATCCAGAGTGCAGGCAAAGCACAGACAATCAGCGACCTGTGGCATGGGTGTGCGGAAGAAGCAGAGACGTCTGGGGCACTGGTTTTCCATATTAATGCAGGAAGGTAATTGTAAGGCCACACCAAAGCTGCAAGGTCACCGAGACACCAGACATTCTGAGAACATGGCTGTGGCAGAGCTCTATTGGATGTTCTCTCCCCAACACCCACCATGCAGCAGCCAGGAACAGCAGGAGAGCCCCTTCCTCTGTAGCGTCCTTCCAGAGCCCCCAGTTACTCTCACAAGGATCTCACATTGTGCTCACTGTAGAGATGCTTAAAGGAATTCTGTCCATTATGGCAGAGCATATGTTAAAGGGTGAATTTGGAGCTGAGAGACAATAATTTTTTTTAATTTTATGTATTTCTTTATTTTTATTTTTTGGAGACAAGAGTTTTACATTGTTACCCAGGCTGGAGTGCAATGGTGTGATCTCAGCTCACTGCAACCTCTGCTTCCCAGGTCCAAGTGATTCTCCTGCCTCAGCCTCCTGAGTAGCTGGGATTACACGTGCCCACCACCCACCTGGCTAACTTTTGTATTTTTAGTAGAGATGGGGTTTCACCATGTTGGCCAGGCTGGTCTCAAACTCCTGACCTCAAGTGATCCACCCACCTCAACCTCCAAAAGTGCTGGGATTACAGGTGTGAGCCACCGCGCCGGGTCTGAGAGGCAGTAAATTGACAACATCATCTCTAACAGGACAAGTACTTTACCATGATCCTCATGTCCCTCTGATCTCCCATCCTTGTCCCCTCCATTCATATTGATGTTGTCCAGAATTTTATTTTAGAGTTATGAATATTCTCTTTATTTCATTAGATCCTAGCCTTATTAGTATAGCAATAACAAGGAACAGTTACCAAAATAATTACCAAAATAAATCACCCTTTCTTTCCATTTTTTGTTTTTTTGTTGTTACTGTTGTTGACACGGAGTCTCACTCTGTCACCCAGGCTGGAGTGCAGTGGTGTGATCTAGGCCCACTGCAACCTCAGCCTCCCAGGTTCAAGCGATTCTCATGCCTCAGCCTCCCAAGTAGCTGGGATTACATGTGCTCATCACCACGCCCATCTAATTTTTGTCTTTTTAGTAGAGACAGGGTTTCACCATGTTAGCCAAGCTGGTCTCGAACTCCTGACCTCAAGAAATCAGCCTGCCTTGGCCTCCCAAAGTGCTGGGATTACAGGCATGAGTCACCGCGTCTGGCCTCTTCCCATTTTTCTTGCAGCATCTGTAGGATTTCTCTTTCTCTCTGTCTCTCTCTCTCTTTTTTTTTTTTTTTGGCCCTTCCTCCAAAACTTTTTCCAAATGGGCCTCTATGTGGCAATCTTTGTGAGGCCTCGTGAGCTTGAAGTTATTTTTTTTCAGGTTTTAAAAATAACTTTCATTGGCTGGGCACGGTGGCTCATGCCTGTAATTCCAGCACTTTGGGAGGGCTGAGGCAGGTGGATCACGAGGTCAGGAGTTCGAGACCAGCCTGGTCAACATGGTGAAACCCCGTCTCTACTAAATATACAAAAAATTAGCTGGATGTGGTGACTGGCGCCTGTAGTCCGAGCTACTCAGGAGGCTGAGGCAAAAGAATCACTTGAACCCGGGAGGCGGAGGTTGCAGTGAGCCAAGATCATGCCACTGTACTCCAGCCTGGGCGACAGATCTAGCTAGACTTTGTCTCAAAATAAATAAATAAATAAATAAAACTTTTATTTTTTTAAAGTTAATGTGTGCATTATAGGAAACCGAAAAACACAAGAAGCAAAGAACAAAATCATCCACAATGGCAAGCACTTTACAGTTTGACGTGTCCTTCTAGGCCCTATGTGTGTATAGACACATTTAATTTTATGGGATTGAGATCATTCAGTGTGTATCATGCTTTTTCACACATCATGAATATTTATCAATTCAAAATCCCCAAGCCATTTGAGTATTTTGATAACCAAGAATACACTACACCAGCTCAATCTGTTAGAAAAAATGTAATCCTGTCTTTCTTGGGACAAAAATTTCATAGAAGACAAAAATGGCAACAAGCCTGTAGATGAAAGCATTGGCAGAGTTCGATTAAAATACTGCATTCCCTTAACGCTCAATTTAAATGAAGTTATTTTTTGTAAAGTCTTCATTGATTGACAATTCAGTTGTAAATTTCTTGGTTCACAATTCTTCCCCTTCAATATTTTACTTCCTGGTCTGTTTGCATCCAGGGTTGCTACAAAGAAATTTGATGTCAGTTTGAACCTTGTTCCTTTGCAGATAATCTGATCTTTCTCTCTAGAAGCCTCTCTCTTTCATTCCCTCTCCTTCCCTTTCTATATATCTATATATCCATGTATCAGCTTTCTCAGCCTATTTGCATGCACGTGGGCCAAATATGGCTATTCCAGCCCAATATTACACTTCCTCAGTTCAAGCAGCCAGCAGGGTTTGACCAGATGCTCTCAGTTTTAGTTCCAAATTCCTTGAAAGGAGAAGCTGATTGGCTTAGCTTGGATCTGGTATACACTCTGGGTCTAATTAACCATGACCAAAAGGAGGGTCATGGCTGCTAGGCTCACTCCTCTGGGGGAAGGGACAAATCTTATAGAAGAGAGAATGGTGTGGTATTGATGATTCTGTCCCTTGTTCAGAGGCCAGATTTATACCTGGCTCCTGTGCTTCCTGTCCAGCTACTGGTATGCAGTTGTACTGAGTGATGGCTCCTCTGAACATGGGTTTCTGTTCCCTGGACTCACTAACTCTCACAACTTTCACTTTTACTCCACATCAGCCACCCACACCCTGGAATGTATTACTCAGAATGATTTCCCTCTGAAAGTGTATGTATGTATGTATGTATTTACTTATTTATTTATTTATTTATTTATTTATTTATTTATTTATTTATTGAGGCAAGGTCTCACTCTGTCACTCAGGCTGGAGTGCAGTGGCATGATCACAGTTCACTGCAGCCTCCAACTCCTGGGCTCAGGTGATCCTCCCACCCCAGCCTCCTGAGTAGCTGGGACCACAAACATGTACCACCACGCCAAGCTAGTTTTGTATTTTTTTTTTTTTTGTAGAGATGGGTTTTGCCATGTTGCCCAGGCTAGTCTTGAACTCTTGGACTCAAGCAATCCACCTGCCTCAGCCTCCCAAAGTGCTGGGATTAGAGGTGTGAACCACTGCACCCAGGCCCCTCTGAAATTTTAAATTCAAGCTTCCCACTTCAAAAAATTTTTTTGAAACAGTTTGTTTCCCAGGCTGGAGTACGGTGGCACAATCACTGCTCACTGCGGCCTGGACCTCCGGGCTCAGGCAGTCTTGCCTCAGCTTCCCAAATAGCTGGGACTACAGGCACGTGCCACCACGCCCCGCTAATGTTTGTATTTTTGGTAGAGATGGAGCTTTGCTGTGGCCCAAGCTGATACTGAACGCCTGGGCTCAAGCAATCTGCCTGCCCCGGCCTCCCAAAGTGCTGCAAGCTTGTGGGGAAAAGCAAGAGAGATCAGATTGTTACTGTGTCTGTGTAGAAAGAAGTAGACATAGGAGACTCCATTTTGTTATGTACTAAGAAAAATTCTTCTGCCTTGAGATTCTGTTAATCTATGACCTTACCCCCAACCCCGTGCTCTCTGAAACATGTGCTGTGTCAACTCAGAGTTGAATGGATTAAGGGCGGTGCAGGATGTGCTTTGTTAAACAGATGCTTGAAGGCAGCATGCTCCTTAAGAGTCATCACCACTCCCTAATCTCAAGTACCCAGGGACACAAAAACTGCGGAAGGCCGCAGGGACCTCTGCCTAGGAAAGCCAGGTATTGTCCAAGGTTTCTCCCCATGTGATAGTCTGAAATATGGCCTCGTGGGAAGGGAAAGACCTGACCATCCCCCAGCCCGACACCCGTAAAGGGTCTGTGCTGAGGAGGATTAGTAAAAGAGGAAGGAATGCCTCTTGCAGTTGAGACAAGAGGAAGGCATCTGTCTCCTGCCTGTCCCTGGGCAATGGAATGTCTCGGTATAAAACCCGATTGTATGCTCCATCTACTGAGATAGGGAAAAACCGCCTTAGGGCTGGAGGTGGGACCTGCGGGCAGCAATACTGCTTTGTAAAGCACTGAGATGTTTATGTGTATGCATATCTAAAAGCACAGCACTTAATCCTTTACATTGTCTATGATGCCAAGACCTTTGTTCACGTGTTTGTCTGCTGACCCTCTCCCCACAATTGTCTTGTGACCCTGACACATCCCCCTCTTTGAGAAACACCCACAGATGATCAATAAATACTAAGGGAACTCAGAGGCTGGCGGGATCCTCCATATGCTGAACGCTGGTTCCCCGGGTCCCCTTATTTCTTTCTCTATACTTTGTCTCTGTGTCTTTTTCTTTTCCAAATCTCTCGTCCCACCTTACGAGAAACACCCACAGGTGTGTAGGGGCAACCCACCCCTACACAAGCTTCCAACTTTTTGACCATAACCACAAGCGACCCTTCTGTCACAGCCTCCCAAGTAGATGAGACTACAGGCACATGCTACCACACCTTTCTAACTAAGGTCTCTCCTTATCCAAGTCTAAACTTGTTTTGAATTGACAACATTCACTGCTCTTGCACTTTGCAGGCTTCCTACACTCCTGGAGAATATTGTACTCCTTGGAGATCATTGCCCTACAAAAATCAAGTTTCTTCTTACTCCCTTCACACTCCCAGATAGTAACTTTTTACTTCACTCTAAAAATAGAATGTGGGTCAGATCCAGTGGCTCACACCTGTAATCACTAGCACTTTGGGTGGCTGAGGCAGGAGGATTGCTTGAGGCCAGGGGTTTGAGACCAGCCTGGTAAACATGGCGAGACCCTGTCTCTATAAAAATAGAAAAACATAGCCGAGCATGGTGGTGCACGCTTGTAGTCCCAGCTACTCGGGAAGCTGACGTGGAAGGATCACAGGAGTTCAAGGCTGTAATGAGCTATGATCACGGCACTGCACTCCAGTCTGGGTGATAGAGCAAGACCCTGACAAGAAACAAAAGAAAAGAAAAGAAAGAAGGAAGGAAGGGAGGGAGGGAGGGAAAGGGCGAAGGGAGAAGGGAGGAAGGAAGGAAGGAAAGAAGGAAGGAAGCAAAGAGAGAGAGACAGAAAGAAAGAAAGAAAAAGAAAAAAGAAAGAAAAAGGAAAGAAAAAGAAGGAGTGGCTTGGGAAAAAATAGAATGTATTAGTTGGGAACTTGCTTAACTTGTGACAACTAAAATGAGTGATTGAGGCATAAGTCTCAAATCATGGAGGTTTATTGAGCCATCTTGAGAATCAGTAAACATGAGTCACAGAAACATCTGTGGCTGTTTGGAGAATCTCCAAAGAGCCTACAAAGAGGTTCTCAGGAGGTTTAGTGTTTATACGTTTTCCTTAAAGGCGGAGGTGGGGGAGGCCCACAGTAAGACAAATGATTACATAATTGTGAGACTTTAGTTAGTGCCCAGTAAATCTACCTTTTACATAAGACAAGGTGTACATTTGAAGAAAAAGGGAATAGGAAGCATGTCTCAGGAAGGGGTGAAGGAATCAAAAAGGATTACTCTTGTCTTTGTTCTGTACCAGGTAAGATAAGCCAGTAGTCTTTTGAAAGGGCTGGTTTAGGGCCAGGTGCGGTGGCTCATGCCTGTAATCCCAAAAATTTGGGAGGGCAACGTGGGCAGATCACTTGAGCCCAAGAGTCCAAGACCAGCCTGGGCAACATGGCAAAACCCTGTCTCTACTAAAGATACAAAGAAACTAGCCAGGAGGCTGAGGTGGGAAGATCACCTGAGCCAGGGAGGTCAAGGCCACAGTGATCCATGATTGTGCCACTGCCCTTCAACCTGAGCAACAGAGGGAGACCCTGTCTCAAAAAATGGGGGGAAGCAGGGAGTTCTGTTTAGCCCTTAGGGAAGAAAGGCTAATGACTGGTAGCGAAGGAGGGGGTATAACAAGGCCTCTCTGATCTCCCATCTTATTATGGCCATGAACTCAGCTTCCAAGGTTTCTGTGGGGTTCCCTTGGCCAAGATGGGGTCCATTCAGTCCATTGGAGACTAGAATTTTATTTTTATTTCTCATTTGTCACAGCTACAAACTTTCCTATCTTTTCTTATTCCCCCATGAACCCTGAAAATTTGGGACAGGTGTCAATTTAGAAAGTTTATGTTGCCAAGGTTGAGGACACGCGCCCGTGACACAGCCTCAGGAAGTTCTGACGACATGCGCCCAAGGTGTTGAGGCACAGATTGGTTTTATACATTTTAGGGAGATGAAACATCAATTAATATATGTAAGAAGTACACTGGTTCTGGCTGGGCGCGGTGGCTCATGCCTGTAATCCCAGCACTTTGGGAGGCTAAGGCGGGTGTATCACCTGAGGTCAGGAGTTCAAGACCAGCCTGGCCAAGATGGTGAAACCCCGTCTCTACTAAAAATACAAAAATTAGCCAGGTGCGGTGGCGGGCGTCTGTAATCTACTCGGGAGGCTAAGGCAGGAGAATCGCTTGAACCTGGGAGGTGGAGGTTGCAGTGAGCCAAGATGGCACCACGGCACTCCAGCCTGGGTGACAGAGTGAGACTCTGTCTCAAAAAAAAAAAAAAAAAAAGTACATTGGTTCCCTCCAGAAAGACGGGAACAACTCAAGCAGGGAGGGGACTTCCAGGTCACAGGTAGGTGAGAGACAAATGGCATTCTTTTGAGTTTCTGATACGCCTTTTTAAAGGAGGCAATCAGAATATGCATCTATCTCAGTAAGCAAAGGGATGACTTTGAATAGAATGGGAGGCAGGTTTGCCCTGAGGAGTTCCCAGCTTGAATTTTCCCTTTAGCTTAGTGATTTTGGGGGCCCAAGATTTTTTCCTTTCACACCCCTCACTACGCTGGAAAGGTACATCCCTGTCCCCTTGTCTAAAGCTAATTCTTCCACCTGGAGTCTGGACCCCATTCTCTCTTGCTTTATCAGGGACCTGGCTTATCCCAGTATTCCCCTGTTCATCCTACGCCTTCAAGCTTACCATCTCCATGATTTGGCCACGTCAGCATGACAAACATGACAGAGCAGGAGTATCACCACCTTGGCCAAGCACTGTCGTTTTAAGTTTACCTTGATTAAAAACTGCCTAAATCCAAAGGGCATCAGCCTAATGGCTAAGGTCAGCATGACCATAAACCACAAATAACATCTCCGACCAGACACATTCCAGACTCCTCCCTGACCAGAGACATGCCAGCCCCAAGATAACCTCCCTGCCAGCTGGAGAGATGTCAGCCCCAAGATAACCTTCCCTCCAACTAGAGACATTCCAACCCCACCATAAACTTCTCCCCGACACAGAAACATTCCAAGCTCTCTCACCAATAAACACTTAGTCTGTAATAGAGCACGCTCCTGACTGAAATCAGCCAGAAGCCCCTCTCAGGTTTATTGCTCCAAAATAAACCTGTCTTGACTGTTGAGTGCTTTTCATGTTTCTTCCCTCTCTCTTTATTTAACTCTTTGTAGAGTTAAGGAAAGTGCTTTAACTTTCTTTGCTTAAGTGCTTAAGTATCTCCTGTTGACAAAAAGAGTCAAACTCTGTAAAATATTTGCAGAGATTTATTCTGAGCCAGATACAGTGACCATGGCCAGTGTTACAGCCTCAGGAGGTCCTGACAACATGCACCCAAGGTGCCCGGGCTGCAGCTTGATTTTATACATTTTAGGGAGACATAAGGCATCAATCAATACATACAAGATGTAGATTGGTTTGATTTGGGAAGACTGGACAACTGGAAGTGGGGTGTGTCCAGGTCATAGGTGGATTCAAAATTTTCTAAATGGCAGTTGGTTGACTTTATCTAGGCTGGGCATGGTGGCTCACGCCTGTAATCCCAGCACTTTGGAAGGCCGAGGTGGGTGAATCACCTGAGGTCAGGAGTTCGAGACCAGCCTGACCAGTATGGTGAAACCCAGTCTCTACTAAAAATACAAACATTAGCTGGGTGTGGTGGTAAGCACCTATAACCCCAGCTACTTGGGAGGCTGAGGCTAGAGAATTGCTTGAACCTGGGAGGTGGAGGTTGTAGTGAGCCGAGATTGCACCACTGCACTCCAGCCTGGGTGATAGAGGGAGACTCTATCTCAAAAAAAAAAAAAAAAAAAAAAAAAAAAAAGACCTGGAATCAATAGAAGGAGTGTCTGGGTTAAGATAAGGGGTTGTGGAGACCAAGGTTCTTACTATGCAGATGAAGTGTCCAGGTAGCAGGTTTCAGAGGTAATAGATTATACATGTTTATTATGAGACTTAGAAAGGTGCCAGACTCTTAGTTAATTCTCTCATTCTCTCCTGGATCAGGAAAAAGACCTGAAAAGGGAAGGGGATTCTCTACAAATGTTGATTTTCCCCACAAGAGTCAGCTTTGCAGGGCCATTTCAAAATGTGTCAAAGAAATATATTTTGGAACAAAATACTTCCATTTCTTTCAGGGCCTCCTATCTGTCATGTTGGTATCTTATTGCTACAAAAAGTATGTTTTCTCAGTCTTAAGGTCTCTGTTTCACTGTTCATGCTGGTCGGCTGTGCCTGAATTCCAAAGGGAAGAAGGTATAATGAGACATGTCCAACCACCCATTCCCATCATTGCCGGAACTAGTGTTTCAGGTTTACCTTAGAATGCCCTTGGCCAAGAGGAGGGGTCCATTCAGTTGTTTGGGGTGCTTAGAGTTTTATTTTTGGTTTCCACTCCCATATTGAAATCTTCTCACCTGGCCGGGCATGGTGCCTCACACCTATAATTCCAACACTTTGGGAGGCTGAGGTGGGCAGATCACCTGAGGTCAGGAGTTTGAGACTAGTCTGACCAACATGGTAAAATCCCGTCTCTACTAAAAATACAAAAATTAGCCTGGCATGGTGGTGCATGCCTGTAATCCCAGTTACTTGGTAGGCTGAGGCAGGAGAATTGCTTGAACCTGGGAGGTGGAGGTTGCAGTGAGCCAAGATCACACCACTGGACTCCAGCCTGGGTGACAGAGTGAGAGTCCATCTCAAAAAAAAAAAAAAAAAAATTCTCCCCACCTGACCTTATGGGCTGCTGCTTTCTCTCCTCCTCCCACTTCCTGGTCAATCGAGTTTAAATTGTCTTTTCTTCTTACCATCCATGGTGAGAAGGTGTGTTAGTGAAGCAGCCTTGTAGTCTGGAGTAACACCCAAGGTTCCTTGTCTCACAGCCACAGGAACAAGAATGCAGACACACAAAGAGTGAGGTTGAGAGTGGAAGTTTACTAAGCGAAAGAAAGAAAATAGCTCTCTGCTGCAGAGAGGGGTCCTGGAAAAATGGGTTGCCCAATCCATAGTGAAACGCAGGGGTTTTATAGGTGATCTGGTGAGAAGATGGTGTCTGATTTACATAGGGCATGAAAAACTGATTGGATCAGGTGTGCCATTGGCATAGGCGTGAATCTTCGGTAACCCCAGCCTGATCTTTTATCATGCAGGTGGGTTCTCTGCCTAGACTGTGCTATGTTGCCCATTTCTTTATTGCTGTACAGGTGGTAACAAAAAAAGGGAAGATGGAGCCTCCATGTTGGACATGCCTGGCCCCATATAGCCCTTTTCTGTTGGCCCTGCTGCTGGCATTCCCCCATGCAAGCTTCTAGCTTCCTTATTTATGTTTGCAGCTCGATTTTTCAAGCTGCTCTTTGTTTAGAAAAGAAATGATTTGGGGGCTGCTTTTTGTTAGAAAAGAAATTCTGCCGAGGACTCTTTTGCCTTCACTACCTCCCTAAATAATTTCTTTCTACCTCCGGTATCGTTAGGACTTGGGGAATGTATCTGAGTCATGGGGCACTCTTCCACCCATTACAGTCTAGCTTCAACCCTCATTACTCACTGAATTGGCTTTGGTCAAGGTCGTCACAATCTCCTTGTTGCTAAATCCAGTGAAGCCCCATCAGTCCTTTTCTCTGCAGTAGCTGACCCTACTGGCCACTCTCTCCTTGAAGCACTCCTCTTCCTTTGGCTTCTCTAGTCCTACACTTTCTGATTGTTCTTCAGCCTCTCTAGCCTTTCCCTCAAAGTCTCTGTCAATGCTCCGTGATTATTTTTGTGTTTCTGCTGGTTTGGTTTCCTGAGCACAGGAGAACTTGCTTAGATGTGCTAGAAAATGTTTCCTTTTCTCCAGACCCGTTTGATCGTCACATGCCAATGGTGTTAAACTTGGAGCCGTCTGCTCCCATTCAAAGGATAATAAAACTGGCCAGGCGCAGTGGCTCACGTCTGTAATTCCAACACTTTGGGAGGCCGAGGCAGGTGGATCATTGGGTCAGGAGATTGAGACCATCCTGGCTAACACGGTGAAACCCCATCTCTACTAAAAAAATACAAAAAAATTAGCCAGGTGCGGTGGCGGGTGCCTGTAGTCCCAGCTACTTGGGAGGCTGAGGCAGGAGAATGGCGTGAACCTGGGAGGTGGAGCTTGCAGTGAGCCGATTGTGCTACTGCACTCCAGCCTGGGCGACAGAGCAAGGATAATAAAACTTATCTTGGCTGAGTGTGGTAGCTCTTGCCTGTAATCTCGGCACTTTGGGAGGCCAAGGCAGTCAGACTGCTTGAGTCCAGGAGTTCAAGAGCAGACTGGGCAACATGCTGAAAACCCATCTCTACAAAAAAATGCAAAAATTAGCCAGGCATGATGGTGCATGCCTGTAGTCCCAGCTACTTGGGAGGCTGAAGTAGGTGTGTTAGCACTTTAGGGAATGTATCTGAGACACACAGCAACAAAATATGTTAGTGGTGGTGAATCCATAGGGTCTGTAGCAACCTCAATTCTTGCCTCCTCAGAAGAATTCGACCGAGGGGCATAAGGCAGGGTGAGAGACTGAGGCACATTGTAAAGGAGAAGTGAAAATTAATTAAAAAGCTTTAAAGGCTGGGTGCAGTGGCTCACACCTGTAATCCCAGCACTTTGGGAGGCCAAGGAGGGCAGATCATGAGATCAAGAGATTGAGACCAGCCTGGCCAACATGGTGAAACCCTGTCTCTACTAAAAATAAAAAAATTAGCCGGGCGTGGTGGCACGTGCCTGTAGTCCCAGCTACTCAGGAGGCTGAGGCAGCAGAATCACCTGAACTCGGGAGGCGGAGGTTGCAGTGAGCCGAAATCGTGCCACTGCACTCCAGCCTGGGCAACAGAGTGAGACTCCGTCTCAAAAAAAAAAAAAAAAAAAAGGCTTTAGAGCTGGAAAGAAAGGAAATAAAATACACTTGGAGGAGGTCCAAGCAGGTGGAGATCAGGTGTGTGGTTTAACCCTGGACTTGGGATTTTATACGGACTTGGAGGTTTATCCATTGATATGCTTCTGGGGGGTGGCATTCCTTCCCTGATTCTTTCCTTGGGGTGGGCTGTCCACTTGTGGCCAGCACTTGGGAGGGGGTGCATGCGCAGTGTGTTTACCGAAGATGTACACATGCCCACTTGAAGCATTCTTCCCTTACTAGTCAAGTGTTCTTAGAAGAAGGTCATATACCAGTTAAACACAGCCATTTTGCCTCTTAGTGCACATGCTTGAGCCCACTTGCCCAAGTCCTAAGATCTTATAGGGAAGCTGCTGATCAGCAGTTCCAGGAGTTTTCTATCTATTGGGATACTGCCTTTCCCTGGTGCCGACTGTGACCAATTATTATTTTAGAGAGATTTTTGGGGCAGGGCACAGGGGACACGGACTAGCTACCTACTATAACAGGTGGATCCTTTGAGCCCAGGGAGGTTGAGGTTGCAGTGAGCTGTGAGTGCACCACTGAAATCCAGCCTAGGTGACAGAGTGAGACCCTGTCTCAAAAGACAACAACAACAGGCCGGGCGTGGTGGCTCACACCTGTAATCCCAGCACTTTGGGAGGCCGAAGTGGGTGGATCACAAGGTCAAGAGATTGAGACCATCCTGGTCAACATGGTGAAACCCCGTCTCTACTAAAAATACAAAAATTAGCCAGGCGTGGTGGCACGTGCCTGTAGTCCTAGCTACTCGGGAGGCTGAGGCAGGAGAATCGCTTCAACTCAGGAGGTGGAGGTTTCAGTGAGCCGAGATCATGCCACTGCACTCCAGCCTAGCAACAGAGTGAGACTCCCTCTTAAAAAACAACAACAACAAACAAACAAAAACTTATTTCAGGGAGAAATGCTTGCATTCCAAGGTAGGGACTCTCCGTTCTCTTCCTGAGAGAATTTATTCACATTCCAAAGCACTTGTTTACACTAGGGAGATCAGTTTTCTCTCCCTCTCTCAGGAGGGCTGTGAAGCACGTGGGCAGCACGTAGTCTACATAAACTGTCAGGTTTACACTTTCAGGGTTTGTCCCCTGTGAGGCAAGAAACTCTGTTGTATGGTCATGGTCCATCTGGCTCCTGCCATGTCACCTGTAGGGTACTGGACATGGGAAACTGATGCAGTTCTTGCTGTGTGTAATAATATTGTCTGATTTCTGAGCTAGAAACCCCATGTTTGTTTTTTAACAGGAAAAAATTTAATTGGGAGGTCATTGGGCTGAGACAGATCCAGTGATTTGGGTTCCTACATAAGCAACCTGAAGCCCAATGTAAACAGTAAAACAAAACTAGAGACTTAACCAGTCAGAAACTGCTAACTGTAAACCAAAAATTAAAACCTAAGCTCCCCCACCAACCAACTGAAAGGAACTCCTCCAGGCCAAGGAGACCCCAGAGAAACCTGAAAACCTGAATTCCTGGCCATGACAGGAAGGGAGATTGGACACGCCTGATCCTATGCCCTGCCCCCACTTTTTTGGAGTTTAGGCACAATTGACCAGAATTGAGGTTAAAATAGAGATCCTAAGACTGAAAAATACAGACTTTGTGACAATAAGATACAAAATTTCAACCTAACTCTGATATAGCATCACATGACAGCCGACCCTGAAGGAAATAAAAATATTTTACCCCAAAATATATTTCTTTTATATATTTTAAATGGTCCTGGCCAGGTGCAGTGGCTCACGCCTGTAATCCCAACACTTTGGGAGGCCGAGGCAGGTGGATCACCTGAGGTCAGGAGTTTGAGACCAGTCTGGCTAACATGTGAAACCTGGTCTCTACTAAAAATACAAAAATTAGCGGGGCGTGGTGGTGTGTGCCTGTAATCCCAGCTACTTGGAGGCTGAGGCAAGAGAATCACCTGAACCCAGGAGGTGGAGGTTGTGGTGAGCCCAGACAGCACCACTGCACTCCAGCCTGGGTGACAGAGCGAGACTCTTGTCTCAAAAAAAACAAAAAACAAACAAACAACCCCCCTCCCAAAAAAAAAAAAAATGATTTTCTTCATAGAGTTGACATTCTGGTGGGGAGAGAAGAGCATTAAATAAATATATGTCAATTGCTAAGTACTACAGAGAAAAATAGAGCCAAGTAAGGAGAATGGAGAATGCCAGGGGGGGAAGGGAAGGCCTCTCTGATAAAGCAGTATTTCAGTAGCGATCTGGAGGAAGTGAAGAGTGAACCATATGTTTATTTTGGGGAAGAACATTCCAGGAAAAGGAACAGCAAGTGCCAAGGCCCTGAGGGGGGATTGCACTTGACATATTTGAGCATGGTTGCTGGAGCTGGGTGAGAGGAAAAGTGATAAGACATGTACTCAGAGAGGTGAGGGGAGGGGCTCGGCTGCAAATCATGTCAGCCTTTTAGGCCATTGTAAGGACTTTGGCCTGTCCTCTTAGTGAAGAGCCACTGGAGGATTTTGAACAAAGGGAATGGCATGATCCAAAGTTTGTTTTTTATTTTTTTAATTTTCATTTTTTACAAACAGGGTCTCAGTCTGTTGCCCAGACTGGAGTGCAGTGGTTTAATCATAGGTCACTGCAGTGTTGACCTCCTGGGCTCAAGCGATCCTCCTATCTCAGCCTCCCAAGTAGCTGGGACCACAGGCGGTGCCATCATACCCAACTAATCTTTTTCTTTTTTTGTAGAGACAGGGTCTCACTATGTTGCCCAGGCTGGTCTCAAACTCCTGGCCTCAAGCAATCTTCCCACCTCAGCCTCTCAAAGTCTGGGATTACAGCTGTGAGCAGGGAAAGTGCTGGGATTACAGGTGTGAGCCACTGCGCCCAGCCTGATGTTTGTTTTCAAAGGATCCTTCTGGTTGTTGCATGGAGAATAGAATATGAGAGGTCTAGGGCAGGAGCAGTGAGATGAATGAGTTCATTATAATAATCCAAATAAGAGATGGTAGCTTGGCCAGTAAAGCCAGATAGGACCTCCTGTGGGGTATAAGTGAAAGGAAGGAATCAAGAATGATTTCAAGTGGCTTGAGTAAATGGAAGAACATAAATTGCCATTTGTTGAGAATGGGAAGAACTGGAGGAGTAACAGTTGTGGAAAGATGAAATTAGGATGTTACTGGACACAGTGGCCCACGCATGTAATCCTAGAACTTTGGGAGGCCAAGGTGGGATGATCACTTGAGTGCAAGAATTTGAGACCAGCCTGAGCTACATAGAGAGACCCTGTCTCTAAAAAAATGTTTAAAGCTTAGCCAGGTGTGAAGGCCTGTGCCTGTAGTCCCAGCTACTTGGGAGGCTGAGACAGGAGAATTGATTGAACCTGGGAGGCGGAGGTGGCAGTAAGCTGAGATTACGTCATTGCATCCAGCCTGGACGACAGAGTGAGACTCCCTCTCAAAAAAAAAAAAAAAAGTTACTGTTGTCAATTTTATGTTTTATATATTTACCACAATTTAAAATGGCAATATTATACAAGGCAAATAAAGGTTGTAGAAATGTTCCAGATTAAAGGACATAAAATAGACATGATAACTAAATGCAATCAATATCTGACTCTAGATTGGTTCTTTGTTTGCTTAGAGATGGGGTCTCATTATGTTGACCAGGCTGGTTTTGAACTCCTGGCCTCAAGCAATCCTCTTGTCTCAGTATCACAAAGTGCTAGGATTACAGGCATGAGCCACTGTGCCCAGCCTAGGTTTGCTCTTACAATGGAAGGGAAGGAATGCTTTAGACTGGGCATGGTGGCTCACGCCTGTAATCCCAGCACTTTGGGAGGCCAAAGTGGGTGGATCACCTGAGGTCAGGAGTTCGAGACCAGCCTGGCCAACATGGTGAAACCCCGTCTCTATTAAAAATACAAAAATTAGCTGGGTGTGGTGGTGGGCACCTGTAATCCCAGCTACTTGGGAGGCTGAGGCAGGAAAATCGCTTGAACCCGGGAGGCAGAGGTTACAGTGAGTTGAGATCGCATCACTGCACTCCAGCCTGGACGACAAGAGCGAAACTCCATCTCAAAAAAAAAAAAGAATGATTTAAAGGACATTATTAGGACAACTGACAGAATGGGATTATGGATGTAAAGTATTGCAAATGTATGAAGTTGATAACTGTACAACAATTATATAAGAGAATATCCCTATCCTTAGGAAGTACATACTGAAGTGTTCTATGTAACTTGCCCTCAAATATTCCAGATAAATATTAAATTGTTTATGTGTATGTGTGTGGAGAGACAGAATAAGCAAATGAGGTAATATTTTAACAATAATCTGAATAAAGGGCATAGAGTTTTATTGCATTGTTTTATTTTTTCGATTTTTTGGGAATTTGAAATAATTTCTAAATAATGTTCTAAAGTTCAAGCTGGGCATGGTGGCACACACCTGTAGCCCCAGCTACTCAGGAGGCTGAAATGGGAGGATCACCTGAGCAGAGGAGGTTGAGGCTGCAGTGGGCCATGATCATGCCACTGCACTTCAGCCAGGGAGAGAGAGAGACTCTGTCTCAAAATAAAATAAGTTCAAAAACAAACAAAAACCCCAGTGAGCCTGTTCCTTTTGTTCCATTCTCTTTTTTTCTTTTGAGACGGAGTCTTGCTCTGTCATCAGACTAGAGTGCTGTGGCATGATCTCCACTCACTGCAACCTCCAACTCCCTGGTTCAAGTGATTCTCCTGCCTCAGCCTCCCAAGTAGCTGGGATTGCAGGCACGTACCACCATGCCCAGATAATTTTTGTATTTTTAGTACAGATGGGGTTTCACCATGTTGGCCAGGATAGTCTCGATCTCCTGACCTCATGATCCGCCCGCCTCGGCCTCCCAAAGTGCTGGGATTACAGGCATGAGCCACCACGCCCGGCCCCATTCTCTCTTAAACCCACTCTAATCAAACCACCTATCCCACAACTCCACTGAAATGCATTTGTCAAGGTTACCAAATATACCCATTTGCCAACTCCAATGGTGACTTCTCTCACTCTTTCTCTTACTTGACCCATCAGTATTTGACATAGTTTATCACTCCCTCCTTCTTGAAATGTGTGCATCTTTTCACTTCTGAACACCACTTTTTTGGTTTTTCTCTTACATTCCTGGCCGCTCCTTCTAAATATCCTTGACAGTTCCCCTTCCAAACACTGGAGTGCCCAGGGCTCAGTCCTCAGAGCCAACCTATCTAGGAGTTTCTGTACACCCTCAGGGTCATTTCCCAATCTCAATCTAGTGTCTTTTTTTTTTTTTTTTTTTTTTTTTTTTTTGAGATGGAGTCTTGCTCTGTCACCCAGGCTGGAGTGCAGTGGCGTGATCTTGGCTCACTGCAAGCTCCGCCTCCTGGGTTCACGCCATTCTCGTGCCTCAGCCTCCCAAGTAGCTGGGACTACAGGCGCCCGCCACGACGCCCGGCTAATTTTTTGTATTTTTTGTAGAGACGGGGTTTCACCATGTTAGCCAGGATGGTCTCAATCTCCTGACCTCATGATCCACCCGCCTTTGCCTCCCAAATTGCTGGGATTACAGGTGTGAGCCACTGTGCCTGGCCTCAATCTAGTGTCTTTATTCACTCACCTTAGTCTGTGCAAATCATATTCTTCCAGAAATGTAAGATCCTCCTCCCATTGAGGTCTTACTCAAGGCCAAACTCCCTGTCACCTAAATCCTGGTTCAAAGCAGTTGGCGGCTGTACATGGTAGGAAAAGTTTCTCATACTATCCTGAGCACGCATGCTGGGAGAAAGATGGGAGGCTGGAAGCCCCTTCTAATATGCTGGAGAGATCTGAAATGCAATTCTCCCTTCAAAAATCAGAAAACTAGGGCCCAGTAAGGCCATTACTTGTTGAAGGTCATTCAGCTGCTTATTGGCAATGTCTGAGCTAAAGCCCTGTGCTGTCTCCTTAAGTGTTGATTTCATGTATTTGTGTCAGGAGCCTCCTTAAGAATCTGATAAAAGCTGCAGACTTTTTCTCAGCAGAAAAAAGCACTTAACACATGCCAACAACTTTTTTTTTTCATTTAATTTGAAGAGTTTCATGGACTCTCAAAGTACATCTAGACCTCAGATTATAGAAACCCTGCTCTATCAGAACAATCCAAAGCATGGAGAAGTCTACAGCACTACTGATTTAGTACCCTCCACAAATCAATGGTGTGAAAAAGCTGGGGACAGGACTGTAAATGTTCAAGATTAAAAGAGTCTTAGGAAGCATAACAATCAAATGCAGTATATAGGCCTTATTTAATTTTTTTTCTTTTTTTTTGAGATGGAGTCTCGCTCTGTCACCCAGGATGGAGTGCAGTGGCACAATCTCGGCTCATTACAACCTCCACCTCCCAGGTTCAAGTGATTTTCCTGCCTCAGCCTCCCAAGTAGCTGGAACTACAGGCACGTGCCACCACGCCTGGCTAATTTTTGTATTTTTTCTAGAGTCAGGGCTTCACCATATTGGTCAGGCTGATCTTGAACTCCTGACCTCGTGATCCACCCACCTCCGCCTCCCAAAGTGCTGGGATTACAGGTGTGAGCCACCACTCCCAGACTCAATTTTTTGTTTTTTAGAGACAAAGTCTTGCTATCACTTAGGCTGGAGTGCAGTGACACAATCATAGCTCACTATAGCCTTGAACTCCTGGGCTCAAGTAATCCTCCCACCACAGCCACCTGAGTAGCTGGGACTACAGGCGCACACCACCACACATGGCTAATTTTTTGTTTGTTTGTTTGTTTGTTTTGAGGTGGAGTCTTGCTCATTCTATCTCCCAGGCTGGAGTGCAGTGGTGCACTCTTGGCTCACTGCAACCTCTGCCTCTCAGGTTAAAGAGATTCTCCTGCCTCACTTTCCCAAGTAGTTGGGATTATAGGTATGCACCACCACTCCTGGCTGATTTTTGTATTTTTTAGTAGAGAGGAGGTTTCACTATGTTGGCCAGGCTGGTCTCAAACTCCTGAGCTCAAGTGATCTGCCCATCTCCACATCCCAAAGTGCTGGTATTACAGGCATGTGCCTGGCTATATAATATATATATATTATATATATTATATAATATATATAATATATATATATAATATATATAATATATATAATATATATATAATATATATATATTATATATATAATATATATTATATATATATTATATATATATTATATATATATATATATATAGAGAGAGAGAGAGAGAGAGAGAGATAGGGTCACACTCTTATTTGAATTCTGATTCAAACAAACTAAGTATAAAAGGACATTTAGGGAGCCACGCATGGCGGCATGCACCAATGATCCCAGCTACTCTGGAGGCTGAGGTGGGAGGATCCCTTGAGTCCAGGAGTTCAAGGTCAGCCTGAGAAATATAGCAAGAACCCATCTCTAAAAAATGAAAAAAAAAAAAAAAAAAAAAAAAACATTTTGGGGAGGGGAACAACCACGGAAATTTGCATAGACTGAGTATTGGATGATATTAAGGAATTATTTTGTTACATTTGAAAATCATTATATAGAAAAATGTTATTTTTTAGAGCTGAAATATCAAAGTATTTAGGGTTGAAATATGATGTCTAGGATTTACTTTAAAATACTTCAACAAAGAAAAAAATAGATGAAGCAATTTTGGCAAAATGTTAACAATTAATTATAGGCGATAGGGAGCTGGGAGTTCATTATAATACTCTTCTACTTTTGTGATTGAAATTTTTCATAAAAACACAAACAACTGTTCTTTGACATTCTGGCAAAGACAGGAAGATATCTGGGTTGTCACAGTCAGTACCCAAATTCTGAGTGTCCCTGAAGAGTCATTCATAGACTTTCTGACTCTACCACCACAGACTATCTGCTGGGTTTTGTTTCTTTTTACCAGAGGACTCACTAATATCCTGACTCTAGACTAGCTCCTACAATGAAAGAGAAAGATCTACTATAAAGGACATTATTAAGTCAACTGACAAAATTGGAATATGGATGGTAGATTTATAAATGAATCAGATAGGTATTGTTATTCTCTTTCTGGATCTTTCAAGGAATTTATCCATTTCATCTGCGTTGTCAAATGTATGGACATAGAGTTGTTCATAGCAGTCTCTTATCTTTGTAAATATCTGTAGGATCTGTAGTGATGGCTCCTCTTTCATGCCTCATATTTGTGATTTGTGCACTATCCTTTTTTTGACACAGACAAACAGAGGCCAAAAGGAGAAATGACTCAGGTCAAGACTGCAGAGCCAGCTGGGCTATCCTTAACTCCTGCTGCCTTGCCTGGCTGTCAGGTGAATCATCCTTTTTGAGTCTTCCTGCTCCCAGCCCACAGCTCTCACATATCCTTTTTTTAATTTTTATTTTATTATTATTATTTTTTTGAGATGGAGTCTCGCTCTGTCGCCCAGGCTGGATGGAGTGCAGTGGCATGATCTTGGCTCACTGCAACCTCTGCCTCCTAGGTTCAAGCAATTCTCCTGCCTCAGCCTCCCAAGTAGCTGAGACTATAGGCACATGCCACCACACCTGGCTATTTTTTTTTTCTGTATTTTAGTAGAGATGGAGTTTCACCATGTTGCTCAGGCTGGTCTTGAACCCCTGAGCTTAGGCATTCCGCCTGCCTTGGCCTCCCAAAGTGCTAGGATTACAGGCGTGAGCCACCATGCCTGGTCAGCTCTCACCTATTCTGCGTGGCCTGACGTGTAGTCTGCCATGGAAGAGCCCAACTGTAGAGCAAGGACACTCATTGCCCTTGGCCTCTGAGGTGAATCTAACTTCTCAGAATGTTCTCTTGCCCTCTATCCTCTGCTTCCCCTCAAAAGAAAAAAGAGGTAGAGGAGGTAAGATAATAAAAGAGAGATTGGGGTGGGGAGTGGCAAATGGTAAAGATGGACTACTTTTTAGAAGCAGCAGTAAGCCTCAGCGTGCCTGGAAAGAGGCAGTTCTGCCGTGGCAGGGAGAGGAGATCAGGGAAAAACAGTGACAACTTTACTGCCCCCTTTTTTTTTTTTAAGATGAAGTCTCCGCTCTGTCACCCAGGCTGGAGTGCAGTGGCATGATCTTGGCTCACCGCAACCTCTGCCTCCTGGGTTCAAGCAATTCCTCTGCCTCAGCCTCCTGAGTAGCTGGGATTACAGACACACCACCATGCCCAACTAAGTTTTTTGTATTTTTGTAAGAGACAGGTTTTCACCATGATGGTCAGGCTGGTCCTGAACTCCTGGCCTCAAGTGATCCACTTCAACGTCCCAAAGTGCTGGGATTACAGGCGTGAGCCACCACACCCAGCCTACTCCTTTTGCTTTAACTCTTGTCTCCTTAATTGCTAGAAGGAAGGTTCATTAAGTCCCTAAGTAACTGGGGGGGCCTAATTGAGCCTACACCTAGTTTTCCAAATTCTTATTCTATCACCCTACCCAAATTCCATGTCTAGATGGTAGTAAAGGGAATGAAAGACATAGGGACATCAGCTTAGCTCCTTTTTGTTTGTTTGTTTGTTTGTTTGTTTGAGACAGGGCCTTGTTCTTGCCCAGGCTGGAGTGCAGTGGCACAACCATGGCTCACTGCAGTTTCAACCTCCCAGGCTCAAGTGATCTTCCCACTTCAGCCTCCTGAGTAGCTGAGACTACAGCAGGCACACATCACTGCACCTAGCTAATTAAAAAACAGGCCGGGCACAGTGGCTCATGCCTGTAATCCTGGCACCTTGGGAGGCTGAGGCGGGTAGATCACAAAGTCAGGAGTTAGAGACCAGCCTGACCAACATGGTGAAACCCCTGTCTCTACTAAAAACACAAAAATTAGCCGGGCATGGTGGCACGCGCCTGTAATCCCAGCTACTCAGGAGGCTGAGGCAGGAGAATTGCTTGAACTGAGAGACGGAGGTTGCAGTGAGCCAAGATTGTGCTCCCCTGCACTCCAGCCTGGGTGACAGAGTGAGACTCCAACCCAAAAAAAAAAAAAATTTGTAGAGATGGGGTTTCACCATGTTGCCCAGGCTGGTCTCAAACTCCTGGGCTCAAACAATCCTCCCACCTTGGCCTCCCAAAGTGCTGCGATTACAGGCGTCAGTCACCATGCCTAGCCTAAACTTTTTTTTTTTTTTGCTTTAACTTCAGATGGCCTCACCCCTTAGTGCCATCCAGTGATGAAGTCACCAGGTGGAGGTGGTGCTGGCTAAAACTCGAAGATTATTCCTTTACTCTGAGAATCTCCTCAACATCCACCATTCCTGCTATCTGGAACTCAAGTCATCAGCATACAGAACTACAATCAGAAAAAGAGTCAGCCCCACTGTAGGCCCCCAAATACTAAGGGACAAAATGTTGCATCTTCTGATTCTAAAGCCCATTCTCTTTCCACTATATCAATAACCCTCAAATTCATGCCAAATGTACATTAGTTTTTGTGTCTGGTACTTTCCTTCTTAGAGTGCTTGGGGAGGATGGTGGGAAGGAATGAAGAGGACAAGGACAGACTCGTCTGCCTCAATACATCCACATAGTGGACACCACTGTCTTTTGGGAAGCTTCCCCCTCTCTCAGGAGTACGTGAGTAAGTTGTTTCCCTGGCTACCTTCCTGGGGAACCAAAGTTTGCGGGGAAAGAACACATCAAAGTGCTTGTTGCAAAGAAGAACCTCCTCTTTATTCCACATATAGAAGCTGTGTTTCCAGAGCTGGGAAAGGGCTTCGACCTGGCCCTACCTCTGTGTGGGCCTAGAGATGAAGGTCTAGGGCCGGGCGTGGTGGCTCACACCTGTAATCCCAGCTACTTGGGAGGCTGAGGCATGAGATTTGCTTGAACCCGGGAGGCGGAGGTTGCGGTGAGCTGAGATCGTGTCATTGCACTCCAGCCTGGGCAATAAGAGTGAAACACCGTCTCAAAAAAAAAAAAAAGAGAGAGAGAGAGATGAAGGTCTAGATCCTGGTAATTAGGCCTTTCTCCAGTTGGCAATGAAAAGTCCCAGCCTCCAGTCAGTCCCAAATTAGAGAGTGGGAGCAACGGTGTGTGTCAGTGCCTTGGTGAGATGAAGATCAGCTTCAGGCAGGCTCTTCCAGGCAAGTTCTAAGATCCCATACCGGGCAATGCCCACGGGAAGGATGGTGCGCACACAGTTCTGCCATGGGAGGGGTACCGCACCCTGGAACTCCTGAGGACTTCTAGGAGTATGAGAACTGCCACAAAACAGGCAGCAGAACAGCCGTTCCCCGGGAACTAGCTCTGTGGCTTTTAGGGCCTCTTCGTAGATGATCTCTTGGGGTTGAGGTTCCTCTCTCATTAGCAGCTCCTGAAGCAGCTTCTGGATTCTGGGGGACTTAAGTTGGTACAGGTCCATGAGCTGGTAGAACTGTTCCATCCAAGCAGTGCTGTCTTTTGGATATCGCTGCTGCAGCATCCGCAAAACATGGTACAGTGCCACAAATGTCTCCCACAAAGGCAACTCTTCCTTTTTTTTAGAAATGGGCTGTGTCTTCTTCTCTAACTTGGGCAGTTTAGGAAACCTGCGTTTATCCTTAAAATCCCAGAAGTCCTTTTGAAACATCAGTGCCAGGGTTTGTTTTTCCACAGAGGCATGGGCACTTGGAAAAATGTCTCTGGTGGCAGGATAAAAGTATTGCATTTCCATCTCCTTGTGAGCAATGGATATCTGCTGTGCCCTCTCACTTCTGTAAGGTTCTCCTAGAAGATGCCAATTTTTAGCCCTTGGGTCTGGAATCCTCTTGGTAGCTAATGGGGACTTTTGTGTGGGGACAGCCAAAGGTTTTGGCCAGCTCTCCTTTTCCTTTGCTTTTATAGGAGGAATCACTTTCAGGTATTTTGGACTCATGGACTGTCTACTTGAGATCCTTGTGTCTTGTGACTCCAGGGCCTGTCTGTGACGGTACACAATGGCTTCATGTTTGGCCAGATGCAGCCATTCTAAGTTTCCCTTTGAGGCAAGGTCTTTGAGCAGCTGGCACAGTCTATGGAAACCATCCCTGGAAAGCTGTTCTCCCGCTTCCATTCGTTCTAGGACATGGCGGATCCACTCTACATCTGAGAGGCTTACGTCTGCATGTTGTTCCTTAGCTGGGATTTGGGAGAGAGGTAACTGTACCTCAGTCTGTCCCATCAGAGGTGGATGCTGCAAAAACCACTTCCACCAGGCACCTAGTGGTTTGTGTTGGAGTTCCTCAGCTTCCACGGTCCTCCTTAATATGTGGGACATAAATGGGGTCTTTAAGTCCTGTGCTTGGGACTCCAAAACTGTACCCAAAACATGTGGAGGTATGGGTTCATATTTTCCCATCACTTCTCTTTCTTTATCCATTGTCCCTAAGAATTTCCTGGGTATTTCAACTACTGTGGCCTTTTTATCTTCCCAGGATATTTGTTTCTCCGGCACTGGCACTGGTGTTTTCTCTTTCATCTCCAGAGCTGTTGACATCAGTTTCTTCAAAGGGCTTTTTAGAACTCCTAGTCTTATAGCCCTGCCTTTGCCATGAGGAACTCCTCTTAAAATGGAAAGGACTCTTTCCCTTCCTCTTAGGCTCTTTCTTCTTTGTTCTTGTAACTTAAATTGTTTTTCTTTTTTTAAGATCTCTTTTTCCCTGTCCACCTCTTCTTCCAATGAGCAGCTCTCCTCTTCCTCTTCCTCGTCACTCAAACTTTCTGTCTCTTCCTCACTCATAATTTCTTCTTTCTCCTCAAACACTTCTTCCTTCTCCTGAACCTCCTCCTTCTTCTTTTCCTTTTTCTTCTTCTTCTTCTCCTCCTCTTCTTTCTCCACTTGCTTCTCCTCCCCTTCCTCCTCCTCCTTCCTTTCCTCCTCCTCCTCCCTTTCCTCCTCCTCCTCCCTTTCCTCTTCTTCCTCCCTTTCCTCCTCCTCCTCAGAAGACAAACTCTCTTGCTTTTCTAGTTCATCTAACAGGCTTTCCATTTCTTCAGAAAAATGCTCTTCACTTTCCACTTCATCCACTTGACTGGAAAACTTTTCTTTTGGTTTGTCACCTCTCTTGGCCTCTTTCCTCTTTCTCCACCTTCGTTTAAGGAATGGGATTACCTCTTCTTCTTCTATTCCTCCTTCCTCTTCATCATCCAGTATGACTTCTGAATGCTTTCTGGCCAATTTGCTCTCTTCCTCAGTCATTTTTTCTTCTTTGTTTATCATTCTTCTCATTTTGTTGGCCAGTTTTCTCTGCTTCCGAGCCAGTTTCTTCTCATCTTTAGTCAGTTCTGATCGTTTTTCAGAAAAATCCCACTCTTTGATATCCAGCTTACTCTGTTCTATACTCAACCTGCGCTCCTTAACAAAGAGTGCCCTCTTCATCTTTGTCATTTTTATTTCTTCCTGTGTTAGTTTCCTTTCATCCCTGGTTAGTTTTTGAAGTGCCTTTAAGATTTTGTTCAGTTTTGCTGGTTCCTTGGAAAGGCTCTCCCTTTTTTTAATCAACTTCCTTGAAGCCTTGGCTAACTTTCTTTGCCCCTGGACAAATATTCTCTGTCCTCTAGTAAATTCCAGTTTTCCTTTGGCAATTTCGCTTTCCTCCATGGCCAATATCCTGTCTTCATGTAGCAGTATCTTCTCCTCTAGTGACAATTTTCTCTCAAATAGTTCTTGTTCAACTTGAGTCATTTTCCTTTGTCTAGAAGTTTCTGGAGTCTCTCCCTTAGACAGTGTTTCTTTTCCCTCAACCAGTCTCATCTTCTCCTCAGCCAGTCTTTTCATTTCCAGGTTCAATGCCTTTTCTTCCTTAGCAATATCCAACTCTCCTCTGAGCCGTTTCTTTCCTTGGACCATTGCCTTCTCCAGAGCTAATTTCATTTTTTCCTGGGCCAATTTCTCCTGTTTTTTGGCCAAACTATCCTCTACTTGGACCAATTTTTTCTCTGTTTCAGCCAGTTTCTCCTTCTTCTTGATCACAGTCTCCTTTTCCTGTGTCAGCTTCTCCTCTACCTGAGCCAGTATCTTGTTGAACATTCCCAATTTGTTCTTTACTTGCACTAATTGCTTTTTGCTGTGGGTGAGTCTTTCTTTATTATAGAGTAGGTTCTCTTTCCTCTGAGCCAATTTTTCCTTCTCCTGGGCCAGATTCTTCTTTTCCTGAGCCAGATTCTTCTTCTGGTACAGTATCATCTTGTTCTTTGTGAGTTCTTCCATGCTGTTGATCCATCTTTCCCTTTTTTGGGCCAGTTTCATCTTCTTCTCAATCAATTGCTCCCTTTTCCGTCCCAGTCTTTCCTCTTCCTCAGGCATTTTTTCCTTGTGCTGGGCCAGTTTCTCCTTTTCCTGGATCAGCAACTCTTCTTCCTGGGCCAGTTTTGTCTCTTCTTCAGACAGTTTCTCCCTTTGCCAGGCCAATGCCTCCTCTTCCTCAGCCAGTTTCTTCTTTTCCTCAACCAGTTTCCCCTCTTCCTGATTCAGTTCCTCTTCTTTCCAAGACAGTTCTTCCATGTCCCATTCCAGTTCCTCCAATTCCTGGGCCAGCTCCTTTTCTTGCCAGTCCAGATTTTGTTCCCTCTGGGGCAGTTCTTCCACTTTCTGGGCCAATATGTTTTTCACCTCAGCCAGTTTCCCTCCTTTCTTTGCTAGTTTCTCTTCTTCTCTAGCCACTTTCTCCCATTTCTTGGCCAGTTTCTTCCTTTTCTGGGCCAATTTCTCCGCCTCCTGGCTTAGCTTCTCCCCTCTTTGGGCCAGTGTTTCCTCTTTCTGGGCAAACTTACCCTCTGCCTGGGCCATTTCCCTGTCATCCTGGGTTATTTTCACGTATGCCTGGGCCAGTTTTCTCTCTTCCTGGGCCAACTGTCTCTCTTCTTGTGCAAGTTTCTCTTCTTCTTGTGCTAATTTCCTCTCTTCTTGGGCTCGTTTTTTTTCAGCTCGGGCTCGTTTCCTGTGTATTCTGGCCCATTTGTGTTCTTCTTGGATGTGTCTCTGCTCTTCTGTGACCTGCTGTTCTTTTTCTTCCCCCTCCCGAGACACTTCTTCCTCCAAAGTCACTTCTTCCTCATCCTTGTACTGTTGCTCCTTGGACTTAGATGATAACATATTTTCCCAGACTTGTTTCCACTCCTCCCATTTCAGCTTCTTGTCCTCCTGAAGCATTTCCTCCTCCGGGGATAGCTTCTCTCCAGCCTGATGTAGTTTCTCCTCTTCCTGAAGAAGCCTCTTCTCCCATTCTTCCTTCCATGCCTTCCAGGATTTCCTTGTCTCACCATGGACCTGTTTCCACTCATCCCAGGCCTTTTTCCAGTCCTGCCAAGATGGTGTCCTCTCAATCATAACCAGTTTTCCTTCTTGTTTGACCACTTTCTCCTCTAGTGTGGCCATTTCCTCCACTTCCTCACTCATATCCCTCTCTTCTTTGGTCATTTCCCTCTTTATTTTTCCTACTTTTCTTTCCTTCTGGACAGCTTTCCTCCCTTGCTTAGGTGACTTCTGAAAGGTTTTCTTCTCTTCTTTCTTTGATATTTCTTTTCCCATGGTTACATTACCTGGTTCTAAAAAAATAACTTTCTTGCCCTTTTTCAAAATCACTTGGGTTTCCTCCAAGCCCAGCATGTCTCTTGCTTTCTTTTGTGCTTGTTCTTCTTCCCTTGGCATCACTTCCTTGTGTCTGATCACCTCTTGGGTCACACCTTGTATCATGTCCTCTCTAATTGCTCCTTCCTGGATAAAAATTGGTTTCTTCTCTGGCGGGACTACATCCCAATCAAGGTCCTCAAGCAGAACCTTACTTTCTTTCTTCAATAGGGGGCAGATCTCCTGAAAGAGTTCCCAGCTGGGGTGCCTATCTACCAGCATCTCCTGAGCAAATGTCACTAGCTCAGCGTTTAGGTTTTCTGACATTTTTGTTTGGGAACCAGATATCCTCAGGGCCATAAGACGACATAGATCGTCCCTCCATGATGAGCCATCTCCAGCGGTTGACCTGCGGCCAGATATTCCAGAGGCTCCCCGCCCTTGGATTTTAACCTTTTTAGTAACTGGCTGTTCCATTACAGGAGGTGTAGTTTCCTCATTTATAACTTTGGCTTCTTTTCCCTTCTTTTTGTGCTTCTTTTTGAGTTTCTGAGCTGTTGCTTTCTTGTCTCTTTTGTCACGTATTTTCTGCAGCCTCTTCAGGGTCAATGCAATGTGATCCTTCGAGATATCTTTCTCTTGAGAATCAACATCTTTTGAGAGCTTTATTACACTGGTGCTTGAAGACCATTGGGAATAGACGGATGCTTCCTCCATCTCAATTGGTGCGGCCTCAGTCCCACTTTCATCCTCTAAGAGGCCTGGCTCTGTGCTCATCTGTTTAGAGTCTCTCTCTTTCGTCTTCTTGAGACCCCGCAACCATTTTTGGCCTGCAGTAAAAATCGAGAGATGGAGGTAAGCAAAGTATGGGAAGCGACATGAAACCCTTCCCAATATTAGGTGTGAGCTAAGAAGAACTGTCATATAAGAAGTAACAACAGAGAGAACTGAGGCCTTAAAAAAAAAAAGCATTCTCTTTGCTTTATTCCTAGCCCCCTACTCCTGCCAAATCCTAGAGAGCTAGGCCTTAGAGTCTTCCTGAGTTTGAGTGGATCCTTCCTTAGAAAGTCTTTTTTTTTCATTGCTTTCATAAAAATCAATTTTACTGAGGTATAATTTAAACAGGATATACCCATTTTAAGCAAACAGTTTGATGAGTTTGAAAAATGTATACACTTTTGTAATTACTGCAATCACAATCAGGATATAAGGCATTTCTATTATCCCCCTAAATTCCCTCCTATATAGTGTCCCAGTCAACATCTATCTACCCTTAACCTCTGGCCCTAGGCAACCACTGATCTGCTTTCTGTGACTGTAGATTCATTTGCCTTTTTTAGGATTCCAAATAAATAGAATCATTAAAAAATGTGCTCTTTTGTGTTTGCTTTCTTTCAATAGTTTTTGAGATTCTTCCATGTTGTTGCATGTATCACTCTTTTTTATCACAGTAGTATTTCAGTTTATGAATACACTATAATTTCCTTATCTATACATTTTTTTAAAAAATTATACTTTAAGTTCTGGGATACATGTGCAAAACGTGCAGGTTTGTTACATAGGTATACAGGTGCCATGGTGGTTTGCTGCACCCATCAACCCAGCATCATCTACATTAGGTATTTCTCCTAATGCTAGCCCTCCCTTAGTCCCTCACCCGAGAGTGTCTTTTCTATGATGAGATCTTTCCACTTATCTCTCTTCCCACCTGGTATCTCTCTTTTTTTTTTTTTTTGAGATGGAGTTTCGCTCTGTCACCCAGGCTGGAGTGCAGTGGCACCATCTCTGCTCATTGCAACCTCCACCTCCTGGGTTCAAGTGATTCTCCCACCTCAGCCTCCCAAATAGCTGGGATTACAGGCACCCACCATCATGCCTGGCTAATTTTTGTATTTTTAGTAGAGACGGGGTTTCACCATGTTGGCCGGGCTGGTCTCGAGCTCCTGACCTCAAGTGATCTGCCCACCTCAGCGTCCCAGTGCTGGAATTACAGGCATGAGCCATCATGTCCCGCCAGCCCACCTAGTATCTCTTGATCCACTTTAACCCTAACTACCCTGCCTCTTGGGGACCCTGAGGCACAGACCAGATTACCCCTTACATACTATGCTTTTTGACCCCTGCTTGGCCTCGTCTTTGGCCTTTGCTGGGCTTGATGGCCACTTCAGATTCTTCAGAAACTGTAGGAGGTTTCAGGGAGGATTTAAGTTCAGAAGGCATTGAGACATCTAAAGAAAAAGCCGGCTTTTCATCTCTATGTGACAGGGTCAGGTTTTCATTCAATCTCTGCTCCACTTGAGTGGAAAGGATTTGGAGATCTGTGGCCCGCATCCCCAGTAGATGGTCCAGGGGTTCCTCCCCGATCATCTGCTGCCTATGAAAGTCAAAGGAGAAGAAGGACTATGCTGAGTCAGGAACAAAAGGGAGAATGGGAAGCAAAAAACGGTTGTGGAACAGGCAGGAGGCTTGGCAAAGTGGCCAAGAGAGATGGCATATGCAGAGGAAAATAATGGCTGAGACAAAAGAAACTATCTAGGAAGCCAAGGTGGCAATGAATGGAGTGATCTGTATTGGAGGCTGTAGAAGCAGGAGAAAAGGATGAAAATGGAACTTGAAGAAGTAGCGGACACATAGGAAAAGCAATGGAGAAAGGAGTGAGCAGGCCAGGTATGGTGGCTCATGCCTGTACTCCTAGCACTTTGGGAAGCCAAGGTGGCAGGAAGATTTCTTGAGCCCAGGAGTTCGAGACCAGCCTGGGCAATATAGTGAGACTCTGTCTCTACAAACAATTAGCCAGTGTGGTGGTGCATGCTTGTAGCCCCAGCTACTCAGAAGGCTACGGCAGGAGGATTGCTTGAGCCTGGGAAGCAGAGGTTGTAGTGAGCCAAGATCGCGCCACTACACTCCAGCCTGGGCAACAGAGTAAGACCCTGTCTCAAAAAAAGAAGGAAGAGGAGGAGGAAGAGGAGTGAACAGTCGGGATTGTCAAGGATAGTCATCTAGGCGTGAGCAAAGGCTATGAGAAAGAAGAAACATCAGGGAGAATTAATGAACAGGGATGAAGAAATAGCAAAGGAAAGGAGGGGGAAAATGGCGAATGGGGTGAAGAATTGAAGGAAGCACAAACTTACTGCATCTCCCGAAAAGTCTCTTGTTTTTGGGTCAGCTGTAAGAGTGAGGTCCTAGAGTGGATTCCAATCTCAGCCATGAGGCTTAGGGTCTTGATCCTCACTCTTTCATCCTTGTCCATTAATCCTTGAGCCAGAGGCATGGCAAAAAGATGAGTAATCATTCCTAGACGCTTCAGCCCTTCCCAAGCTAGTTCTCGGATCAGCGGGTTGGAATTGGTTGTATCATTCAGTAGCCGACGGGCTGTCTCAGAGCGTAGGGCTGGGGACACCTGGTAAGAGGCAAAGATTTGCCCTAGTGCACCAACACAGCACTGGTACTTCAGCAAGGAAGCATGGACCATAATATTGAGCATTGTCTCAATCATGCTATTAATGGTTATTTCACTCATCTTTCTTCCCAGCCAACTTCGGTTTGCTCCATCTGTAAGGACACTGTAGGTTACATCCTTGGAAAGTCTCATTTCTAGGAAGTGTTCATCCTCCTCCTTATTCTTTGGATATTCTGTATTACTTATAGCTCTTACCCTGCTGTGCCAGAAAAAGAATTCTTGAGACCTGTCCCATTCCAGCTCCCGCTGGGGTGCATGCAGGTTGCACTGTAGGTATATTGGGGTGCCCTCTGGCCAAAGACGGGCACGAATCACTGAATTGGGGATATAGCAGTCAGGGGCAAAAAGCCATTCCCGCCCATGACCAAAGTAGTATCGCAATATCTGATAGGGGTTGAGTCCATCCCAGCTAGTCAGTTGTAGCTGGGGAGGAAGCACATAATGGCATTGGTAACGTTTGCTCACCTGCATCCAATCTTCCATGTCCTGCAAAGAATAATGCATGGAGGAACGCAGTAACACTGGGCTCCCTTCCTCATCTTCTTCTATCACATGTGGCACAGAATGGTCAAAGGCAATGGCCCGGTTGTTGACAAGTTTCTCCAGACCCACTAATTTCTGTTGCGCTTGTCCAGGGTAGATGTACTTGGGCACAAACATGGTCTCAAAGGAGAAGAAGAAGCTTGGTATGAAAGGCTTAGGGACTTCCAGTACTTCATCTGATATGCTCATAAAGGAAAGGCGAGTCAGCAGGGCTGGGGGAAGCAATTTTAAACAGGACACTAGGTAAAGACTCTGGTTAAAAGTCACAAGCAGGTCACCCCGGTCATTTGCAAAACAGACTGGGCCAAAGTGCAGTGATGAGTCCAGAATGCCTATGAGTCTGCCATGGAAGTCCCAGATCCGAACAGAGCCATCGGCAGAACCTGTGACAAAAAGACTCAAGGAGAGGCAGACATCAAAGGATGTGATGGCACACAGGTGCAGAGGCAGTGTTTCTATGAATTTCAAGCCATTCTGTGACCCAGAGGACAGAAAATCATGGAACTTCCAGAGACGCAGGCAGTTTGTCTCTGTGATGGCACCCACAGACTTGGGCAAGAGTATCAGATGTGTTAGGTGACAGCTGCTGAGAATGCTGGCGAGAGGCCGCAGTTGTACTTTGACCCCATCAAGCACAGCTTCTGACAGGTGCACATAGTCATCCATTCCATAGGAACAGAGCAGAGAGTTTCCTTGGCCACCAAAAATCCCTCCAGACAGCGTGGAGAGTGCCAGTACAGCGCCAAAGTGCATGAATTTTTCTAATCGAGCACAGCTGTGCTGGGAGAGCACTCTTATCACACCACTCTGGTGCCCAGAGAATATCAGTCCCTCTAGACCCCGCCCCAAGTTGAAATGCCCATAAGCCAGGCATTGTACAAAGTCCTGAGAATTTGGTGAGGTGCCTAAGAGATACTTGGCTGGGCAAGGGCAGCGGGTTGTGTCAAATACCAGAACCTCTGAGCTGCCTGTTGCTACAAAGAGCTCCTCTTTACCTGGGTCGTAGGCCCAATCCACAGCCTGGTCCAGGATTGAGAAGGGCCAGGTGATAACCAGAAGGTCCCCTGTTACTGGGGACACAAAGCGCAACAAGCCATCCTCAGTGGTACACAGGATCCGGAACCAGTTATTTCCACAGCAGACCCGACGCAACTGCTGGGGAGCAGAGCCACAGACATTGAAGAGGCTGTAGAAGCAGGGCAGGCGGTGCAAGGAAAAACTATGGGCAGTTTGGCAGAAGAAAGTAATGCTGTCAATAAACTGGAGCCGGTATAGCTCCTCACCAAGCTCTAGCCGCCGAAGCAGGCTCCCTGAAGTCAGGTTCCACTCCTTGATTAGGCTGTCACTACCAGCTGTTAGCAGGGTGTGGGCCTCTGGTCGGCTGCGGATACAGATCACTCCTGATTGATGGGCCTGGAAACTGTGGAGTGGATGGCCCTGCTGGAGGCTCCAAACTTGGATTTCCCCAGCTTGGTTTCCAGCATAGAGAAAGCCCTGATCAAAACAGGTGAAGCAGCAGGTGATGGAGGAGCCGCTGCTGGTGGACGTGAACCTCTTTACCTCTCCCAGCTGGCCCTTGCCCTGGTGCATAAGGACCCTCACCACCGTCTCACACAGGGCCAGGAGGGAGCCACTGGGACCATTCAGCACGATGTCCTGGACAAGCTCATCACCTGGCATGGAGACCATGTGGGCTATTTGGAGGCCCGTGCCACCTAGCTCAATGACCCAGGTCACCACTGCCCCCAGGATGCCAGACAGAAGCATCTTCATTTCCGGGTCATAGCAGAGGCAGCTGATGTTGAAGCGGCAGGGCACTTTACCCAGGGGTTTGAATGCCCGAAAGTGGTCCCCAAAGAGTCGCAGGATCAGGTCACCACAGTAGACCACGAGGATATGAAAGGAGCCTGCATGGACCATGGACTGGATGGGTGGCAATCGTTCAGTCATGGAGAATGTTCTTTTCTCAACCATGTCCTCAGTTTTGCTCTTCATCCATGCTACAGCCTAGAAGAGAATAAGAAGGAAACTGCCTAGGCCGGGTGAGGTGGTTCATGCCTGTAATCCCAGCACTTTGGGAGGCCGAGGCGGGTGGATCACCTGAGGTCAGGAGTTCGAGAGCAGCCTGGCCAACATGGTGAAACCCCATCTCTACTAAAAATACAAAAATTAGCTGGGTGTGGTGTCGGTGCCTGTAATCCCAGCTACTCGAGAGGCTGAGGCAGGAGAATCGCTTGAATTTGGGAGGCAAAGGCTGCAGTGAGCCAAGATTGCGCCACTGCACTCCAGCCTGCGTGACAGAGCGAGACTCTGTCTCAAAAAAAAAAAAAAAAAAAAAAGATGAAACTGCCTAGAGCTGATGGTAGGGCAGAATATTCCCTTATTTCCCCATGTTTTATGTTAAGGAGGAATTGGAGGACTCAAGTGATTTTATCCCTTGGTGATGGGAATTGGAAATACGGTAGAGGCAGGAATCCTAGGACCCTTTTCCTAACCTTGGTTTACTTCGGGGGAACCATACAACCTACTCAACATGGGGACTATAATTGGAGAAAGGATGAGGAGAGATTTCTGGTTCCAGACCACATTCATCCATGGGGAATATCCTCCTTTGTCAATCTGGGCTAACAGTTATATGGGCATGGCTCTTGGAGAATGGGCCAAGAAGGGTAAGAAAGGCAGTCTTACTTGTATTTCTTTTGTGTTTGATGTCACCCAAGAGAGGGAGGCGAAGAAGTGGGCATCACTGAAGTAATAGCATACACACGGCATATTTTGAGGATAGCGAGACTCTTTGAACAGTACCTGGGACCGGTCACTCAGCACAATCAGGCAGTTCTTTGGGTCTTCCGAAGGTTGCTGGAGAGAGGCGTGGCATAAACTAAGAGGCCAGGGCACAGAGGCACTAAATATATTCTCGCACAAGTCACAGTTGGAGCAGTTCCCAAAGTCATGCTTCCCACCCGAAGGACCTACTCCTGTTACACTCACACGTGCATAACTTATCACCTGTGGCACAGCTATACTTCACAAGCATGTAACAAATCCCCCAATGCATGAGGGAACACAACCCTGCAGAGTCTCTGTGTGCAAATTTCATAGTGTGAACACAGGGAAAAATGATGTTCTTTTCAACATGAAGTTAGCCATGCCTGCCCTCTAACATTCTTTTTTTTGTTTTGTTTTTTAGATGGAGTCTCTTTCTGTTGCCCAGGCTGGAATGCAGTAGCGTGATCTCAGCTCACTGCAACCTCTACCTCCCAGGTTCAAGCGATTCTCCTGCTTCAGCCTCTCAAGTAGCTGGGACTACAGGCACATGCCACCAGGCCCTGCTAATTTTTTGTATTTTTAGTGGAGATGGAGTTTCACCATGTTGGCCACGCTGGTCTTGAACTCCAGACCTCAGGTAATCCGCCCGCCTCGGCCTCCCAAAGTGCTGGGATTACAGGCATGAGCTACTGAGTCCAGCCCCCTCTAACATTCTCGCTTGTGTGTAGAAGGTACATGTACCATAAAAGACACAATATTTAACAGAATAGTCAGGCAAGTACATCACCTTACGCACACATGGAATATAGCGGAATCTCCCAAAGTCAGTGCAGCTCTAAGTTACTGAAGCTTAAAGCTGCACTAAGTGAGACTCTTGGGACACCCTATCTGGCCTTTAAATTTGACAGAGGACAAGCATTTATACAATATATATATTATCCCATGGTGATAGACCATGTGCTATGAAACATGCATCTGGGATCCTGTTTTTTTTTTTTTTTTTTTTGAGACAAGATCTCACTCTGTGGCCCCATGCTGCAGTGCAGTGGCCTGATTTCGGCTCATTGCAACCTTTGCCTCCTGGGTTCCAAGTGATTCTCCTGCCTCAGCCTCCCGAGTAGCTGAAACTACAGGCACGGGCTACCACACCCGGCTAATACTTTGTATTTTTAGTAGAGACGGGATTTCACCATGTTGCCCAGTGTGGTCTTGAACTCCCGAGCTCAGGTGATCTGCCTACCTCGCCCTGGCAAAGTGCTGACATTACAGGCATAAGCCACCACGCCTGGCCCTGGGATCCTTGTATGCAGAGCCAACCATAGCAAAACTGAGCTTGGCAACTGTTTTCTCTGGTGCCTCCTCCCCTGTTTTAAAAAATCTCTCAGCCAGGCACAGTGGCTCATGCCTGTGATCCCAGCACTTTGGGAGGCCGAGGTGGGCAGATTACTTGAGCTCAGGAGTTCACGACCAGCTTGGGCAACATGGTGAAACCCCATCTCTACTAAAAATACAAAAAATTAGCTGGGCGTGGTGGCGTGCGCCTGTAGTTTCAGCTACTTGGGAGGCAGCTGAGGCAGGAGAATTGCTTGAACCTGGGAGGCTGAGGTTGCAGTGGGCCGAGATCATGCCACTGCACTCCAGCCTGGGCGACAGAACGAGACTGTGTCTCAAAATAAATAAAATAAAATAATAGAAAAACTCTCTTTCCAGAAGGTCAGTTCCTCTTACAATCCTCCAGAGTGTCCACTTTCCACTATCAAAATGTCCTTGCGAGAAGTCTGTGACTCATGGAAATTGATGGCCTACCTCCTGCTAAGGTGGTGACTATAGTATACCCTGTTTGCTTCCTGTTCTCAAGGACAATCTGTGGCTCTTCTGAAATGCTCATGACTGTAAGACAGGTAGCAGCCAACCTATAATATGTTTATGTCCTACATATACATTACCTTGCTTTTATTTATGGTGTCATTTAGGAGGAGTTTTAAATCTTTCCACAGGGGAATGAGCCTGGGGGAAGACATCACCGTCAGACTCCCTTGGCCCTCCTGAGGACTGTTGCTTAAAAACCTGTGGGAATCCAAAAGAGCCCAGCTTAGTCACTGCCATTTTCCGAGAAGCTAGGAATCAGAAAGCAACAACAATGAACTCATGTTTATTGAACACCTTCTGAAAGTCAGGAACTGTGCACAAGACATACCTTCTCATTTCATCCACTCTACAGCCCAGTAAGGTAGGCATTATCTCATTTTATAGATGAGAAAACTGAGGCTTGGAGAGAGCAAATTGGGAGTGAATCTTAGCGTGTTCCTGTCGTAACCCAGTAACATATATGGGTGAGAGAACCAGAGAAACCGAGAGAGGGGCTGGGAAAGAATACCCTCACAGGCAAATAATAGTCCTTCACATTTTGTGGTGTGTCCGGAGAGCATTTTGTGAAGACTGTGGGTTCTCAAAGTATGGTCCCTGGACCTCATGAACCAGGACAGACACTTAACGACTGTAAGTGACAGACACTTACGACTGCTGTTTGTAGGCTGGCCTAGTTCTCAGACAGGTGACCACTCTATTTCCTTCCAACTCATACTTCATGCTTTTCAGCTGCTCTGGAAACATGACAGTTAAATTTATAGTCTGGCCAGCAGAGGGCAACGGAGGCCAACCTTTCCTGCCAGATGTAGAAGAACTTCATCCGTTTAGAGAAATGGTGGGAAGTTGTTAAAAATGCAAATTATTGGGCCCCACCCCAGACCTACTCAATTGGAAATTCTGAGATTAAGGCCCATCAATGAATAATTGTTGTTGCTGCCCATCAATCTGAGATTAAGGCCCATCAATCTGAGATTAAGGCCCATCAATGAGTTGTTGTTGTGTTGTTTTGTTTTGTTTTGTTTTGTTTTGTTTTTAAGAGATAGGGTTTTGGCTGGGCACCGTGGCTCACGCCTGCAATCCCAGCCCTTTGGGAGGCGGAGGAGGATAGATCACCTGAGGTCAAGAGTTCGAGACTAGCCTGGCTAATATGGTGAAACCCCGTCTCTACTAAAAATACAAAAATTAGCTGGGCGTTGTGGCACGCCCCTGTAATCCCAGCTACTCTGGAGGCTGAGGCAGGAGAATCACTTGAACCCAGGAGGCAGAGGCTGCAGTAAACCGAGATTATACCACTACACTCCAGCCTGGGAAAGAGTGAGACTCAGTCTCAAAAAAAAAAAAAAAAAAAAGGAAAAAAAAAGAAAAAAAAGAGACAAGGCTTTGCTCTGTTTCCCAGGCTGTAGTGCAGTGGTACCATCATAGCTCACTGCAGCTTTGAACTCCAGAGCTCAAGTGATCCTCCCACTTCAGCCTCCCACATGCTAGGACTACAGGCATATGCCACCACACCTGGCTAATTTTTGTTTCTTTGTTTTGTTTTTGTAGAGACAGGGTCTCACTATGTTGCCCAGGCTGGCCTTGAGCTCCTGGTCACAAGTGATCCTCCTACCTTGGCCTCCCCAAATGCTGGGATTTCGGGCATGAGCCACCACACCTGGCCTATTTTGTTTTTTTGTTTCAATTTTTGTAGAGATGGGAGTGGGGGTGGGGTAGGGATGAGGGGGTGTCACTATGCTGTCCAGGCTGGTCTCTAACTCCTGGCCTCAAGCTTTGGCTTCCCAAAGACTTGGCTTCCCAAAGTGCTGGCATTACAGGCATGAACCGTTGCACCTTGCTTCAACAATAACCAAAATGTGAAAAACACTGGTTTAGAGAACTGTTGGAGTCCCAATTCATTTGGCCTGGGCTTCCTGAAGCAAGGTCAGCAAAACACACCTTCTGGTATGCCACAGAGACTTGCTCACTGGATTTGGGATGGGGGAAAGCAGCAGGCAAAACTTACCATCATCATCTCACATGCATACAGTGGGTGAGAGCCCACAGAAAAGCTTTCAACATCAATCATTTCATTAGTTCTTGAAAGAATCCTGAGAGGCAGATATCATCATCTCCATTGTACAAAAGAGGAACATTAACTCAAAGAGGAAAAGGGATGTGTTTGAGTCTACAAAGGGCAGATCAAGACTAAGATCCACCAGGTGCAGTGGCTCATGCCTGTAATCCCAGCACTTTAAGAGGCCGAGGTGGGTGGATCACGAGGTCAGGAGTTCAAGAACCAGCCTGGCCAACATGGTGAAACCCTGTCTCTACTAAAAATACAAAAATTAGCCGGGCACGGTGATGGGCGCCTGTAACTCCAGCTACTCGGGAGGCTGAGGCAGGAGAATCGCTTCAACATGGGAGACAGAGGTTGCAGCAAGCCGAGATCACGCCACTGCACTCTAGCCTCAGTGACAGAGCAAGACTCCGTCTCAAAAAAAAAAAAAAAAAAAGACCCAATCCACAGTTCAGGATTCTTCTACTATATCAGAGGAGGAAGAGGTTTTGCTGGCTGATGCTCAGAAGGCTCTCCGATCCACAAATCCACTCACAATGGGAACTTGGGACTGGCTGGCAGCACACACCATCCTGTCTCTTTCCACGCTCCCCAGACTGCATGCTGCCCTCCTGCGATAGCTGTCTCCATTCTGTTCCACTCAACCCTGCACTTGCTGCTCATTCTGAATGCCTTTCAGGCTCTAGTTGATCTGCTTCAGATCCTGCACAGCAGTGGAGGCCCCTGTGGGAGTTACCCCAGGCCAAAGTGGGAGGCTCACTCGCTTTCAGCCAGAAGTTCAAGGCCAGCCTGGGCAACATAGTGGGACCCTGTCTCTACAAAAAAAAAAAAAAAAAAAAAAAAAAATTAGCCAGGCGTGGTGGCATGTGCCTGTGGTCCTAGCTATTTGGGAGGCTGAGATGGGAGGATCACTTGAGCTCAGGAGGTTGAGGCTGCAGTCAGCTATGATGGCCCCACTGCATGCCAGCCTGGGTGACAGAGCAAAATCCTGTCTTAAAAAAAAAAAAGGCCAGGTGCGGTGGCTCACGCCTGTAATCCCAGCACTTTGGGAGGCTGAGGTGGGTGGATCATGAGGTCAGGAGTTCAAAACCAGCTTGGCCAACATGGTAAAACCCTGTCTCTACTAAAAATACAAAAATTAGCCAGGCATGGTGGCGGGCGCCTGTAATCCCAGCTACTCAGGAGCCTGAGGCAGAGAATTGCTTTGAACCCAGGAGGCGGAAGTTGCAGTGAGCCGAGATTGCAGCACTGCATTCCAGCCTGGGTGATAGGGCGAGACTCCATCTCAAAAACAAAACAAAACAACACCAAAAAACCCAAACAACAACCACAACTCAGAGTTACCCCACTGGCCCCTTCTTGTGGCCCTGGAGCTGCTGAGAGAGTAGTCGTTTGTAACAAATTTGCAGTCACTGCCATCACTTCCCATATTCCAAATAGCTCCACTGGGTCCCACTTCTCTTGACCGGCCTACAGAGAGCAAATGGTTGGGACTATTTGGGGGAATATTTCTAGGTGATGAGTGAGAAGGAGGACTTTCAAACCCCAAATCTCTATGTTTATTTAATTTTATGTGGTTTTTTTTTTTGAGACAGGGTCTCGCTCTGTTGCCCGGGCTGGAGTGCAGTAGTAGAGTCACAGTTCACTGCAGCCTCAAACCCCTGGGCTCAAGCAATCCTCCTGCCTCAGCCTACCGAGTAACTGGGACCACAGGCACACACCCCCATGCCTGGCTAATTTTTTAAAAACTTTTTGTAGATACAGGGTCTCCCTATGTTGCTTAGGTGGTCTCGAACTCCTGGGCTCAAGCGATCCACCTGCCTCAGCCTCCCAAAGTGCTGGGATTACAGGTATGAGACACTGCACCTGGCCCTCTATGTTTATTTATTTATTTATTTATTTATTTATTTATTTGCCACTCTTTCCCACACCATAGACCAGTTTCCTTGGGTTAGCCTCAGAGGATGACATTTGACTCCCTAATCCCAGTACCTGTCCTTAAAAGCAAGTTTGTAGTGAGCTCCAGATGCTTTAATCCCAACAGTCTTGTTTAATATCTTTTATTTCTTTTTCCTTTTTTATTTTTTTTGAGACAGAGTCTCACTCTGTCACCCAGGCTGGAGTGCCGTGGCACTATCTTGGCTCACTGCAACCCCTGCCTCTGGAGTTCAAGTGATTCTCCTGCCTCAGCCTCCTGAGTAGCTGGGATTACAGGCATGCACCACCATGCCCAGCTAATTTTGTATTTTTTTTTAGTAGAGATGGGGTTTTACCATGTTGGCCAGGCTGGTCTCGAACTTCTGACCTCAGGTCATCTGCCCGCCTCAGCCTCCCAAAGTGCTGGGATTACAGGCGTGAGCCACCATGCCCGGCTGATTGTTTAATATCTTAACACAAAGATAATCTAATGGGAGAATTCAAGCTCTGTGGCCAATTTAGCGTGAAGGGTATTTGGGACCAACGCATGTTATTCCTGCTGACTGTGGAGACAAACCAGGTCCATGACTGGGTGTTGACACTGGAACTATATTCCTTTTCTTAGCACCAGTCCACTGTAAGGTACAGCATTAGTTGGTGGCCTGAGGAAAGGCAAACCTCCCACGAGCTTTGCCTTGTTAAAGAGAGTTGACTCTAGGGGGCGCTGCACTCCACGACACGGTCAGGCCCCTGGGCTCCCTTTGGCTCACTTGTTGGCTCCAATGTGCTCTGTTACAGGTGAGTGTGAGGGGATCCAGGCAGGTTTCTTGCTCCCTAGAGCTTATAGTCATCAAAGAAGAGATATAAAATGGATTACAGTGGGAAATTCTAGGTGATGGGTTATATTATCCTTTAGAACTTTTCTGCAACTTTTAATTTCCTCAAATTAAATTGCAAATTAAATTCAGTTTTAAGAAGGAAAAGTATGAAGTGCTTTGAGTACATATAACGAGGAGACCTGGCCACCCAAAAGGAAGGTGATGAGTGCGCCACACTGTGAGACAGGGCCCTGCATGGATTATATAACCTTGCAGGTGGTCTCACATTTGGGCACAGGGGTGCAGAAAGTCCAGCTGATATCAGAAGGGCCTAATTAGTTGACTGTAAAGTCAGAGGGGCAACCTAGGCTTACTTGGTTCTTTGAATGACATTACTGATAAGGAGCCCAAGTTTGTCCCCAGGGCCTGGGAGTGCTACTCTGGCCTTCAGGTGGCTGCATAGCTAGGGCTGGGGGTGGAATGCATTTAACTTTCTTAATGGGAATAAATAGTTTTCCAGGCTGACAAACATACATTAACAGGGTGGGCTAGTTTCTGTTGGATGGAAGAGTTACCCTGGATCCCTGAGAAGTAACGACAGTATCCAGGATTAATTAGGTTGTAAAGTAGTAACCAGGAGTTTTACATATCTTTTAATTCTTATTTATTTTGAGACAGGGCCTCACTCTCACCCAGGCTGGAGTGCAGTGGCATGATCATGGCTCACTGCAGCCTCAACCACTCCGGCTCAAGTGATCCTTCTGCCTTAGCCTCCTGAGTAGTTGGGACTACAGGCTAGTGCTACCACACCTGGCTAATTTTTGTACTTTTTGTAGAGATGGGGTTTCACCATGTTGCCCAGGCTGGTCTCAAACTCCTGGCCTCAAAGAATCCACTTGCCTCAGCCTCCCAAAGTGTTGGGATTACTACAGGTGTCAGCCACCACACCCAGCCAATTTGGTTTAATTCTTACAATTATTCTAACGACTTAGCTATTATCCTCCCTGTAATTAAACAACCTTTTTTGTTTTTTGTTTTGTTTTGTTTTGAGTCGGAGTCTCACTCTGTCGCCCAGGCTAGAGTGCAGTGGCGCCATCTCCGCTCACTACAAGCTCCGCCTCCCAGGTTCACGCCGTTTTCCTGCCTCAGCCTCCCGAGTAGCTACAGGCGCCCGCCACCATGCCTGGCTAATTTTTTGTATTTTTAATAGAGACGGGGTTTCACCATGTTAGCCTCGATGGTCTCAATCTCGTGACCTCGTGATCCACCCGCCTCGGCCTCCCAAAGTGGTGGGATTACAGGCATGAGCCACTGCGCCCGGCCATTAAACAACTTTTAAAAACGGACATGGTAAAATATTGAAAATGTACTAAGGAGCAGGTAAGGGAAAAAAAGTCACCTTTTCACACCTGACCAGCTGTCCTTCTGTTTCCCCTTCCCAGAAGTAACTCTGGTTGTGTCTTTCTTTTGTGTGTGTGTGTGCTTTTTTTTTTTTTTTGAGATGGAGTCTCTGTCTGTCGCCCAGGCTGGAGTGCAGTGGCGCGATCTTGGCTCACTGCAACTTCTGCCTCCTGAGTTCAAGTGATTCTTGAGCCTCAGCCTCCCTAGTAGCTGGGATTACAGGCGTGCGCCACCACACCCAGCGAATTTTTTGTATTTTTAGCAGAGATGTGGTTTCGCCATTTTGGCCAGGCTGGTCTCAAACTCCTGACCTCAAGTGATCCGCCCACCTCCCAAAGTGCTGGGATTACAGGCGTGAGCCACTGTGCCTGGCCAAAAATATTTTTCTTATGCAAGTGATAGTATACTATATACACTGTTATTCACTTTTCTCTTAATATACCTTTAAGACTAATTCATATTAATACATATAACTCATTTCCCAACAGTTACTAGCTGCAGGGTATTCCACCGTGTGGCTGAACTATCATTTATTTATTCAAATTTCTATTAATGGACATTCGGTAGTTTCCAACCTTTTGCTACTGCAGCTAATGCCGCAAATGAGTATCTTTGTTAGTGCCTCATAACATTTTAATTTTATTTGATTTTAATTAACTTAAATTGTAGAACTGAGGCCAGGCATGGTGGCTCACGCCTGTAATCCCAGCATTTTGGGAGGCCGAGGCTGGCAGATCACGTCAGGAGATCGAGACCATCCTGGCTAACATGGTGAAACCCAGTCTCTACTAAAAATACAAAAATTAGCTGGGTGTGATGGCGCCTGCCTGTAATCCCAGCTACTTGGGAGGCTGAGGCAGGAGAGTCACTTGAACCAGGGAGTCAGAGGTTGCAGGGAGCCGAGGTGGCGCCACTGCACTCCAGCCTGGCGACAGAGTGGGACTCCGTCTCCAAAAAAAAAAAAAAAAAAAGTAGAACTGAAGCAATGAAAACATTTTTCCATTAACCTAACTTGGAATAATATTTTGGATATATTTGGGTTAAATAAAATATTAAAATTAATTTCATAGCTGGGTGAGATGGCTCACGCCTATAATCCCAGCACTTTGCGAGGCTGAGGTAGGAACATGTCTTGAGGCCAGGAGTTCAATACCAGCCTGGGCAACATAGCAAGAAAAAAAAAAGTAAATAATAATGATAAATAAAATGAATTTTACCTGTTTATGTCAAAATTAAAATTGCATATGTGGCTTGCATTACACATAAAAACACACACATATATAATTTTTTTTTTTTTTAAAGAGACAGGGTTCTGCTTTGTCGCCCAAGCTGGAGGGCAGTGGTGCAATCATGGTTCACTGCAGTCTCAAACTCCTGGGCTTAAGCGATACTCAGCCTCTTAAATAGCTGGGACTATGGCCACATGCCACCACGCCTAGCTAGTTTTTTAGTTTTAGTAGAGATAGGGTCTTGCTATGTTACCCGGCCAGTCTCCAACTCCTGGCCTTAAGTGATCCTCCTGCCTCGGTGGCTCAAAGTGCAGGGTATATTTCTCTTAGCTAGTATTGCTCTACATTGTTGTAGTCTGGTGGTGGCCTGATATCCCTACTGGACTGAAAACTCCCTGAAGGTAGGAGTCCAGTCTGTCTGGATTTCTCTTGTGTCTCCATAATCACCCAACCTGACATGGAATAGGTGGTTAATCCATTTTTGTTGAATGAGTGGAAAAATGTGCTCTCCCAGGAAGAAACATATGCTTCCCAGCTTCAAGTGTTAGTGAACATCTTCCTAGAAGGCAGGCTGAGGCGGAAAGGGTATTGACTCCGGCTTCTCCACCAGAGGACCTTGCAATTCCAGTCAATTCCCTCGGTAACTCTTATGGAGGAGTGGCAATATACCTTAAAAAAGGAGTGTGTGTTGCGGGGTATTCCGCTGCTTGGTTATGTCACCAGGTGGATTAAATTTGGACAAAATTTCCCAAGGTGTAGGTACTCTACAAACACTAGTTACCCTCAGGAATGTGCGATCAACAAAAGAATGCAAGATAACAAGGCCCCTAGGCAGCCCCTGGGTCTTGTGGCTCCCGTCGAAGGCAGAGCTCTGGAGCCGCCTACGCCGGGGACAGGCGACTACACCTGGGGCCCCTCACCCTCGGGCCTCCTGCACGTGGCAGGGAAGGCAGGGCGTCTCTATCTCAAAGCATTGGCTGCGCCTGTTACCTGCGACAGGATTCCCGACAAGGGACGGGTACGGCGTGTGCACTCAGGAGCTCCTAGAGCTAGGGGCAGCAACTAAGAAGCTACCTGGCGGATGTTGCGAGAGGACTCCGCCCACAGAACGGTTGGCCCCCAACCCCGCAGCCGGCGGACTTCCCGAGGCCAGGGGTCTGAACGCGCGTGCGCATGGGCGCGCGCCCGGCGCGAGAACGCGCGCGCGCTCTCGAAAGAAAAAAAAAAAAAATCCTCTCCGCGGGGTCCCGCGGCAATTTAGGCCGGGGTCTGCCGACGACCGCGCGTGCGCGGGCGTGCATCTACGCCCTCCTCCACCGCCCCCTCCGCTGGGGGTCTAGCGCACTGCTCCGCTTCCCCCGTTTCCCCCGGGCTAGCGTCCTAGGGGTAAGTGACTCGAGCCTGGCAGAGAGTGAGGGAGAGGTTCCGCCGAATGAAGGGAGGAGGTAGACGGGGCCAGGAGAAAGGAGAAACCGCCCCGGCGGGGCGAAGAGCGCGGCTCTCGAGCTGTAGTCTGCAGGAGACACACCTCCCTCCCTCACGCCCCTCGGGGCTGCGGAAGTGCTCTACAGACTGGAGCTGCACGAAGGCGACCAGCGGACTACCGTTCCTAGGAGGCAGCGCGGCGGTGCGCCTACGGCTCCCGGCAGCCCCCGCGCGCCATTCTCTTTTTGAGTTCGCGGCCGGCTAGGGCGAAACTACAGTTCCCAGGAGGACTCGCGCGAAGCGGCTTGGAAGTGGGCAGCCTGGAAGTCACTCGGGCCACCGGAGCTGGCGGCGTCTCCAGCGAGCGGCGCGGAGCTGGACGCCGCGATCGTGGGGCCCGCGAGGCGGGCAGCCGGGGCGTCCAGGTACGTGGCTCCGGGTGCAGGATCGGCCTCGCGCAAGGGTGGCGGGGAATCGGTGGCTGCCCGGACCCCGAGGGTCAGCGCGGGCGGACGGCCGGGTGTGGGTACTGGCCGTGGGGGGCGGCGGCGCCGGGACTCGCGCCCTCCGGACCCAGCCGGACTCGTGCCCGCATGGCTCAACTTTCCAGGCGTGCACCCCGGCGCTGTGGTGAAGAGCTTGGAGGCGGGGAGCGGTGGATTCGCGTCCCGGCTGTGCCACTCGGGAGCCGCGATCTGGGAAAACCGCGCCGAACCTCAATTTCCCCTGCAGTAAAACGGAGTAGGAGAGCATCTTGGCGGAGACTCTGTTGAGATAATATAATAAAACATTTGGCACATAGGAGGCACTTACTACGTATTTGGGTTATTGTTAGCTCTCCGAAAAATGAGGTGAAGATGTTATCGATTGCATAGGGTGAGGATTAGTTGAGCGTGTGCATGTAAAGAGGTGAGTCCTTAGTTAGCACCCAATGCAGGCTAGCTGCTGTTAACCGAGATTATTTTGTTAAGAGCGTTGGTTTGGAAGGCAGAGAGACCCCAGGTTCAAATTTGAACATTTACCAGCTGTGTGACTTTGGGCAACTGGCTTCACCTCTCTGTGCCTTGGTTTCCCTATCTATAAAATGGGGATTTAAATAGCAACCACTTCGTCGAGTTGTTTTCAGGATGCAGTGAGAATACCATGTGTAAAGTGCTTAGCACAGCAGCTGGCATATAACGCTCAGTAAATGGTACCATTTATTCAGCGTTTTCCTAGTGGCCCAGAGACCCTCTGAGGGTGGGGCTCTGGCCGTAGTATTGGTCACCCCCGAGGGCCAGATTCAGAACTGGTCCAGTTGACTTCCCTTCCTACTACCTCAGGTTCCTCATTTACAAAATGGGATAATAACAAGATCACTCTCAAAGGGTTGTAAGGATTTGCTGAGATTGTATTTCTAGTCCAGCGCCATCTCTCACTAAGTAGCAGCTCTTATGTATTATAATTGTTCTTCAATATTCTCCATCTGGCCCAGAGACTGCCTGACTGTGGGCTGTGACATGACAGCCCTGAGCTCCCCCACACATTTGCTCCCATCCTCAGTGTCCCATCTGTGGAATGGTAGTCATAGGACTTTTGTGCCAGGATTGTTTGGATGGTTCCAGGAGATAATTCATGTTTAGTGCTTTGCACAAGGCCCGGCACACAGTAAGTGCTTATTAAATGATTAAATGTATCTTGCTGTTTTTTTTTTTAATAGGCCCTTTTTGCTTCTGTTTGTACCTACATGGCAGAGTGAGCACAAAGTTAGTGTTTTTTTATCTTCCCCCTCCCTCCCAAATTTTACTTACCAAAGATTAAATTATGGAACACACTATAGTAGAAAGGCCTAAGAAGAAATGGGTCTGACCTGCCATCAGCAGTCCCCTGCTCACACACCCCTCCCCACAGAGCCAGTATGTTCACTCCAGTGCTTTAATTATTGTCCTGGTGCTGCCAGCTTTTGCCTTTGTGTCCCAAAGCCACTGAGTCCCCTGCACTCCAGCTCCAGATGTGGAGCCTGTGCTTCTTTGATGCTGTGGCTCAAAGAAGTGGCTGTTTCTTGGGCACCATAAACTCAGCATGTCCAACCTGAACTCCTTCTCCTCCTGGAACCAGTAGTCACCATCTTGGCAAATGTGCCAGCATTGACCTGGTTGCCTAAGCCAGAAACCTGGGAGTTGCTCTTCTTCCCCAGCCTTCCCATATCCAGTCAACTAGCAAGAAGGACGAAGCTGCCATTTCATAGAAACACCATTTCATTGGCCCATATTGGTCTCCCATCTGATGGGCACTGAAAGTTCCCCTCAGCTTGAGACGGAGTCTTGCTCCATAGCCCAGGCTGGAGTGCAGTGGCACAATCTCAGCTCACTGAAGCCTCCGTCTCCCGGGTTCAAGCAATTCTCCTGCCTCAGCCTCCTGAGTAGCTGGGATTACAGGTGCCCGCCACCACACGTGGTTAGTTTTTTTTTTTTTAGTAGAGATGGGGTTTTCACCATGTTGGCCAGGCTGGTCTTGAACTCCTGACCTCAGGTGATCTACCCATTTTGGCCTCCCAAAGTGCTGGGATTGTAGGGCATGAACCACCGCGCCTGGCTGTGACAAGGTTAAGTCAAGTCATTAGGGATTAACATACGTAAACCTATGTAACATATGTATTAATAAGGGCAAGAAGATGTTATAGACTTGGCTAGACAGCAGTGGCTGTGGATGTGGCATGAAAGCCTGGCTTTCAGGGGACCCAGTTCTGTGATTTTAGCCTGGTAAAGATCGGCTGAGTTGTTAATTTCTTTCAGAAAAGTTAGATGGTGTCAGCGGCTTAGAATATCCCGTGTGGGAGGGTGGCCATCCTGGGCATTTCAGGAGGCAGCACACATACCACACACCCAAGAAGAGGCTGGGAAGGGAATTTATTAGCGCTCCCCTTAGGTTGAGTTTATTGTCAGAAACCTGTCATTGTGATTTCATTTGATGATAGAAACCGGTGGCCTCAATCACATTTGTGATGGCCAACAAATTTACCTAAGCATTTTGCTAACCTGAAGAAGTAAAGCAGTGGCTTAAAAAAAAAAAAAAAAAAGCAGCACGTGGCTTTTTAGCAGTCAGTGTAGAATGAATGATCTAAGAGTTAAATGTGAGTCTGTGTTTCAGACATTGCAGTTGTTAGGTGGTAAATCAAAAGTGGAATTTAGAATGTGCAGTGATTGGTGCCTCATTTTTTTGCTGTAAAATATATTTTACTGATATATTTCAAACATAGTCTTAGTAACTTGTAAAATGTAAATTAAATGTATTTACATTTTAATAAAAGAATTCAATAATCATTTCCTTTAAAATAAAGTGTTTGTTTTTAGCTATTAGAATGAGAGGCTATTTGGCAGGGTGCAGTGGCTCATGCCTGTAATCCCAGCACTTTGGAGGCTGAGGTGGGTGGATCACTTGAGCCCAGGAGTTTGAGAGCAGCCTGGGCAACATGGCGAAACCCCATCTCTACAAAAAATTAGTCAGGTGTGGTGGCACACATCTCTAGTCCCAGCTACCCGGGATGTTGAGGCTGTAGTGAGCTGTGATTGCAGCATTGCACTCCAGCCTGTGTGACAGAGTGAGACCCTGTCTCAGAAAAAAAAAAAAAAAAAGAATGAGAGGCTGTTGTACCAGTTTGTGCATTTGTGTATTCTTCAAGACTGATATTGCTTCCTTTTTGTTGTTTTTAGACAGAGTCTTGCTCTGTGGCCCAGGCTGGAGTGCAGTGGCACGATCTCAGCTCACTGCAACTTCCACCTCCTAGGTTCAAGCGATTCTCCTGCCTCAGCCTCCTGAGTATCTGGGATTACAGGCATATGCCACCATGCCTGGCTAATTTTTGTATTTTTAGTAGAGATGGGGTTTCGCCATGTTGGCCTCGAACTCTTGACCTCAGGTGATCCACCCACCTTGGCCTCCCAAAGTGTTGAGATTACAGGCGTGAGCCACCGTGCCTGGCCTATTGCTTCCTTTTTTTAAGGACTATTTTGGTCATGACCTTTTGTGCGTGTGTGTATGTATGTGATTGGGTTGAATTTAGCTTAAAAAAAGTTATGCAAGAAATTCATGCTTGTTGTAACGTGTCAAACAATACAGAGGTGTAGGGAAAATACCTAGTGCCACCCTCCACTCCAAAACCCCATGTCGCCAGAGATAACCATTTATTCAGACAGTGAGTATCTATTAAGTATCTATTGCTAGGCTTTGGAGATAGCATAATGAACAAAATGGATGTGCTCTCTGCCCTTGTGATTTGGACAGATGCTTCAGTTATCTTTTTCTGTGTTTATATTGATTATGTTTGTATGTATGTGCGTGTGTGTGTGTGTGTGTGTATCGACTGTTTTCTTCCTCCTCCCATACCATTCCCCAAAAAAGGAGGGGGTAGGGATCAAGCTACACCTATTTGTAACCCAGTTTTTTCAATTAATGGCTGGGCATGTCCTTCCAAGTCATTACATATAGATCTGGCTTATCCTTTTCAACAGCTGTACCCACATTCTTCAGTGCAGAGAGACCACGCTTTATTCCAGCATTCCCCCACTGCTGGTCCTTTAGGTTGTTCCTCTGAGATGTCTTTTTTTTTTTTTTGAGACGGAGTCTTGCTCTATCGCCCAGGCTGGAGTGCAGTGGCGCAATCTCAGCTCACTGCAAGCTCCGCCTCCTGGGTTCACGCCGTTCTCCTCTGCCTCAGCCTCTCCGAGTAGCTGGGACTACAGGCGCCCGCCACCACGCCCGGCTAATTTTTTGTATTTTTAGTAGAGATGGGGTTTCACCGTGGTCTCGATCTCCTGACCTCGTGATCCGCCCACCTCAGCCTCCCAAAGTGCTGGGATTACAAGCGTGAGCCACCGCGCCTGGCCCCTCTGAGATTTCTTTACCTCAGCAAACACACATCTAATAAGTATCCTTGGTGGTGGCTCAGGAGATCGAGACCATCCTGGCTAACACAGTGAAACCCCGTCTCTACTAAAAAATACAAAAAAATTAGCCAGGCGTGGTGGCCGGTGCCTGTAGTCCCAGCTGCTCAGGAGGCTGAGGCAGGAGAATGGCGTGAACCTGGGAGGCAGAGCTTGCAGTGAGCCAAGATTGTGCCACTGCACTCCAGCCTGGGCGACAGAGCGAGACTCCATCTATAAAAAAAAGAAAAAATTAGCAGGGTGTGATGATGAGAGCCTGTAATCCCAGCTACTTGGGAGGCTGAGGCAGGAGAATTGCTTGAACCAGGGAGGTGGAGGGTGCAGTGAGCCGAGATTGTACCACTGCACTCTAGCCTGAGTGACAAGAGTGACACTCTGTCTCAAAAAAAAAAAAGTATAAAAAGTATCCTTTCACATAGGCAGCATGGCCCAGTGGCTGAAGCACAAACTCTGGGGCCACATGGTCTGGGTTCACACTGTGACTCTATCCTATATTAGTTGTGATACCTTGGGCAAATCATGTGTCCTTCTGAGCCTTAGTGTCCTGATCTGAAAATGGGGATGATACCAGTGTCTTCCTTATAGGGTGGTTGTTGAGAGGTTTCATAAGATTATCTATGTCAAGCCTTCAGGGCAGGGCCAGCTGTGATCTTTTTTTTAGAGACAGGGTCACTCTGTTGCCCACGCTGGAGTGCAGTGGCGTCATCATAGCTCACTGTAACCTTGAACTCCTGGGCTCAAGTGATCCTCCCACCTCAGACTCCCTAGTAGCTGGGGCTACAGGTGTGCACCACCACACCCAGCTAATTTTTAAATTTTTGTAGAGATAGGGTCTCACACTATGTTGCCTAGACTGGTCTCGAAGTCCTGGCCTCAAATGATCCTCCCGCCTCAGCCTACATGTGTTCTTTCAAACCCAGAGAAATTCACAGGAAGAGCCAACTCAATCACTTGAAACACCAGGTAGAAATAAGAAAAAGTTATATTGCAGGGATCCCGCTTGGAGATGTTGGGGGCCTAAGGTGAGGGATCCAGCTGCCGCTGAAAGAAGGGAGGAGATTTGCCCAGGAAGACAGGAGCCAGTAAAGTGCCCTGACCACAGTGGGTGGTGGGGGTGAGGGGCTGGTGGTGGAGCATCAGTGGGAAATATCACTCCTCATATTTGCGAGAAGTGTGCCATGGTTGGAAGGTGGCTTAGGTGGCGGGCAGACCAAGTTCAAATCACAGTATAGCCACTAACTTGTAAGATGTGCACTGAGCTTTTTTCTTCATTGGCAAAATGGGTATGATAGTAGTCTTTACCTCGGGGGTCGCTGGAGACTGAATGAAATGTCTGCAAGACTTTCAGCACATTAGGCTGTCATTAGCCCTGTGCAGTTAGCTACTATTCTTATTTTATTGAGTTGACAGATGTGTTGAGACCCTGCTGTGAGCCAGGGTCCTATCCTAGGCACTGAGGATTCAGCAGTCAACAAGACAGACAAGATCCTTGCTGTCCTAGGGTTTACATTCTAGCCATTCTAGCCCGGGAAGACACACAATAAACAGGATCATTTCACTTTGTGTTTTTGAGATGGAGTCTCGCTGTCACCCAGGCTGGCACAATCTCAGCTCACTGCAACCACTGCCTCCCAAGTTCAAGCCCATCTCCTGCCTCAGGCTCCTGAGTAACTGGGATTACAGGCATGCGCCACTATGCCCTGCTGATTTTTGTATTTTTAGTAGAGGAGGGGTTTTGCCATGTTAGCCAGGCTGGTCTTGAACTCCTGACCTCAGGTGATCTGCCTACCTTGGCCTTGTACAGTGCTGGGATTACAGGCGTGAGCCACTGTGCCCAGCCTTTTCTTTCTTTTTTTTTTTTTTAATTAAAAAAAATCCTGGCTGGGCACAGCGGCTCACGCCTGTGATCACAGCACTTTGGGAGGCTGAGGCGGGCAGATCACGAGGTCAGGAGATCGAGACCATCCTGGCTAACAAGGTGAAACCCCGTCTCTACTAAAAATACAAAAATTAGCCAGGTGTGGTGACAGGCGCCTGTAGTCCCAGTTACTCGGGAGGCTGAGGCAGGAGAATCACGTGAACCTAGGAGGCAGGAGGAGGCGGAGTTTACAGTGAGCCTAGATTGCACCACTGCACTCCAGCCTGGGCGGCAGAGTGAGAGGCCGTCTCAAAAAAAAAAAAAAAAAAAAAATCCTGATCCTGCCTCTTCAGATAGTTTTAACTGTGATGGAGAAAATTTAACAGGGTAAGTGGAGAGCAAATGGCTGATGGGGCAAGATGGCGGTGGTTACCTTAGCTTTGATGGTCAGGGAAGGCCTCCCAGGCCTCTTTGAGGAGTCATGTGAACTGATACCTTAATGAGCAGTGGCACTGGCTATGCCGAAAGTTGAAGAAAGAACATTCCAGGTAGAGGGAACAGCAAGTGTTAAGGCCCGGAGGTGGGAGTGAGTTTGCTACAAAGAGTATCAGTTTGACTGGAGAAGAGTTAATTCCTAGTTTTCAAGTTGATACTACTTTAATTTTTTTTTTTTTTGTGGCAGGGTCTGCTCTGTCGCCCAGGCTGGAGTGCAGTGGCATGATCTCAGCTCATTGCAACCTCTGCTTCCTGGGCTCAAGTGATCCTCCTGCCTCAGCCTCCCAAGGAGCTGGGATTACAGGAATGTGCCACCACACCTGGCTAATTTTTTTTTGGTACTTTTAATAGAGGAGACAGGTTACACCATGTTGGCCAGGGTGGTCTCAAACGCCTGACCTCAGGTGATCTGCCTGCTTCAGCCTCCCAAAGTGCTGGGATTACAGGTGTGAGCCACTGCAGCCGGCCACATTTTTTCTATTTTTTGTAGAGACCTGTTTTGCCCAGGCTGATCTTGAACTTCTGGGCTCAGGTGATCCTCCACCCTCAGTCTTCCAAAGTGCTAAGATTACAGGCACGAGCCACCATACCTGGCCTACTTTTTTATAAAATAATAATAATGATAGCAGCTTACCTGGTGCTTACTCTGTGCTAGATGCTTTTCTAAGCATTTCACACATTCCTCAGTTAATCCTGACAGTAGTCCAGTGAAGTAATTAACTTGATCAAACTCATTTTACAGATGAGGAAACTGATTCCACCCTCCATGCTCTTCACCTGCATTCTAAACTCTTCCAGGGCCCTCCTTACCAGGCAGAGGCAAATTGAGGAAGTGGACACAGCATTTCCTTTCCTTGTTGTTTGACATGCAAAGCACTTTAGACTATATTTAGTACCTAATTGATGTGGCAGCAGGGGCCGCCTGGGATGTTGTGGCATCATTTTTGCTCTCAATGAGACACGATAGGGATGGTTTGGTGGTGGTTTCAAAACTAAAGACCCTCCAGCAGAGCCTGTCAAGTAAAACAAGGTTGACTGCTTGGTTGCCATACCAGGCACAGGTTAGCATGAAACAAAGTGTAGTGTCCAAGGAGAGGGAGCAGGGTGTCTCCTTTGGGTGAGCTTTGCAAGGGGACTTGGGACTTGGCTGGAAAAGGTGTTTTTTTTTGTTTGTTTGTTTTTGTTTTTTTTGAGTCAGAGGCTCGCTCTGTTGCCCACGCTGGAGTGCAGTGGTGTGATCTGGGCTCACTGCAACCTCCGCTTCCTGGGTTCAAGCGATTCTCCTGCCTCAGCCTCCTGAGTACCTGGAGTTACAGGCGCCCACCGCCACTCCCAGCTAATTTTTGTATTTTTAGTAGAGATGGGGTTTCACCATCTTGGCCAGGCTGGTCTCCAACTCCTCACCTCAAGTGATCCGACGGCCTCAGCCTCCCAAAGTGTTGAGATTACAGATGTGAGCCATGCACCCAGCTGGAAATGGTGTTTTAAGCACACTAGCCATGTGGGCTGTTAAAGTATCATACTATAGCCCATCAACTAAGACAATGATTCTTGGACCTGTAAGGGCCCCAGGTCCCTGCTCCGGCATCATGACCTGTGTGCACTTTGATTTGCTGTAGCGTGGGCGTATTTTGAATGAAGGGTAGCCCTGGTTAGATGTGAGGACAGTAGTGGGTGCTTTTAAGACTAAAAATATTGGGTGGGCATGGTGGCTCAGGCTTGTAATCCCAGCACTTTGGGAGGCCGAGGTGGGAGGATTACTTCAGACCAGAAGTTCAAGACCAGTCTGGGCAACATAGACCCCAACTCTGCAAAAAAAAAAAAAGTTTTTGTTTTTGAGACAGTTCTCACTCTGTTGCCCAGGCTGGAGTATAGTGGTATGATCACAGCTCACTGCAACCTCTGCCTCCTGGGTTCAAATGACTGTCCTGCCTTAGCCTCCACAGTAGCTGGGATTACAGGCGCCCACCACCACACCCGGCTAATTTTTATATTTTTAGTAGAGATGGGGTTTTACCATGTTGGCCAGGCTGGTCTCAAACTCCTGACCTCAGGTGGTCTTCCCGCCTCAGCCTCCCAAAGTGCTGGGATTACAGACGTGAGCCACCGCATCTGACCTCATCTCTGCAAAAAATTTTTAAATTAGCCAGGCTTGGTGATGTGCACCTATAATCCCAGCTACTCAGGAGGCTGAGGTGAGAGGATCACTTGAGCCCAGGCACTACCACACCTTGAGCCCAGGAGATCAAGGATACAGTGAGCTATGATCACACCACTCTGTGTCTAAAAAAAAAAAAAAAAAAAAAAGACTGAAAGTATGGAGAGCATCTTTCATCTGTCCATCTGTGAAACATTTCTTCACCTACCCTGTGTGTCAGGGTCCATGCTTGACACTGACAGTATAAAGTTGAATAAGACACTGGTTCTCAAAAGCCCACAACAGTGCTGTCTGTTAGAAATATAACGTGGGGCCGAGCGCGGTGACTCATGCCTGTAATCCCAGCACTTTGGGAGGCTGACGCGGGTGGATCACTTGAGTTCAGGAGTTCGAGACCAGCCTAGCCAACATGGTGAAATCCCATCTCTACTTAAAATACAAAAATTAGCTGAGTCTGGTGGCATGTGCCTGTAATCCCAACTACTCGGGAGACGGAGGCAGAGAATCACTTGAACCCTGGAGGTGACAGTTGCAGTGAGCCAAGATTGCACCACTGCACTCCAGCCTGGGCAACAGAGTGAGACTCCTTCTCAAAAAAAAAAAAATGTGGGTCACTGATGAGGCTCATATAGGTAATTAAAAATTTTCTAGTAGCCATATTTTGAAAAGTAAAAGGAAGCAGGAAAGTAATTTTAATGATATATTTTATTTCATCTAAAACATCATTTCAACATGTAATCAATATAGAAATTATTAGTGAGCTATTTTACTTCCTTTTTTCCACATTAAGCGTTTGACATACAATATGTATTTTACACTTTCAGCGTATCTCAGTTGGTACCAGCCATGTTTCAAGTGCTCGGTGGCTACATGTGGCTAATGGCTACCACATCGGACAGCACTGGCCGAGGGTATGAGATTCACGTGTAAATCAAAGGTGGTAGTTCAGTGATAGATCTGACATGCCACTCCTGTTTTATCTTGGCGGAGAAGGGCAGATGTATGATGAAAAGCAGGTTTATCACAAGCAGTTATAGCTAACCAAAGAGCTACTGTCCATCAAACTTGCTGTATGTGCCTGGCACTGTGCTTAGTGTTGGTGGGTGTTGCCTGTGTTCGGAGGTGCCAGGGACTACAGTTATTCCCATTTCACAGATGAGGAAGCTGAGATAAGGCAATGAGAGGTCACTTGCTCAAAGTTGGGAAGTGGCAGAGGCAGCATTTGAGCTCAGGTGCAGAGTGTATACTTTTAAACCTGTTTTATATGCTGTATTGGAGGGTGTTTAAGGGGGATAGGGTCTGAGTTTTGAGCAATGAAAACCATAGGAGGGACTTGTTGCACAAAATCGATTCTGAGGCCGGTCGTAGAAGATCATACCTGTAATCCTAACATTTTGGGAGGCCCAGGCAGGAGGATTGCTTAAGCCCAGGAGTTTGAGACCAGCCTGGACAACAAAGCAAGACTCCACCTCTACAAAAATTTAAAAAATTAGCTGGGTATGGTGGCTTGTGCCTGTGGTCCCAGCTACATGGGTGGCTGAGGTGGGAGGATTGCTTTAGGCCAGGAGGTCAAGGCTGCAGTGAGCCGTGATTGTGCCACTGCACTCCAGCCTGGGTGACGGAGAAAGACCCTGTCTCAAAAAAAAAAGAAGTCCCAGTTTGTCAGCATTAATCTCTGGGTTTACATTGGTGTCGGTGTGCTGGTTTGAGACCTGAATGATTGAGAGGTCCACTCCTTAAATTGACCTCTAGGTTTGCTGGAACCTGGAACCTTACCTCCCAGGAAAGAGAGGGGTCTTTGGGGAGTTGGGAGGAGGGTGAGCAGGGGGACTAAGGAAGGCAAGGAAAGGTCTTGGCGTGTTTGAAAGCTCATTTCTTTGTTTTTTGTTTGTTTGATTGTTTGTTTGTTTTTGAGACAGGGTCTTGCTCTGTCACCAGGCTGGAGTGCAGTGGCGCGATCTTGGCTCACTACAACCTCCACCTCCTGTGTTCAAGTGACTCTCCTGCCTCAGCCTCCCGATTAGCTGGGACTACAGGTGCGCGCCACCACACCTAGCTAATTTTTGTATTTTTAGTAGAGATGGGGTTTCACCATGTTGGCCAGGATGGTCTCAATCTCTTGACCTTGTGATCCGCCTGCCTCGGCCTCCCAAAGTGCTGGGATTATAGGCATGAGCCAGCATGCCCAGCCTGAAAGCTCATTTCTAAATTGCTGCTTTGGGGCCAGGCCTGGTGGCTTATGCCTGTAATCCCAGCACTTTGGGAGGATGAGGAGGGCGGATCACCTGAGGTCAGGAGTTCAAGACCAGACTGGTCAACATGGTGAAATCCCATCTCTACTAAAAATAGAAAAAATTAGCCAGGCATGGTGGTGGGCACCTGTAATCCCAGCTACTTGGGAGGCTGAGGCAGGAGAATCAAACGAACCCAGGAGGCAGAGGTTGCAGTGAGCCAAGATCACACCACTGCACTCCAGCCTGGGCGGCAGAGCGAGACTCGGTCTCAAAATAAATAAATAAATAAATAAATAAATAAATAAATAAATAAATAAACAAACTGCTGCTTTGGACATGAAACCTGTTGTGTCGCTGACTCTGGCCCTCATTGCTGTGTATTCTGGTGGGTGCTGTGGGCTCTGGTGGAAGCAACAGCAGAGCTTAGCTTGTGAATGTGTCTTACCCTTGCTGTGCTCCAAAGACATTGCCAGTGGATGGGGTGTGGGGAAGGGACATCACAGTGGTTTCCTCTGTCAACTCTATGAGAGTCGTGGTTCTAGACTTTTTGGAGGTGTCAGGTGCAGGTTGAATCCTGGCCTTCTACCTAAACAGGGCAGGTGCTGGAGATTCTCAGCTTGTTCCTGTCCCCAGATGGTGCTCACCACACTTATCTCCAACTGCTGGACAGTGCCTGGCATGTGAGAGATGCTCAGTAAGTATCTGTTGAATTAATGATACGAGCCAGCATTCACTGAGCTCTTACTATGTAGGAGGCACTGTTCTGACTGCTTCTCAGCTAATATCTTATTGAATCCTTAGAACCACTCCTTGGGGTAGGTACTGTTGTTATTACCATGTCTCGTAAGAGGAAACTGAGTTACAGAGAAGTTCAAGTCACAGAGCTGGTGAGTCTCAAATTCAGGATTCCTATGCAAGTCACTGGCTCCAGAGTCTAGGCTCTTAAACACTCACTGTGTGGTCTTTCGATGAACAGACAGACGAACAGATGGGGCAGACAAGCAGGACCATTCTCACTTGTTCCGGCCTCCTCACTCCACACGTGGTCTCCCCCTGTTTTGGGGGAGCCCCACAACAGATCCCAGGCCCCTTTGGGCCCTGAGGCTTTTTTTTTTTTTTTTTTTTTTGAGACAGAGTTTCACTCTTGTTGCCCAGGCTGGAGTGCAGTGGCGCGATCTCAGCTCACCGCAACCTCTGCCTCCCGGGTTCAAGCAATTCTCCTGCCTCAGCCTCCCAAGTAGCTGGGATTATAGGCATGCGCCACCATGCCTGGCTAATTTTGTATTTTTAGTAGAGATGGGGATTCTCCATGTTGGTCAGGCTGGTCTCGAACTCCCGACCTTAGGTGATCTGCCCACCTTGGCCTCCCAAAGTGCTGGGATTACAGGCATGAGCGACTGTGCCTGGCTGGGCCCTGAGGCTTTAATACCCCTCTGGCCAGTGCTTCTTGGTTTGTAATTTTTTTTTTTTTTTTTTTGAGATAGGGTCTCACTCTATCACCCAGGCTGGAGTACAGTGGCATGATCATAGCTCCCTGCAGCCTCTACCTCCTGGGCTCAAGCGATCCCCCATCTCAGCCTTCTGAATAGTTGGGACTACAGGTATGCACAACCATGCCCAGCTAATTTTTAATTTTTTTGTAGAGATGGGATCTCTCTATGTTGCCCAGGCCGGTCTTGAACTCTTGGACTCAAGCGATCTTCCCTTTTTCCTCCCAAAGTGTTGAGATTACAGGCATGAGCCCACCATGCCCAACCTAAAAAGTCCTTATCTATAAGATGCTCATGCTGAAATATCTATGATTAAACTGTTAAGATATCTCGGATTTCCTTCAAAATAATATAGACAGGCAGAGAGTGCAGGGGCTCAAGTGTGCATGGGTGAATAAGAGATGAAATAAGATTGTCTGTGAGTGGAACTATTGAAGCCAGACAATGAGGGCTTATTATACTCTTTTTTTGCCTTGATGTTTTGAAATGTATCATCATGAGAAGTTAAAAACAAGTACAACAAATTTCACCCAGCATTTGTGTATTTCAAGCTCAAGTGTACATACAGGGGAATTCCCTGCCTCTGCTCAGTCCACTTATATAATACAAATGTTTGCTTTTTTCTTTTTTTTGTCTCTATTATATGAGCCAATACTTGGCCCAAGGCTTTGGAAGCCCCTTTGATAAAGCCGTGTCTGGCAGCAGTGGGAACACCCGGCCAGGCCCCAGCAGCCCTGGCTTCTCTGAGCAGCGAACACCGTGGCACTGGCCTTCGAGTCAGTTTACTGAGGTCCCTTTTCCCTGAGATCTGTTTCCCTCTAGCACCTGCCTGTGGGGCCCCTCCCACATTTTTTCCAAGGACTTGTTTCAACAAAAAGCCTCAGACCCTCCCCTCAGGACAGACGTACACAGATCTTCTGACACCCGGCCTTCCTCTGGTGGGTCTTTGTTGAGGCCCCACACGAACCGGAATCCAGTCTTTGGTGTGCCCACAGCACCGCGGCAGGAGGCAGGAAACGTGCCCCTTTCCAGTTCTGACTCTGGACAAAAGAAGAAAAAGGGCAAGATGCAGCTTGTGACAGTGCCTGGGACCTGATGGTATTTCTAATCAAGCTAGCAGCTACAACGCCTTTACGGCCGGCCGGCGTGCGCTCCCCGCTCCCATCACTGCATTTGTGCTTTGGGGGTCTGGAACAACAGCACATGAGTATGTGGTAAAATTCTTATGCGGAAGTGGCAGGAAAAGAGGGAAACGTTTGGGGGCTTCTCCTGATGGTGTGCTGCCTGGTGGGTAGAGATGGTTGATGGGAACAGGAGTGCTGGTTGGTCAGATCCTGCCAGTGCTGGCGCCGTTTGTTGCATCTGATGGTGAGCTCTTTCCTCTGGTGCCCCGTTTTTCTATGCTGTGCTGTTGGTTTGCAGGGAGGAAGACAGGGAAGTCCTGCACCCCCTCAAGCTTCCATAAACTTCCACCCCCAGCACCATCTTCATCTCTGTCCTTTCTTTTTCTTTCTTTTTTTTTTTTTTTGAGACAAGGTCTTGCTCTTTCACCCAGCCTGGAGTGCAGTGGCACGATCACAACTCACCGCAACCTCGAACTCCTGGGCTCAAGTGATCCTCCCACCTCAGCCTCCCAAGTAGCTGGGACCACAGGCATACGCCACCACGCCTGGATAATTTTTTTTTTATTTTTGTGGAAACAGGTTCTTGCTATGTTGTCGTGGCTGGTCTCGAACTCCTGGCCTCAAGTAATCCTCTTGCCTCAGCCTCCCAAAGTGCTGGGATCAAAGGCGTGAGCCACCATGCCTGGCCTGTTTTTCTTTCCAAGGCACCTTTTGCAGTTCTTTTAGTAGAGAGGCTTTCAGGTGAGTCTAGTGTGGAGGGAATGTCATGAGCTCTGTCTTCAGTATAGGTGGCTTGATTTGTGTGTATTTCCCAGTGTGGACTGCACGTTGGATCTGAGGGCAGCAAACCCCAAATGCTGATGGCGTGTCTGATTTTTTTTATTTTTTGAGATTGAGTTTCGCTGTTTCACCCAGGCCGGAGTGAACTGGTACAATCTCAGCTCACTGCAACCTCGGCCCCACCGGGTTCAAGCAATTCTCCTGCCTCAGCCTCCCTACTAGCTGTGATTATAATTGCCTGCCACCACACCCAGCTAATTTTTGTGTTTTTTTAGTACAGACGGGGTTTCGCCATGTTAACAAGGCTGGTCTTGAACTCCTGATCTCAGGTGATCCACCCACCTCAGCCTTCCAAAGTGCTAGGATTACAGGTGTGAGTCACTGAGCCCTGCCTTGATTTTTATTTTATTTTATTTTGAGACAGAGTCTTGCTCTGTCGCCCAGGCTAGAGTGCAGTGGTGCGATCTTGGCTAACTGCAATCTCCATCTCCCGGGTTCCAGCGATTCTCCTGCCTCAGCCTCCCGAGTAGCTGGGACTACAGGTACCCGCCACCGCACCCGGCTAATTTTTTGTGTTTGTAGTAGAGACGGGGTTTCACTGTGTTAGCCAGGATGGTCTCGATCTCCTGACCTCTTGATCAGCCTGCCTCGGCCTCCCAGAGTGCTGGGATTACAGGCGTGAGCCACTGAGCCCGGCCTTGATTTTTAAACTTATCAAGTCCTCAGTGAGGGGAGCACTGTTCTAGATACCAGGGTGCAGCCATGAGGAAAACAGACAAGGGTTCTCACCCTTCTGGGGCTCACCTTCAAGTGGAAGAGTCAATCAACAAACAAGATAAAGAAGTAAAACACGGCTGGGCACGGTGGCTCATGCCTGTAATCCCAGCACTTTGGGAGGCCAAGGCAGGAGGATCATGAGGTCAGGAGATCGAGACCATCCTGGCTAATACGGTGAAACCCTGTCTCTACTAAAAATACAAAAAAAAAAAAAAATTAGCTGGGCGTGGTGGCGGGCGCCTGTAGTCCCACCTACTCGGGAGGCTGAGACAGGAGAATGGCGTGAACCCGGGAGGTGGAGCTTACAGTGAGCCGAGATCGCGCCACTGCACTCCAGCCTGGGCGACAGAGCGAGACTCCATCTCAAAAAAAAAAAAAAGAAGTACAACACGCACCGTGTCAGTTGGTGATAAGTGCGAGGGAGCAGAAATTAAACAGGCAAAGGGCCTAGGAAGCAGTCACGCATGGCTTCACAGTGGGGCTGTGTTCTGAGAAATGTGTTGTTAGGCTCTTTTGTTGTGTGAACCTCATGGAGTGTACTTGCTGCGAAGCTAGATGGCACAGCCTCCTCCACACCTAGGCGCTATGGAGTAGGCTATTGCTTCTAGGCCACAAACCTACACACATGTGACTGCCCTGAATTCTGTGGGCAGTTGTAACACAATGGCAAGTATTTGTGTATCTAAACATAGAAAAGGTACAGTAAAAATATGATATAAAAGATTTTTTAAAAGGTGCACCTGTACAGGGCACTTACCGTGGATGGAGCTTGCAGGACTGGAAGTTGCTCCAGGTGAGTCAGTGAGTGAGTGGTGAGTGGATGGGAAAGCTAGGACAGTACTGTACACCACTGTAGACTTAACAGACACGGTACATTTAGGCTACACTAAATTTATTTTAAAAAATGTTTCCTCAATAATACATTAACCGTAGCTTACTGCAACTTGTTTACTTTGTAAACTTCTAAATTTCTTAACTGTTTGGGTTTTTTTTTTTTCTTTTTTTTGAGACAGAGTCTCGTTCTGTTACCCAGGCTGGAGTGCAGTGGCACGATCTTAGCTCACTGCAACCTCTGCCTCTCGGGTTCAAGCGATTCTTCTGCCTCAGTCTCCCCAGTAGCTGGGATTACAGACACCTTCCAACTGTAATCTAGTTTGTTTGTTGTTGTTGTTTTTGTATTTTTAGTAGAGACAGGGTTTCACCATGTTGGCCAGGCTGGTCTCGAACTCCTACCCTCTGGTGATCTGCCTCCCTCGGCCTCCCAAGTGCTGGGATTATAGGCATGAGCCGCTGCACCTGGCCTTGACTCTTTGGTAATACCACTTAGCTTAAAACACACCTTATTCAGTTGTACAAAAATATTTTCTTTATATCTTTATTCTGTAAGCTTTTTTTCTATTTTTAAATTTAAAATGTTCCGTTTTTATTTTTTTGCTTTCTGAGCTGCTTTTAGTAAAAACTAAGACACAAACACATGAGCCTAGGCCTCCACAGGATCATTAGTATCACTCTTCCTCCTCCACATCTTGTCCCACTGGAAGGTCTTCGGGGGCAGTAACACACGTGGAGCTGTCACTTCCTATGATAACAGTGCCTTCTTCTGGAATATCTCCTGAAGGACCTGCCTGAGGCTGTTTTACAGCTTTTTTTTTTTTTTTGTATATAAGTAGAAGGAGCACACTCTAAAATAACAATAAAAAGTATATATACAGACTGGCCAACATGGCGAAACCCCATCTCTACTAAAAATACAAAAGTTAGCTGGGCATAGTGGCAGGCGTCTGTAATCCCAGCCGCTCGGGAGGCTGAGGCAGGAGAATAGCTTGAATCCGGGAGGCAGAGGTTGCAGTGAGCTGAGATTGCGCCACTGCACTCCAGCCTGGGTGACAGGGCTAGACTCTATCTCAAAAAAAAAAAAAAAAGTATATATACTAAATATGTAAACCAGTAACATAGTCATTTATTATCCTTATCAAGTGTTATGTACTGTACATGGGCTGGGTGTGGTGGCTCACGCCTGTAATCCCAGCACTTTCGGAGCCTGAAGTGGGCGGATCACCTGAGATCAGGAGTTCTAGACCAGCCTGGCCCACATAGTGAAACCCTCTCTCTACTAAAAATACAAAAATTAGCTGGGCGACGTGGCGTGCACCTGTAATCTGAGCTACTCAGGAGGCTGAGGTAGGAGAATTGCTTGAATCCAGGAGGCAGAGGTTGCAGTGAGCCGAGATCACACCACTGCACTCCAGCCTGGGGAATAGAGGGAGACTCTGTCTCAAAAAAAAAAAAAAAAGATTATGTACTGTACATGATTGTATGTGTTACATTGTCTTTTACGTGACTGGAAGCACAGTAGGTTTATTTACACCAACACCACGACAAACAGGTGAATAATGCATGGCTCTCCGACCTCCCCGTGGCTCATGTCACTAGGCAATAGGAATTTTTCAGCTCCATGGTCGTCTTGTGGGACCACCCTTGTAAATGTGGTCCATTGTTGACTGAAACAGTGTTATGCAACACATGACTGCGTTAAGGTGGAGGGTGTTGAAATTTTGGGAAGGGTGGCCAGGGATGGCCTCCTTGGGAAAGTGGCCAGACCTGAAGGAGGTGAGGGAGTGGGAACAGCCAGTGCAAAGGCCCTGAGGTGAGGGGCCTGGTAAGATTGAGGCCCACATGGCTGGAGCGGAATGAGCCCAGGAGAGTGGGAGGGATGAGGGTAGAGAGGAGATATTTGCAGATCTCTTAGGGTCCTGCACAGGTTTGTCTTTTCTCTGATTGAGAAGGTTAAGATTTTTCAGGGTTGATTGATTTATTACTTTTTTTTTTTTTTTTTTTTTTGAGACGGAGTCTCACTCTGTTGCCAGGCTGGAGTGCAATGGCCCAATCTTGGCTCGCTGCAAGCTCCGCCTCCCAGGTTCAAGCGATTCTCCTGCCTCAGCCTCCTGAGTAGCTGGGACTACAGGCACGCACCACCATGCCCAGCTAATTTTTGTATTTTTAGTAGAGATGGGGTTTCACCATGATGGCCAGGATGGTCTCAAACTCTTGACCTCGTGATCCACCCTCCTTGGCCTCCCAAAGTGCTGGGATTACAGGCGTGAGCCATTGCGCCCGGCCGATTTATTACACTTTTGAAAAGTTTGACTAGTGACCACATGTACAAGGAACCAAAGCAACAAAAATAGGGCACCCAGTTCCCTTCCCAAGAGACCACCACAATTCCAGTTTCCTGATGGTGACCAGTTCCTTGACACTACATTATCTGAGTGAGTTTCCTGTCTTGTATTAGGTTGGACTGCCTGACATTGTGCTTTCGTGGGTCAAGAATGGTTGAATATTGGCAATTTTATGAGGTTCAGCCTAACAGCTTCCTTTCAGGAACATGAGGAATTTGGCCAATCCTTTCTTGCTGTGAGGGTTGGTAGTCCTCCCCCGATTCCTCCTGCATCTCACCATCCTCTTTCAGTGACAGGCCCAACAGTGCCTGTAACACCAGGGCGTGAAAACCCCTGCCCTACTTGTGGCCTCAAACCAGGGCTTGCTATTAAGCCCAGCAAGAGGCTGCCCCTTTTCCACGGGGACCTCACCTGGCTTCTGATGTTCGTCACTTTGGCTTTCTGCGTCTTGGTGCCACCAGTTTTGAAATCACAGCTCCCAGAGGGAGGGGCACCCGCGGACTCTTGCTGGGTGTTTGGTGTGACTCACATGGTGGGGGTGCTCTCTGGAACCCGTGGGCATTCTGCATCAGTCACCCATCAGAGTAGCTGGCAGAGCACCCAGCTTGAGGTGTCTGTGGGAATCTCTGCGGGGACCAGGTGGCTCAGGCTTGGGGAGGGGGCCTGAGGAGCCGTGCACCTCCCTGTAGCGATGGGAGACTTGCAAGTCGTTGTGGAACCAGGGCACTGGCCTCGGTCCTGTGGGAGCGGGTGGGGGTGAAATAACCTTAAAGGAGATATGGCGCCAACTTTGGAAGAGCTCAGTCGGGAAGTTGTGTCAGTTGGTAAGCCTTTGGCTGCAAACAGTAGTAACAGCATCAGCAGCAACAACTGCAGCAGCAAGTAGGCAATGTATGTAGCGTCTGCTGCATGCAAGACACTGTGCCGGGCCCTTCACATGAAGCCACTCCTTTAAGCCTCCCGACAACCCTGGAAGATATTATTCTCCCTTTGCAGATGAGGTAACTAAATTTGAATAACTTGTTCAAGGTCAGGCAGCTAAAAAAAGGTGGTGGCATGATTTTTTTTTTTTTAGATTCAGAGGGTACATGTGAAGGTTTGTTACATGAGTATATTGTGTGATGCTGAGGTTTGGGGTACAGATCCTGTCACTCAAATAGTGAACAGAGTACCCAATAGGTAGATTTTCTTTTCCTTTTTTTTTTTTTTTTGAGATGGAGTCTCGCTCTGTCACCCAGGGTGGAGTGTAGTGGCGCAATTTCAGCTCAGTGCAACCTCCGCCTCCCGGGTTTAAGCAATTCTCCCTACCTCAGCCTCCCGAGTAGCTGGGATTACAGGTGCCTCCACCAACCATGCCCGGCTAAACTTTTTTGTATTTTTTAGTAGAGATTGGATTTTGCCTTGTTGGACAGGCTGGTCTTGAACTCCTGACCTCAGGTGATCCACCCACCTTGGTCTCCCAAAGTGCTGGGATTACAGGCGTGAGCCACTGCGCCTAGCCCCCAGTAGGTAGATTTTCAACCCTTGCCCCATTCCTTCTTGGTTTTTGGAATTCTCAGTGTCTGTTGTTCGTGTGTGTGTGTGTGTGTGTGTGTGTGTGTGTGTGTGTGTACGTACCCAATGTTTAGCTCCCACTTAGAAGTAAGAACATGGGGTGTGTGTGTATATGCAATGTTTAGCTCCCACTTAGAATAAGAACATGGGGTGTGTGTGTGTGTGTGTGTGTGTGTGTGTGTGTGTGTATGCAATGTTTAGCTCTCACTTGTAAGAACATGGGGTGTGTGTGTGTGTGTGTGTACGTGTACGCAATGTTTAGCATCCCACTTAGAAGTAAGAACATTGGATATTTGGTTTTCTGTTTGTGCATTCATTCACTTAGGATAATGGCCTCCAGCTACATCCATGTTGCTGCAATAGACATGATTTCATTCTTGTTTAATGGCTGTGTAGTATTCCATGGTATATATGTACCACATTATCTTTGTCCAGTCCGCTGTTGATGGGCATCCGGGTTGATTCCCTGGCTTTGTGGGTTGATTCACATGCTATCGTGAAGAGTGCTGCGATGAACGTAGGAGTGCAGGTGTCGTTTGGTAGAATGGTTCCTTTTCCTTTGGGTAGATACCCAGAAATGGGATTGCTGGGTCGAACGGTAATTCTATTTTTAGTTCTTTGAGGAATCTTCAAACTGCTTTCCCCAGTGGCTGAGCTAATTTACATTCCCACCAACAGTGTATCAGCATGGTGACGTGATTTGGATTCAGGCAGTCTGACTCCAGAGCTGTATCTTAACTCTAAAGCTCTGTGTGCTACTGCAGTGGTTTTCAAACCCGAGCAAGACCAGGTGTGGTGGCTCACATCTGTAATCCCAGCACTCTGGGAGGCCGAGGCAGGTGGATCATTTGAGGCCAGGAGTTCGAGGCCAGCCTGGGCAACATGGTAAAACCCCATCTCTACTAAAAATGCAAAAATTAGCCGGGTGTGGTGGCACATACCTGTGGTCCCAGCTATTCGAGAGGCTGAGGCAGGAGAATTGCTTGAACCTGGGAGGCTCTGAGAGGTTGCAGTGAGCCAAGATCATGCCACTGCACTCCAGCCTGCGCAACAGAATGAGTGAGACTCCGTCTCAAAAAAAACAAAAAACCCTAGCAAGGATCAGAATCCCCAGAGGGCTAGGTAAAACACAGATTGCTGGGCCCCATCTGATTCTGTAAGTTCCTGATTCTGTAAGTCTAGCTTGAGAATTTGCATTTTGTGGTGACACTGGTGCCCCTGGTCCAGGAAGCACGTTTTGAGAACCATGAGCTACTGTAATAGGAAGCCCAAATGAAATTGGCCTGAAATAACGAGATTTATGATCTCATATAACAAAGAAGCCTGTAGGTAGGCAGCACAGCAGCACAGGAGTTGACTAAGCAGTTCCACAATGCCTGCAGGGACCCCATCCCTCTCCTTCAAGCCACTCTGCCATCCATGGTGTGTCTCCTGTGTCCCTAGGCTCCCTGCATGGCCACAAGATGACTGCCAAGGCTCCAGTTGGCACACACTGACAGTGCCACATCCAGCAGCAGAAAGAGGGCATCTCTCACTTGCTGTGTATCTCTTTAAGAGTGAGGAAACCTTTCATTGATTCCCTGCCTCCCAGATTTCCCTCATATCTCATTGGCCAGCATGGTGATATGTGACCCTGCCCAGAGAAACCAGCCAAGGGCCAATTAGGATTGACCCTCTGGGGCTGGGGCTGGGGCTGGGGCTGGAGCCGGGGCCAGCCTTACCTGAAGTAGGTAGCACAGGGAGGAGAGTGGCTACAGGAATGAAATCAGAGTACCATTTAGGAAAGGACTGGGAAAGGGGGAGGGATATTGGGTAGGCAGACAATTGGTTTTGCTGCAGAAATAAGTGGAACACAGGGAAAGCATAATGCCCATGCATTTTTGTCATCGTGCTTACCAGCTTTGTTTTGTAATTACCTGAATCAGGACTTAGCTTTTTGTTCTCTAATCATGCCCACCTTTGAAACTGTGCACAAAGTCCCAGTACCACAAGAACTCTGAATCTTGTTGGAATACCAAGTATTCTGTCTGGCAATTCAGGGAAACTTGAGTTGGGTGATGAGGCAGCAGTCTGAAGGTTAGAGTGCGAGGTCTTTGAGAGCACTCACTCACTCTGCCCAGAAACACCTGGGTCTCACCCATCTCTCTGCTCCTGACTCCCTCCCCCCTCCTCCTACCCTTCCTTGCAAAGGCTGTTTCCCCCTCTGAGGGCTGTTCTTGGATGAAAGGAGAGGATGCCAGTCAAGTGCTTACCCCCAGGGGCCAGCGCATGGTAAGTACTTAAGAACGTGGCCTCTGCTATTAACATATTAAATGTGACTTTTTATGTATGTATGTCTGTATCTATGTATGTATGTATGTGTTTGTTGTTTTTAGAGACAGTCTTGTTCTGTCACCCAGGCTAGAGTGCAGTGGTGTAATCATGGCTCACTGCAGCCTTGATCTCCTGGGCTCAAGCAATCCTCCCGCCTCAACCTCCCATGTGGCTGGGACCACAGGTGCATGCCACCGTGCCTGGCAAATTTTTTTTTTTTTTTTTTAGTTGGAGTCTCACTCTGTTTCCCAGGCTGGAGTGCAGTGGCGCGATCTCGGCTCACTGCAACCTCTGACTCCCTGGTTCAAGCGATTCTCCTGCCTCAGCCTCCCGAGTAGCTGGGACTACGGGCGCCCGCCACCACACCCGGCTATTTTGTATTTTTAGTAGAGACGGGGTTTCACTGTGTTAGTCTCGATCTCCTGACCTCATGATCCTCCCACCTTGGCCTCCCAAAGTGCTGGGATTACAGGCGTGAGCCACCGTGCCCAGCCCATGCCTGGCTAATTTTTTAATCATTCATAGAGACGAGGTCTCACTTTGTTGCCCAGGCTGGTCTCGAACTCCTGGGGCTCAAGCGATCCTCCCACTTCAGCCTCCCAAAGTGCTGAGATTACAGGTGTGAGCCACCGTGCCCAGCATAAATGTGACTTATAATAAATATTTTATAATCCTGCACCCCCTTACCAAAAAAAATCTATGAAGAGTGACCATCCCTTTTGCAGACTGAAATTTCCTGAGGATACCTGTTGCTACTGCTCGTGGCCACACTGTAAAGCCATTGCCCTTTGAGATTGCAAAGGGCTGAGGAATGCAGTGTGGGCTCTGAGCCAGACTGCTGAGTGCAAGTTCTTGATCCATCTTGGGCTCCCTGTTTTACTTTGGGCAAGCCACTTAGCCTTGCATGTCTTAGTTTCCGTATCTGTAAGGTGGAGCTGGTAATGGTACTGTCCTCCTAGGTTGTTGGGAGGATTCGAATGCATCAAAGCACGTGACATGCTTAGACACCCCTCCCCCCCAACCCCCAACAGCACCCGACCCAAAGCAGCACTCATACAATATGTATCAGCTAATCTTTGAATATTCTGTGCCAGTTCATTCACAGGGGACTATAAGCTCCCTGTGGGCAGGATTTATGTGGTTTTTGTTTACTACTGTGTCCCAGTGCCTGACTCAGAATAGACATTGTTTACATTTGTGTGTGTGGATGAAAAGAAGGATGGTAAGAGCCTTTCTTAATTTCTTTTCCTTCAGCTGCCTGGAATTTAAACTCTGACCTGAGCTGATTACTCGGTATTTTGAAGGAATAAAGTGGACCTGACTGACTCTGAGGGCAGCATGTGATAAGTGCAGCTGATTGTTGAGCATTTTTGTGAGCCACAAGCATAGTGCTCACCATAAAGATCTCACTTGGCCAGGCACAGTGGCTCATGCCTGTAATCCCAGCGCTTTGGGAGGCTGAGGAGGGAGGATCGCTTGAAGCTAGGAGTTTAAGACCAGCCTGGACAACACAGTGAGACCCTTGTCTCTACAAAAATAATAATAAAGCTCTCACTGACTCTTCATCCCATTTCATAGATGAGGAAACTGAGGCCCAGTGGGAGCACCTGCTTCTTCTTACAAGAGGAGATCTAAAGTAGTGGTTAAGGCCGGCCGCGGTGGCTCATGCCTGTAATCCCAGCACTTTGGGAGACCAAGTCAGGTGGACCTCCTGAGGTTGAGAGTTCAAGACCAGCGTGGCTAACATGTTGAAACTCCGTCTTTAATAAAAATAAAAAAAAAAGTAGCTGGGTGTGATGGTGCACGCCTGTAATCCCAGCTACTTGGGAGGCTGAGGCAGGAGAATCCCTTGAATCCAGAAGGCGGAGGTTGCAGTGAGCTGAGATCGCATCACTGCACTCCATCCAGCCTGGGTGACAGAGCAAGACTCTGTCTCAAAATAAAATAAAATAAATAAATAAAGTAGTGGGTAAAAACTGGAACCTTGGAGCTCCTCTGCTTGGGTTAGATCCCCACCCCAGCACTTTCTTCCTGTGTGACCTCCAGCCTATGACTTATTCGTTGAACTTCTCATCTGTAAAATAAGAATGCTGATAGTTCCTCCTTAGAGGGTCGCTGTGAGGGTTAGGAGAGAGAATTCATATGTAGCACTTAGAACAGCGCCTTGTGCAGTGAGCATTCCGGTTGTGGTTGTTATTATTAGCCAGCCAAAGCCGTTCAGTTGTGCTTCCAAAGCTGGCTGGAAGAGTCCAGCGACCGTGTTTAATCATTAAGCTGCATTGCCTCTGTGAGCTAGTGCCTCCTCTGCACGGGCCAAGGAGCCCGCCTTTAGATTGTACGGTTCTGAATGAAGCATCCAGGCGCAAGCTCAGGGCAGGGGACGGTGTGGGCACAAGTCCAGCCCTGGCTCTGTCAGTGAACAGGTGGCCTGTGCCTGAATCCGAGGTAATAGGCGAGCCGCCTTTGTTACCTTTGAGCTTTCTTTCAAGCCCATTCAGACTCCTCAGACCACGTGTCTGATGAGTAAGGAGGCCTTTTCTTTCCCTCCCCCAAAGGGAATGTTGGCAAAACAGCTTTCTTTGGGAACGCGCCTGTTCACGACGACCAGCCATCTCCTGGGGAACTCCGGTGGCTGGCTGGCGTGTTCCTGCGGCTGTTGAATAAGTCGCTGTTAGGAGCTGGCACGGCAGGTTCCCGTTTCCGCATTCCAGGCACCCACAGCGGGCTGGGGGCGGGCACCACTGAGGTCGGCCTGGAGAGCCAAGGCAGGTGGCCTCGCCCTGGGAGGACCAGGGACAGGAGGAGTCCACCTGGGGCTCCCCTGACAGCCACCTGCCCACTTTGTGATCAGAGCCGTGTTCGGGGAGTCTTTCAGGTGAGCGATATTCATTAAATTTGGCAGTGACTTGCAGAGAAAGTTCATCATGTTTCTTCCTCTCCGGAGTTAGACAGTTAGCTTTTTTTGTTTTCTCTTTTTTTCCCCCCTCTTCTCCCTGAAATGTTTACCTGTCTGCTCCTAACTGTGAAGAAAGAGTGGGCCGGGTGTTGACGGACTGAGAAAAATGGAGGACATTTCTCCCAAGAGAAGGAATCGGTGACTCTTTTAGTGAGTTGAGCTCCTGCTGGATGCAGACTTCTGTGCCGGGGCTGGGGGCGATCCCAGCCTGGTGTAGATGAGCTCTGTGGTCTCGCCTGAGTCCGCTTTCCTCTCTGGGCCTCAGTTTCCTCTTCTTGTGAAATGGGAACTAGCAGCAGTGCCCAATGAGTCATCTATGTAAACTGCTTCAAGCCTGGGCACTGAGCGGTGCTCAAGTCCCCCCTCCCCAACCCCAGGCCCCCATTTTCCCTGTGTGACCTCATCTGTGACCTCTCAGCTGCTTGCTTGCTGTACCCCAGCTGCACTGGCCTCCTGCTGTTCCTCCCTCGGAGACTTTGCCCTGGCTGTTCCCTCTGCCTGCAACACTTCCCCTAGAATTCCCCAGCGCCGCCTCCCTCCCTCCTTCCCTCAAGTCTCTGTTCAGATGTCACCTTCTCCATGAGGCCTCTCTCCTTATTAAATTGCACCTTCTCCCTCACCCTCGCCCTTACTCTTTGCTTTATTTTTCTTCATAGCATTTACTTCCACTTGACATATTTTGTCTATGCTCTGCTTCCCAGCTCTAGGCTCCATAGAAGCACAGGCACTTTTGTGTCCATCCTTGTAGAACCGTTCCTGGCACGTGGTAGATGCGGGCTAAATTGTGATATGAATGAATTTATATCAGGTGCAACATGATCCAAGGATGGGTGGCCAGCCCCGTTTGGGGTTTGAGGAGGGTGTCAGCTTTTCCAGGAACCTGTGGCTGTGGGTGAGGCGGCATGTGCAGATGCCTCCCCCTGGTCACCCAGTGGCTCTCTGGCACCTGCCTGCAGCATCCAGCCCTCTGCCTTCCTGTCCTGCAACCCCTGCAGTCTGTGCAGCCCAGGCCTGGTAGTGACTCATCTGGGCAGCCTGGGTGCCTGTGGCATGGAACAGGAAAGCTTGGCCTAGTAAGTGGAGAGGATGTCAGGTTCATTTAGGTGGAGAAGACTGTGTGGAAGATACCACCCATATACACACATCTCATATGTATCTCCAGCCCCTGCTTGCTGTTCCTGCAGGGGGAGGCCAGGGAGTGCCTGGGAAGTAGCAATTAACCAGCCAGGCACAGTTGAGCCATCTCCCCTGCTTTAATGGGTAATAATTCTTGCTCTGGGGCTGAACAAGTTTTAATTAAATGGTGAGCGCGAAGAATCTGACCGTGTAATAGCTGACACGTCCTCATCTATTTTCTAGCTCCCGGTGTCAGCAATTGATTCTGTAAAAATATCCTGGGCAGGGCTTCCCTGAGCTCCATGAGTGAGGTCAGTGGCCTTCTTGGATTTCTCCCAGCATGAGGCACCAGGGGACTGAGGTGCTGATGGACTTCGCGCCGCTGTAGCATACATCATCGCATGTCAGGACCTGCTGCTATTTTAAGAATGTGCAGAGCAGGAGGGAAGCTCTTCTGCAACATTTAACACATATGTCCCTTGAGCTCCCAGTGCGGGAGTTTGGGGTTGAGTTGAGGACTCTCCTATTACACTTATTTCATGTAATGCCTGAGCCCCAACACTGTGGGCACAGTAGTTCTCTGGGCCACAGGTTCCTTATCTGGAAAATGGGGATAATTAATAGATGATTAAACGAGAAGTCAAAGTGAGATCAGGTGACTCAGTGCTGTGTCTAGTGCATAGATAGCAAATTAGATTTAAGAAAGACAATTCTTTTTAAGAATTCTTTTCAAGCCCCTTTTTAATATTTTCGGTCTGTCCTTTTTTGTGCCCACCCCCGACCCTGGTTCCACCCCTGTGTCAGCATCCTCCCGCAATCCTTCACCCATGGTAACAATCAAGGACTGTATGTATCTTTCCACATTTTTCTCCATGGTTATATAATCCTATAGGAGATAATATTACACTTATTTTCTTGCATTTTGCTCTTCTCACATAGCAGTGCCATGTGGAATGCCTCTGAGTCCTTGCATAGTGCTGAGATTTGCTCTTTTTAGTGGCTGCGTAACACACAGTGGTGTGGATGCACCATAATTGATTTGGCCAAGACATCACTGATAGGCATTCCCTTTTCTCCTAGAGTTTTTTTTTCCCACAAATTATTATTTTTATTGATAACCTTCTTTAATTAGATTGCAGATGTCCAACCTGTTTGGCCACCTTGTTAAGTTCTAGGCCTTTGAGAATGAATATGAAGTAACAGTAGTGCAATGATGCCTCTCGTCCAGATAGAAGATGTATTTTTGGAGGGTTCTCACCAAGTCCAGCACTGTGTTGAACCAAAAAGCATTTTTTAAATGCTTTTTTATTATTAGAATAATTAATAGATTCATCACACTTAGCCAGATTAGTTGTGTTTAATGTACTTATTATGAAATAAGAGTGAAAGGACAGTTCATGTTTTTTCATATTAACAATCTTGGTTGGAAATCAGAATGTGCAAGAGATTTTTGTTGGGATTTGTGATTGATTGTGTGTTTCTTTTTCAGGTGGCACTTTAGTTAGGGACTATGCTTGTGTTCAGGAAACTTGTACAGCGTTGTACCCAGATAGAGATTTGTTCTAGTTGTCTATTGCTGCACCACAAGCCACCCCTAAACTTAAGGCCTTAAAATGACAGCAGTTTCTTATTTCTTGTGAACCTGTGGTTGACTGGGGCTCAGCAGGATGGTTCTTCTGCTGGTCTTGCTTGGGGTCTGTTATGTGGCTGCAGTCAGAGGGTGGATGGGGTTGGAACATTCAACATGGCTTTACTGAAATGGCACCTTGGGAATGGCTGGGTCCATGTCTGTCCATAGTCTTGGGACCTCTCCTTTCATGTGGCCTGGCCAGCCTGTAGCTGGACTTATAACACGGCAGCTGAGGGCTTTTGTGAGCCTTCTTAAGGCATAGATTTAGAACTGGCTCCACATCACTTCTACTTCATTCTGTTAGTTAATGTGAGTTGAAGAGTCAGCCCAGATTCAGTATGGGAGGGATATCACAAAACAAGTTCCAGGAGGTGTGGTCCACTGTGGGCACCTTTCTATCCTGGCTACCATGGGGTTCATTTTCTCATGTAAGAAGTGCAGAGCTCAGCAGGCTAAGGTGACGCTCACCTTACCCTCTCTCTGCTGCTCCAGGTCACCATCCTTAGCCTCATATTCATAAAATGGTTGCTCTACCTCCAGCCTGATATCCTTGTGATGGGCAGGCAGAACCAGGGCTCTAAGGAAAGGAGACAGCACCTGTATCAAGAAGCCAAAGCCTTCCCTGAAATCTTTAGCAGACGTCTGCTTGTGACTATTTGGCTAGAACTTTGTGACATGGCCACTCCTTGCTGCAAGGACATCTACAGTTTTTCAGTTGGGCCCATTGCCACCCTGAGCAAAGGGTCAATAAGGAAGAAGACGGAGAGTGGACATGTTGGGCATTCACCTGCCAGCACTCCATCCAGACAGCCACAGAAGTGGTGGGTAAACAGAGACAGCATACATTCACTTATCAACTGTTTAGTAAATTCCTGGCATGGGCAGGGCACTGGGCTTCTCCCAAAGACTGTAAGAGTGTGCAGGATTATTTGCAGACATTGACCAGATCATTGCTGAGCTCACCTCTCTCATATCAGTGTTCGAAGTTAGTCTAATGATAAGAATAGTAGCCAGTCTCATTAAGGGCTTACCTTGTGTAGAGGAACTGTTACGAATACTTTTCATAAGCCAACTCAGTGAATCTTCACAGTGGCCCTATGAAATGGGCATTGTTATCACCCCCTCTTCTCAGAGGCAGAAACAGAGGCACAGAGAGGTTCAGTAACTTGCCATATTTCCTCTGACAAGGGCATGGTGGAGTTGAGATGCAGTCTCTCCTGGTCTGGCTCTGGAGGCATGTACTGAACCATTTGGCTATACTGCTTTGGTTAATTACAGGAAACATTTCTTGTTGAAATGAATATGTAATTGACAGCAGAATAAAACATGAAACAAAAACCACTTACTACTCCATCCCCTCCACTCCTGCTTCCTGCCTCATTGGTCTCATCTGTCAGTAACCTAGTATATATTCTTCCTCACCTCTTTCTAAATGCATTAATTTTTAAAATCTTTTGAGAGTCTGGGTCTCACTGTGACACTTAGGCTGGAATAGAATGGTTGGCTAATTTTTTTCATTTGTTTGTAGAGATGGGATCTTGCTATGTTGCCCAGGCTGGTTTCAGACTCCTGGGCTCAAGTGATCCTCCTGCCTTGGCTTCCCAAAGCATTGGCATTACAGGCGTGAGCCACCATACCTGGCCTGTATTAACTTTTTAAAGATGGCCTTTGGACACACAGAATTGGATTAATCATAATGCGTGGTGCATGATACACTGGCATTTTTGGTCCATGAAAAAAATATTCATCTATCATAATGAACAGCCGTTAGCCCACTGTTTGCCCAAGAACTTGAATATTACCAGTAACTTACATGTACCTATGTGGTACTTCCCATTCACTTTCCTGCCTGCTCTCTCAGAAGTGACCACCATCTTGAATTTTGTGTTTATTATTCTTTGCTTTAAAAGAATGATTTTTGAACTTTATCAAAATATGGCTGAGTGTGGTGGCTCATGTGTGTAATCCCAGCACTTTGGGAGGCTGAGGCAGCAGGATTTCTTGAGCCCAGGAGTTTGAGACCAGCCTGGGCAACATGGCAAGACCTCATCTCTACAAAAAAATTTTTAAAAATTAGCCAGGTGTGGTGGCATGCACTTGTGGTCCCAGCTACTTAGGAGGCTTAGGAGGAAGGATTGCTTGAGCTCAGGAGGTTGAGGCTGCAGTGAGCCTGGTTCGTGCCACTGCACTGTAGCCAGGGCGACAGAGTGAAACCCTGTCTCAAAAAAAAAAAAAAAAAAAAAAAGACCAGGCACGGTGGCTCACACCTGTAATCCCAGCACTTTGGGAGGCTGAGGTGGGCAGATCATGAGCTTAAGAGATTGAGACCATCCTGGCCTACATGGTGAAACCCCATCTCTACTAAAAATACAAAAAAATTAGCTGGGTGTGGTGGTGCGCACCTGTAGTCCCAGCTACTGAGGAGGCTGAGGCAGGAGAATTGCTTGAACCCAGGAGGCGGAGGTTGCAGTGAGCTGAGATGGTGCCACTGCACTCCAGCCTGGGCGACAGAGCAAGACTCCACCTCAAAAAAAGAAAAAGAAAAAGATATACTGTACATAGTTTTCTGAGACTTGCATTTTTCAGCTAATATTATGATTCTAACATTGATTTAGACTGGTACCACTGGGACTCATGCATTTTTATTTACTGCCATGTGAGTATTCCACTGGCTGAATATACCATGTTTTTGTTTTAGGCATTTCCATGCCAATGGACATTTTGTTTTCAGATTTTTTGCTGTTCACAGGCTGCTGTGAATATTGTTACACTTCCTGGTGCACATGGACAAGCATTTCTTTCAGGTATGTACTGGACATGAGATTTCTGGATTGTAGGTTGTGATCATCTTTAGCTTTGCCAGATATTACTGAGCTGCTCTTTAAACATCCCACCAAGGATGAGTTTCTTTTATTCTGTATCCTTGTCACATTTGGTTTTGTAAAACTTTTTTACTTTTGCCAGCCTAGTGGATAGGAAATGAAATCTCATTGTGGTTAATTTACCCCTGAAGACTAGTAAGGCAGAATATCTTTTCATTCATGTTTCTCCTTCTGGATATTGCTTGCTCATCACATCTGCTTCTTTTTCTTTTTTTCTTTTTTCTTTTTTTTTTTTTTTTTAGGTGGAGTTTTACTCTTGTCACCCAGGCTGGAGTGCAGTGGTGTGATTTTGATTCACTGCAACTGCACCTGCTGGGTTCAAGCAATTCTCCTGCCTCAGCCTCACGAGTAGTTGGGATTGCAGGCACCTGCCACCACACCCAGCTAATTTTTGTATTTTTAGTAGAGACGGGATTTCATCATGTTGGCCAGGCTGGTCTCAAACTCCTGAGCTCAGGTGATCCGCCTTTCTCAGCCTTCCAAAGTTCTGGGATTACAGGCGTGAGCCACAGTGCCCGGCCACTTTTGCTTCTTTTTCCTATTGAATTGTAGGTGTTCTTTATATACTGTGGCTACTAATCCTGGGGTGGCAGCCTATTTAACCTAATAAAAGTTTATGATCCTCGGGTCATCCTTTCTGTAGTTGTTTTCTTTCCCCTGCTATTCTCCCCCCAATTCCATGATACCTTTTTGTGTACCTCCAGCTCACAGTGATCCACTCTTTGAAACAGTCCTCAACTTCTGGGCATTTGTATATGTTAGTACAGATGTATGACTGACTATACCTGTTCTACCCACTGTGCCGTTGCATTTTGGTATCAGATGTATCTGTTAGGATTAGTTTCAACTACAGGCTGGCCATGGTGGCACACACCTGTAATCCCAGCTACTCAAGAGGCTGAGGTAGGAGAATTGCTTGAATCCAGGAGGCGGAGGCTGCAGTGAGCCGAGATTGCACCATGCACTCCAGCCTGGGCGACAGAGTGAGACTCCATGTCAAAAAAAAAAAAAAAAAAAAAGGATTAGTTTCAACCGCATATAATTTAGTTTCAACAAAGTGACAGTGGCCTAAGCAAGATAGCTTATTTCTCTCTCACGTAAAGGAGCCCCGTAATAGACAGGCGAGCCTGTGTTCTCATCAGGGACCCAGGCTGCTTCCACCTTCTGGCTCCACCACCTGTATCCTGCCACCTCATGGTATGAGACAGCTGCCCAAGCTCTAGCCATTACGTCCCAGGAGGCAAGTAAGAAAAAAGGAGACTTAAATTGTACACAGCAAGTCTGCTTACACCTTTGCCCAGAATTTAATCTCAGTACTATATGTAGCTGCAGGGGAACCTGGGAAATGTAGTTTTATTTCCCATGGCCTTATTCTTAGCTAAAATTTAGATTTGATTGCTAAGTGAAAAGGGGAGACTCAATATTGGAGTAGGCAGCCGGTAATGTCACTAGTTCTGAGGTGTTCCCTAGTGGAGCTGAAAGGAGCCATCAGACACCAGGATGGTACCTGTAGATGATGCCCTCCCCACTTTTGGTTCTTTGATTAATTACACAGATATTTATGGAGCACCTGTTTTGTACAGGCACTATTCTGGGAACTGGGAAGAGAGTAATGGAAAAGCAAACGGGGTCTCCACCCTTGCAGAGCTCGTATTTTAAAAGAGCAGCTAGATAGTAAGCAAGTCAGTTACTTAGTGCGTCAGAGATAAGGGGTGTGAAGAAAAATAAAGGAGGCTGGGCATAGAGGCTCTCAACTGTACTCCCAGCACTTTGGGAGGCTGAGGCAGGAGGATTGCTTGAGCCCAGGAGGTCAAGGCTGCAGTGAGCCGAGATTGCACCGCTGCGTTCCAGCCTGGGTGACAGGCTAAAAAAAAACCCTGCCTAAAAACAAACAAACAAAAAAAAAAACAAAAAAAAAGCTTTACCTCTTACTAACTCATGACCACTCTGTTTTCTTCTATATCCACCACCACCCACCCTCTACTGTATTATTTTAACGCTAAATAGTTGAGTATCTGCAAGATAAGGATTCTTTAAAGACATAATGAGAAGACCATTTTAATCATGACAATAATTAACATTAATTGCTTACATCATCTGGTATCCGCACAGTGTTAACATCTCAGATCATCTCATAAATATCTTTCTAGAATTGGTTTGTTCCAATCAGGACCCAACAGGGCTCACCATTGGAGTTGGTTCATCTGCGTGTGAAGCCTCATTTAATCTATGGCTTCTCCCTCCCTCCAGCTCACTGCAACCTCCGTCTCCCGAGTTCAGGCGATTCTCCACCTCAGCCTCCTTAGTAGCTGGGATTATAGGCATGTACCACCACGCCCAGCTAATTTTTTTGTATTTTTAGTAGAGACAGGGTTTCACCATGTTGGCCAGGCTGGTCTCAAACCCCTGACCTCAAAGGATCCTCCCACTTCAGCTTCCTAAAGTGCTGGGATTGCAGGAGTGAGCCACCACACCTGGCTTGATTTTTCTTTGTTTTTCTCTTGCAGTTTATATGTTCAGAAAGGCCATGTCATTTGTCCTGTATATGATCAGGCCTGGATCTGACCGATCATATCCCTGTTGCAGTGTTTAACTTATTCTTCTATCTCTGTGTTTCCTATAAATGAATCATTGGATTTGCAGAGTAGGTGAATTTCAGGTTTGAGATGTACACACACACACACATACACACACACACACACACACACACACACACACACACTGTTTCTTTTTTGGCAGGCAGGGCTAGCCGTCCTCCTAGGTGTTGCTGTGTATCCGTTAGGGATGTAAAGCTGGGGGCCCCTTTCTGTATTGGTGTTAGTGGCCGTGGATGACCATTGCTCAGAGCCATTATTTCATTTGGGGTGTACAAAAATTGTGCTGTTGTAATTCTGTCCACCTCTTCATTTATTAGTGGGACTATTCCTCTAGAGAGAACCTGCCCCTCATCTATTATTCAGTTATCCTGAGGGTACTGGCTCTTTTGAACTTTTGTTTGCCTTAGAAATGACTATTGAACAATTGGGCTGGTGGTTTCTAATCTGTTGTGTGTTTTTTTTTTTTTTTTTTCCTGCAGAGATTCAAATCTTCCTTGTTTTTATGTTCATTCATTTGACATTTGCCGGTCTCCACCACTGCTCATACCCTGTCCTGAGCTTGCCAATAAACAGATGAACCAGTCCAGTCATCTCATTGTGTGGGCACGGCTGCTCCAGGCCTTACCTTTGACCGGGTGGGGCCTTGCGGGTGTTTGTCGAAGTAATGAGACTGTGGACATTCCCATCTTTCTCTCTCTTTCCCCTGTCGTGCATTGTCAGACCTTATAGTCTTTGGTGAGTTCCTGCTCTACGCCAAGGAATTAGTCCTTTATGCTTGGGGCAAGAGGTTTTTGAGTATTTGGATTTCTTCTGATCTGAAACTCCATTCCTAGACAAAAGAACAATAAAGGGCTCTACTCCATTGCAGAGGCAAGCCCTGGTAACCTGGCCAGGGGCGAGCCCTGACCCCAGCCACTGTTGTCTGGGTCATAAATTCTTGAGAGCAGTAGCACGCTTGAAATCATTTAGATGCTTTGGGATCAGTTATTCATTATATTGCACGATATCTAAGGGCCTCTTTGCTGCTAGAGATTACAACACATTCCTCCTGGGGGCAGAAGATTTATTGTGCAGTGATGTGCAAACTCATTCATTCATTCCATTGTTAACTTCTTCATTCAGCAAATATTTACTGAACATCACATATGCTTCCAGTGCCGGGGACGGAGCCCGATAAGGTCTGTCCTCCTGGAGTTCATTGTTTAGGTTGGGGGACACAGTCAAGGAAGAAGTAAACAGATTAATAAGATAATTCCAGATGGGGATGAATAATGCTGTGGAGTCAGGAAAGCAGAATGGCGAGAGAGACACGCCTGGAAGTAGAAGGGATTGTGGGAGGCTGGAAAACTGGGGTCGTTGGGGGAGAGCCTCCTCGGGGTGGTGACATGCCAGCTGAGAGTGGAGTGGTATGCAAAGGTGCCAGCCTTGTGAAAGATCAGGGAAGAGCTTTCCCAGCAGAGGGAACAGCAGGTGCAAAGGCGCTGAGGCTGGAATGAGTTTGACGTGTGAAGGAGTGTGGGGTGGGGGTGGGAAGGAGGGGGAGGGCAGGAGACGGGGGTGGCGGGGGAGCCTGGTGAGGGTGTGGGTTTGATTCAGAGTGTCCTCCCATGCCCTCTGGCTACGGCGTGGAGCATAGATTGAAGGTGGGAGTGGAAGTAGGGCAGTGAGGGGCAGCCTGTTTTGCAGTGAGGAGAGAAGTAGAGTCCCGGATGAGAGTGGTGGCAATGGGGACAAGAAGTGGGTGGCCCAACAGAACTTGTTTAGGGATTGGTCATGCTGGGTGGTGAGTGGGTTGAAAGGTTTACCAGCGGGTTCAGGCTTTGGTCTGCAGGATTTTGTGGTAGTAAGGATAGCCCCAGTCCCCTTTAACATGGGCTGAGGTTTTCTTTCAATTTTTGTATTTTTAGTAGAGACAGGTTTTCCAGGCTGGTCTGGAATCCTGGCCTCAAGTGATCCTTCTGCCTCGGCCTCCCAAAGTGCTGGGATTAGATGCGTGAGCCACACCCAGCCTCTTTCTCTCTCTCTCTCTCTCTCTCTTTTTTTTTTTTTTTTTTTTGTAGAGACAGGGTCTTGCTGCATTGCCCAAGCTGGTATCAAACTCCTGGCACCAGGTGATCCTCCTGCCTTGGCCTCCCAAAGTTGCTGGGATTCTAGGCGTGAGTCACTCTGCCTGGCCAAGAGCTGAGGTTTTCTACTACACACATCTCGTCTAGCCCTCATATGGTAGACTCTTAATGCCCATTTCAACCCCGAAGAAACTGAGGCCCAGAGAAGTGAAGTCCTTAATCCTTGTCACATAGGCTGTTGGGGCTGGATTGGAACGTGGATAGCCCCACCCACAGTCCGACCACGCTCTCTTCTTCTCCCTCACTCCAACTACAGCTGTTAATTCATGGTATTGACACAGCCTGTGTCCAGGAGGAGCCAAATGTCAGTGTCATACATTTCTGAAGTCAAGAGGGGATCAAATCCACATCAGTGGCCTTTTCACCATTCCCACTAACCTGGATTCCAACACACCTTTTATGACAGTAATTATTACAGGGCAGAAAACGGGGACTTTCGATTGCTGACCACTTTACACGAGGCCCAGATAAGGTGTGCATCTAGGCCCTGGACTTTGAGCCCTGAGCCTGCTTAACTGATTGGGCTGAAAGTGTTCTCACCCATCAAATCCTCCTTATCACCTTCTCCAGAACTCCAGCTGTAAAGGGAGCTCACCACTCACAGGGTGTGTGTTGTATGTGACACCTCAGCCAGCCAAATGGCTTTACTTGGTGTCCTCTCAGAAGAGGTGTGACCTCCTTCTCTTAGCGTGGTCTCCTGTGGAAAGTCATGTTGAGTTTGGTGCTGCCTCTGCTTGCGTTTAGGCCTCTTGACAAGGATTGTATGTTGATCAATTTTTTAAAAGTGTTTTTAAAAAATCTTTACTGCTTTAAAATGTACAGAAGCCACACGCTGGCTGTAACCCGTTCCAACAGCAGAGCAGTATGTAGAGAAAGCATGGGCCGGACACGCCTGTAATCCCAGCACTTTGGGAAGCCTAGGTGGGCGGATCACCTGAGGTCAGGAGTTCGAGACCAGCCTGGCCAACATGGCGAAACCGCATCTCTACTAAAAATAAAAAAAATTAGCCAGGTGCAGAGGCATGCGCCTGTAATCCCAGCTACTTGGGAGGCTGAGACAGGAGAATCGCTTGAACCCAGGAGGTGGAGGTTGCAGTGAGCTGAGATCGCACCACTGCACTCCAGCCTGGGTGACAGAGTGAGACTCCGTCTCAAAAAAAAAAAAAAAGCATGAAGATCTGCTTCATTGTCTTGACCTAGTGGCCTGGCTTTGCCCCCAGGTCCTGCCCAGATGCATATTAAGTGCACACTTCCAGGTCTTGGTCTGTGCAGTGGATTGTTTGTTAAGAGCCAGGGTGCCTGGGTTCAAGTCCTAGTATTGCTGTGTACTGACTGTGTGAACTTGGGCCTTTACTTAATCTCCCTGTGCCTTGATTTCTCCATCTTTAAAATGATGGTGATGATCCCAACCTCATAGGCTTTTAAGGATTTACCCTGTTAATGTATTAATATGTAAAAGAATAGTGCCTAGCATGTTTGTTAAGTACAGGTGATCCTTGATGGGGTTATGTTCTGATGCACCTGTTATACGCTGAAATTACCCTTAAGTCAAAAGTGCATTCACACCTGTCATCCCAGCACTTTGGGAGGCTGAGGCGGGCAGATCACTTGAGGTCAGGAGTTCGAGACCAGCCTGGCCAACATGGTGAAACCCCATCTCTACTAAAAGTACTAAATTAGCCGGGCGTGGTGGCAGGTCCCTCTAATCCCAGCTACTCGGGAGGCTGAGCCAGGAGAATCACTTGAGCCCTGGAGGCGGAGGTTGGAGTAAGCCGAGGTTGTTGCCACTGCACTCCAGCCTGGGTGATAGAGCGAGACTCCATCTCATAAATAAATAAATAAATAAATGCATTCAATACACCTCACCTTTCAAACATCATAGCTTAGCCTAGCCTTCCTTAAATGTGCTCAGAACACCTGCATTAGCTTATAGTTGGGGAAAAATAATCTAACATAAAGCCTATTTTATAGTAAAGTGCTGAGTATCTCATGTACTGCTTATTGCTGGCCTGGAAAAAGTTCAAAATGCAAAGTACATTGAAATTGCAGCCATTTGTGCCATGGTAAAGTCAAAAAATTGCAAGTCAGAGACTGTCTGTACTCATGTCTTAGGTTGTTTTTTTTTTTGAGACAGAGTCAAAACTCTGTCATCCAGGCTGGAGTGCAGTGGTGCGATCTCGGCTCACTGCAACCTCCACCTCCCAGGTTCAAGTGATTCTCCTGCTTCAGCCTCCCGGTAGCTGGGACTACAGGCGTGTACCACCACACCTGGCTGATATTTTTTTGTATTTTTTGTAGAGACGGGGTTTCACCATTTTGCCTAGACTGGTCTCGAATTCCTGAGCTCAGCAATCTGCCCACTTCAGCCTTCCAAAGTGCTAGAATTACAGGTGTGAGCCACCGCGCCCAGCCAGCTATTTTTTTTTATTATACATCTATGTGAGTACCGCAGTTTGTTTTATAGACATACTCTAGGTATGCCGTCCTGCAGATTACACTTGAGTAGTCTAGCTTAAGAGATCCCCCCGTGTCTGTGGGTCAAGGTCTGTGGCATTCTTTTTAATGGCTACATAGCATTCCACTCTATTTGTTGCCTGTTGTTGAACATACTGGCTGTTCCCATCTTTCATTATTGGAACTCTGAACATCTCACACACAAAAATCATTTGTTTGCTTCTTAAGTTTTTCTTGGGACAAAGTCCTAGAGTTGCAATTCCTGAAACAGAGTGTCTATTTTTAAAGACTTGTGGCTGGGCGTGGTGGCTCACGCCTGTAATACCAGCACTTTGGGAGGCCAAGGCGGGAGGATCACCTGAGGTCAGGAGTTCAAGACCAGCCTGGCCAACATGGTGAAACCCCGTCTCTACTAAAGATACAAAAATTAGCCTGGCGTGGTGGCAAGCGCCTGTAATCCCAGCTACTCAGGAGGCTGAGGCAGGAGAATTGCTTGAACGCGGGAGGCAGAGGTTGCAATGAACCAAGAATGCACCATTGCACTCCAACCTGGGGGACAACAGCGAGACTTTGTCTCAAAAAAAAAAAATAATAATAATAATAAAGACTTGTGATATTTATTGTTGACTTGTATTCCGGAAGGGTCCAGTACAGGAGTTCTGGTTTCCTGGATCCTCACCAACGCTGGGCTCACACTGCTTCTTTCCCTCCCCACACTTTTTTTTGTGTGTGTGTGTGGAGATGGGGTCTTGCTCTGTTGCCCAGGCTGGTCTTGAACTCCTGGCCTCAAGCGATCCTCCCCCATCGGCCTCCCAAAGTGTTCGGATTACAGGCATCAGCCACCATCCATGGCCCAGAATGCTTTTTAATCTTTGCTATTTGGGTAACCAAAAGTTACCAAAGTAACTAATAATTTACATTTATTTGATTTCTGGTGAAGTTTATTGTATATGTATCTGTTTATTAATCATGTATTTCCTAGTTAATTACCTATTTCTCTGGGGGGTATTTTTATTTCTTGTTAATTTGTGGAAGATTTCTTTACATGTTGAAGATATGAATCATTTTGTTATGTTGCAAATTTATATTCCTAAATTGTTTATCTTTTAGTTTTTTTTTGTTAAACATTCAGAGGCTTCTTAATTTTTGTGTTGTTAGAGCTATTTTTCCTTTGTGTTTTTTGTTTTGCTTGTTTTATGTATGCTTTGGCTTTCATTTTAGGATGAGATAAATATTTTCTTCCTAGTTATTTTACGGCTTTGTTTTTACATCTAGGATCTGATATTTATTTTGGAATTGGTTGTGAGATAAAGATCTAGCTCCTGGGCCAGGCGCAGTGGCTCACGCCTATAATCCCAGCACTTTGGGAGGCAGAGGCAGGAGGATCACTTGAGGCCAAGAGGCCAGGAGTTTGACACCAGCCTTGGCAACATAGTGAGACCCCACCTCTACAAAAAATAAAAAATCTAGCTGGGTGTGGTGGCGCACACCTGTGGTCTCAGCTACTGGCAAGACTGAGGTGGGAGGATTGCTTGAGCCCTGGAGTTCAAGATTATAGTGAGCTGGGATTGCGCCACTGCACTCCAGCCTGGGCAACAGAGTGAGACCTTGTCTCTTAAAAACAAATCCGTCCAGGCATGGCGGCCCACGCCTGTAATCCCAGCACTTTGGGAGGCCGAGGCGGGCGGATCACAAGGTCAGGAGATCGAGACCATCCTGGCTAACATGGTGAAACTTCGTCTCTACTAAAAATACAAAAAATTAGCTGGGTGTGGTGGCAGGCACCTGTAGTCCCAGCTACTCAGGAGGCTGAGACAGGAGAATTGCTTGAACCCAGGAGGCAGAGGTTGCAGTGAGCCAAGATTGCGCCTCTGCACTCCAGCCTGGGCGACAGAGTGAGACTCCATATCAAAAAAAAAAAAAAAGTCCAACTCCCCCACCTCAGTAGTCAATGAGTTGTCCCTATCCTACTGACTAAATAATCCGTTCTTTCCCACTAATATGAAACTCAAACTTACTGTGAGCCAGGCCCTGGTCTGTCAAGTTTACCTTTCTAGTCTCCTGCCGTAACTCAATGAAGCAGATTGATAATATTCCCATTCACAGCAAGAAAACCGAAGCACAAAGAGGTGTCGTTTCTTGCGTGACATTTCACAGCTTGGATGGGGCAGAGCCTGGCTGGAAATATTGCAGATTTATTTAATAACCAGCCCCCTTATTTGTAATATGTTTTCAGCAGTTTTTCCTGCAGTTTCTTGCCAAATCTCCCTTTTGTCCACCTGTAACAGCCTGCAGCACTTTCCCTATGCTGGAGTTCTATGTTTTAGGCCTGTTCTCTGCCTCTGCCCTGGCCAAGACTTCTGTGGCAATGTCAGATGCCAGTGGAGGCTGCTGGCAGGCGTGGACGTCTCAGATGTCTGATCCTTCAGGAGCCCCCTCCACGGGGCCCTGGCTAGGCAGTGACCAGGATGTTTCTGAATCCCCTTAAGTTAATGGTGGCCACTTAGGCAGCGGAAGTGTCATGAAAGACTCTTCTGTCCCCATGGCTGGGCCAAACCAGGGAAGACGCTGACATCAAGCACAATTGAGAACAAGCAGCAGTAGGCAATGTTCTGGGGCTATTAATTCATCCTGGGGGAAAAAACCTCACAGTGGATTAAATTGGTTTATGTAAAGTGCTGAGAAGAGCCCAGCCTGGGCAACATGATGAAATCTTGTATCTACAAAAAATACAAAAATTGGCTGGGCATGGTGGCATGCACCTGTGGTCCCAGTTACTCGAGAGGCTGAGGTGGGAGGATCACCTGAGCCTGGGAAGGTTAAGGCTGCAGTGAGCCGTGATTGTGCCACTGCACTCCAGCCTGGGCAGCAGAGTGAGACCCGGTCTTAAAAAAAAGAAAAAAAAAAAAAGAAGAGTGGTTGGCACATAGTAAACACTCACATACATATTAGTCATTGTTCCTCTGTTTCCAAAGGTAGGAAGAAAGTTCCCAGGAGGTGTGCTTAGAATGTGGGTAGGCAGATACCACTCGGGTATTTCCTGAGCACCTATGCCATGGCACACAAGTGCTGGGGCCACAGTTAGGGCTCAGGACAGGCACGGCCCCCACGCTCTTGGAGCTGACATTCTAGAAGGCAGGTGGATCCTAGATACAACAGATACATGACGTAATGTTATGTAGTGAGAAGTGCTAGAGATTGAGGGAGGCTACTGTTTTATTAGAAGTGACCAAGGCAGGCCTCTAAAGAGGTTGCCTTTGAGTCAAGGCCTGAAAGATAAGGAGCCAGCCGTGGAAGGCACATTCCAGGCAGGACCACAGATGCAAACCCCAAGGCTGGAGCTTCCAGAGCTTGTTCCCAGCAATTCACAGATGCCACTGTGGCAGGAGGGCAGCGGGGGAGAATGGCAGGAGATGGCATCAGAGAGGGAGCCAGGTGGACCTTAGGTTCTTTTGGTTGAAAATAACAGAAACCCACCTTAGACCCACCTAAGCCTCAAAGAATTGTGAGATGCCTCCTGAGGCCTAGGACTTGCACTGTCTCCTGGCATCAGGATCGATAGGCCTGAGGCCTAGGCGATTTTCTGTCTCCATCTCCCATCTCTGTCTCTTCTTTATCTCTGCTTTCTTCTCTCTTTGGGTTTCTCCAGGCATTTGGCCACCTCATTGCTCCTTCTTTTATGGGATTTCCAGGTCGCAACCACAGATGGTCACCTCTCATCCAGTGAGCTATGGCTGGAGAATAAGCATGGCCATCCCACCCGTGCCTGTGTACATGCACAGTTTTCATTCAAAGGGGACTATAAGGCCAGGCACAGTGACTCACACCTGTAATTTCAGCACTTTGGGAGGCTGAGGTGGGCGGCTAACCTGAGGTCAGGAGTTCAAGACCAGCCTGGCCAACATGGTGAAACCCCATCTCTACTAAAAATACAAAATTAGCCAGGTGTGGTGGCGCACGCCTGTAATCCCAGCTATTCCGGAGATTGAGGCAGGAGAATCGCTTGAACCTGGGAAGCGGAGGTTGCGGTAAGCTGAGATCCCGCCATTGCACTCCAGCCTGGGAGACGAGAGAAACTCTGTCTCAAAAAAAAAAAAAGTTGGAGAGGGGACTCTAGGAAGCCTGAAAGACCCACTCCCCTGCTGTCCTGGCCTAGGGTACATTTCCCTTTTCTCATATGAAGCAACATCATATCATGGTTAAGAACATGGCCACATTGGCCGGGTGCAGTGGCTCACGCCTTTAATCCCAGCACTTTGGGAGGCCAAGGCAGGCGGATCACAAGGTCAAGAGATTGAAACCATCCTGGCCAAAATGGTGAAACCCTGTCTCTACTAAAAATACAAAAATTACCTGGGCGTGGTGGTGCATGCCTGTAGTCCCAGCTACTCGGGAGGCTGAGGCAGGAGAATCGCTTGAACCCGGGAGGCAGAGGTTGCAGTGAGCCAAGATGGCGCCATTGCACTCCAACCTGGGCGATGGAGCCAGACTGTGTCTCAAAAAAAAAAAAAAAAAAAAAAAAGAGTGTGACCACATTGTCTGGATTCAGAGCTCTGCCACTTGCTAGCTGTGTGACCTTGGACTCATCACCTCACTCTTGGGGCTGCAGTTTTCTCACCTGTAAAATGAGGATGCTAAAGCCTTTTACTTCAGGGTGTGGTTCAGAGCATTAGACAAACTTAGGTAAAGGACTCAGTCTGAGCCTGATACACAGTAAGCACTCAAAGTATTAGTTTTCATCATCATCGTTGTCATCCTTACTTTTCCTTCCTGAGGCCGGATGGTGCTCTACAGTTCAAGATAGGACTTGGGAATAAAGAGCGTAGGATTGATCTCAGCTCTGTGACCTTGCCCAAGTGAGTAACAGCTTTGGTTTCTTCATCTGCGTAGTAAGGACAAGAAAGAGCTTACAGGGCTCGATCATTGGATGTACGTTTGTCGTCTGAGATTTGGGGCGACTGGAAATTCAAGAGATCCCAAGTTCCCTGCTCAGTGCAGCCCCAGCTCCTGATCACACTTGAACGCGAGCTGATGGCGGGCTTGGTTCTAGGGCCTGCCTCGCCTCTGTCATGAAGGCTGCGCGGGGCCCTTCTGTGCCGAGACTGGCGCTTGCTCCCCACAAGCCCGTCTGCTGCTCCCTCCGCTGCGAGCCCTCCCAGGTCTGATCCGCCTGTCCCCAGTACCCCGGCATGCGGCACTTTTCCTTCTTCTCTTGTGAAAGGCAGATCTGGAAGAAGCTTCTGGGGAAATGCTGTGTTTGTGTCTGGTTATATCTATTCCCCAGACGGTGATTCTTAAACCTGGCTGTGGGTTGGCATCACCTGGGGAATCTTGGTAACAGTTGGGATTCTCTGGCTTCACTCCTGGAGCATCTGCTCCCGCAGGTGGAGAGGAAGATCATCTGCTGGTTTGGCCGCCCTACAACCATTCACCATTCTTTTGGGGTTTTCCTGTTGGGAACTGCTCTTCCTCCATCCCGTCCGTTCACTTACTGAGACCGCTGTGTGCAATTTATTATTTACCCCAGGCACTGGGGATATGGCAGGGAATCTGGAATATGCCCTTGAAACTGGAATTGTGTCTGTCCGTTAGATCACAGTACCGTAAGGCTGTCACTTTCTGATTTTTATAATTGTACTGTGATCCAGAGATTCTTCTTAGGAAATACCCACATCTTGAGGGGTTACAAACAAGAGCAAATTAACTGGAAAAGGGAAGCAAACCAGTGTTGGCTGAACAAACATGAAAATGACTACAATGTTTATCTTCAGTTTTGGGAGAATTGTCATGAAGACTCAACCACAGTGTCATCCTTTGTACAGAATAGGATTCTAATCAGGAGACCAGTGCTCATGTGCACAGCTTTGAGTGTGAAGATCTAAAAATTTTAGTTGGTAGGATGATTACAGATTATTTTCATCTTCCTCTTTACAGATTATTTTCATCTTCCTCTTTAAACTTTTGTATATTTTTCACATTTTCTAGAAGGAAGTTTTAGAAACAGAAGTGGGAAAAAAAACAACTTAAAAAAAGCCCCGGGCCAGGCGCAGCGGCTCACACCTGTAATCCCAGCACTTTGGGAGGCTGAGGTGGGCGGATCACGAGGTCAGGAAATAGAGACTATCCTGGCCAACACAGTGAAACCCCGTCTCTACTAAAATGCAAAAAATTAGCCGGGCATGGTGGCGGGCGCCTGTAGTCCCAGCTACTCGGGAGGCTGAGGCAGGGGAATCACTTGAACCCAGGAGGCGGAGGCTGCAGTGAGCCGAGATCACACCACTGCACTCCAGCCTGGCGACAGAGCAAGACTGTCTCAAAAAAAAAAAAAAAAAAAAAAAGCCCCACTGTTGTGGAATGTCCTGGTCTACCTGGTTTGGACTTAGAAATGCCTTAGGAGTAGCCTGGGCAGTTCAGGTCATTCCTTATCTTCCTGCCATAGGGATTGGTTCAAGGAAGGGAGGAGGTGAGTCAGTCCAATCAGAATTAAGACAGGTCTTTCTCTGGAGCTCCCAGGAAAGAAGAGGAGCTTTCTTCCTATGGAGGTGCCAAGTTGTAGAGTGTAAGCTTAATGCTGCTGGGGGCCTGGGGACCATCTTTGCTCAGAGGGTCGAGTGGAAAGGAGATGGAAATAATTCATTACAGACAAATTCTTTGGGTAACTGAACTTCTCAGTAATGGGAGCCAAAACATTGGCCCTTTTTCCCCTCAAGTCAGTTTGAATTGGGTCTCTGCCACTTGCAACCGAAAGAGTCCTAAGTAATACAGTAATTTTAGTGGACCCTAGAATCTATATTTAAATTTAAAAAATTCTCTGCCAGGCGCAGTGGCTCATGCCTGTAATCCTAGCACTTTGGGATGCCGAGGTGGGTAGATCACTTGAGGCCAGGAGTTCAAAACCAGCCTGGCCAACATGGTGAAACCCTGTCTTTACTAAAAATGCAAAAACTAGCCAGGTGTGGTGGCAGGCACCTGTAATCCCAGCTACTCAGGGGGCTGAGGCAGGAGAATTCCTTGAACCCGGGTGGTGAAGGTTGCAGTGAGCCAAGATCGTGCCATTGCACTCCAGCCTGAGGAACAGAGTGAGACTCTGTCTCAAAAATAAAATAAAATATAAAAATAAATAAATAATTCTCCAGAAATGATTTGTATGAATCAGATATTTGAGAACCACTTTGCTAGACTTTCCTGAGTGGCGGTTCTTAGCTTTATGTGATCAACAGACTGGCCTGGGGAACTTGTTAAAATACAGCAGCTCTGTTCCACATTGCTGGAGATTCTGGTTTGGGGCCTGAGGCCTGGGTATCTGCATTTTGAACACCATCCTGGGTGATTGCATACACTTCAGAGTGTGTGTATGCACAGAGGATTCTTGGCCGGGCACGGTGGCTCACGCCTGTAATCCCAGCACTTTGGGAGGCCGAGGTGGGTGGATTACAAGGTCGGGAGATCCTGGCTAACATGGTGAAACTCCGTCTGTACTAAAAATACAAAAACAATTAGCCAGGCGTGGTGGCGGAGGCCTGTAGTCCCAGCTACTCAGGAGGCTGAGGCAGGAGAATGGCGTGAACCCGCATTCTCAGCTTACAATCCTATCCATAGAGGGGGCCCAGGATCCTTCTCAAATGAATGAAAGTAGAGTTTAAGTCTGCAGTTTTTTTCCTCTTTGGAAAAAAACATTCCTTTCCTGCCCATGACCCAGCCTTGCACACTGGCCGCTAAACCTGGCGTATCGCATCATGTTTCAGGAGGAATTTGGTCAGATCTGTGCACTTTATTAGGATAATGGTTGACCCAGTGTGTACCTCCCCAGGTAACTTTGGAAAGAGCTGGATAGAGTTCATGACCAATTCGGAACAAAGTCTGCTCTTAGGAGGAATTTTGCTAATAGTGGGAAATATTCAAGAGGGTAATCACTGACTTAGTTCAAGGTAATTTAAGGTGAATGCATTCCTCATGTGTGTGTGTGTGTATGTGTGTGCATGCGTGCCAAACTTACTTGAGGTGAAGGAGGGGCGAAAGCCCTTTTACTCGAATGAAAGGAAATCTTTTGAATTGACCTATCGGTTCAGAAAATCCCTTTTCAAATCTTCCCTTGAGCAGCTTTGCTTTTGAGGCCCCTGAAAGCTGGGAAAGAAGGGGCTGTGAGGCCTGACTGACTCCTCGCTGCTGGCTGTACCCCCAGGCACGTGTGATTTTGCCATTGTCTGAAATCTTGCTTTCCCCAGAATTTGTGCCCCATGCTGAGTTCCTACAGCTCAGCCACCAGGAATTAGGGCATGGGTTAGCCAGGATTATTCAAATTTAATCTGATCATCGTTAAACATTTTTGCTTGCATCCTCCCCAAAAGAATTTTGATAAGCCCCTGTATACCTCCTTGTACACTGTAAAGCTAACATCTAAAATAAGCTTATGGTAACTTTAAATTTGTCTTATTTGTGGGAGAAGAAAATAGTACACATTTTGAAGGTCGAATGTAATTGAAATATTTTATGATGTGGTTAGATAAAAAAAAGTTTTTACTACCTTATTGAGTAAAGTACACAGAAGCTGAAAGCAATCATGTAAATTTTTCCCTGGGAATTTTTTCTTGGTGGATCTAGAAAAATTCAGTGGTCCTGAAAAATGTTCCCTTTGAACAAATCAGAGCCACTAACCTATACTGCTTTGACATTCATGATCCTACTATGGTTCAGAAAATCCTATTTTTAAAGCCCAGTTTCATGTTTGGCAGAAAGATACTTAAGTCAGGGAAAGACAGGCAAGTCTGGGGGTTTAAGTAGCTTTTTATTGTTCACTAAAGGCTACTTCCCCGAAACCAATATTGATGTTGTGTGTTTGGAGTCCTGGAGGTTTACACACCTCTCGGTCGTGCTCCTTGGGAAAATGGGGGAGTGCACAACAGCGGGTGGGCAGTGGGGAAGGAGACAGGCTGGTTTGCAGCCAGATCAGTTTTAGGAAGAGGAACTTGTGGATGTTGAGGATCTGAACATTGCTTCCCTTGAAAACACTGTTTTCAAGATACTCCTGTATCTGTTAAGTTTCCGTAAACCCCTAGTGATAAGCACATCCAAGCGTGAAGCCTCTCGGCTTTAAGAACCAGGCGGTTTCATATGGAGTGGGAAGTCCAGAGGTGATTAGGTTACAGAAGTTGTCACCACCACCGCCTGTATGTGTGTATATATACACACGTGCCATAAAAGTCACCCATTCAGAATATGCAATTCAGGCTGGGCGCAGTGGCTTATGCCTGTAATCCCAGTACTTTGGGAGGCCAAGGCAGGCAGATCTCTTGAGGCCAGGAGTTCGAGACCAGCAAGGACAACATGGTGAAACCCTGTCTCTACTAAAAATACAAAAATTAGCCAGGCATTGTGGTGCATGCCTGTAGTCCCAGGTACTTGGGTAGCTGAAGCACGAGGATTGCTTGAACACAGGAGGCGGGGGTTGCAGTGAGCCGGGATCACACCACTGCACTCCAGCCTGGGTGACAGAGTGAGATGCTGTCTCTCAAAAAAAAAAAAAAAAAAAAAGGCCAGGCATGGTGGCTCACACCTGTAATCCTAGCACTTTGGCAGGCCGAGGTGGGTAGATCACCTGAGGTCGAGAGTTTGAGACCAGCCTGACCAACATGGAGAAACCCCGTCTCTACTAAAAATACAAAATTAGCCAGGTGTGTTGGCACATGCCTGTAATCCCCGCTACTCAGGAGGCTGAGGCAGGAGAATCGCTTGAACCTAGGAGGCGGAGGTTGCCGTGAGCCAAGATCGCACCATTGCATTCCAGCCTGGGCAACAAGAGCAAAACTCTGTCTCAAAAAAAAAAAAAAAGAGTATGCAATTCAGCTGTTTTTGGTAAATTTGTGAAGCTGCATAACTATCACCACAATCCAGTTTTAGAATATTACCACCACCCCAAAAGATATCCATCTTGTACCTCTTTGCAGGCAGTCCTTGCTTCCACGCCTAGGCCCAGGCTACCACTAACCTGCTCTTTGTCTCTGTAGATTTGCGTTTCCTGAACATTTCAAATACATGCAGTCATACAGTATGTAGTCTTTTCTGTACCAGGCTTCCGTCACTTAGCATAATGTTTCTGCGCTTCCTCCAGGTGATAGCTCATATCAGTCGTTCATTTGTTCTTATTGCTGAATAATATTCTATTGTATGGGTAAACCACATTTTGTTTATTCGTTAACCATGAATGGATAATTTCATTACCATTATTCGTTAATGGATACTTGGATTGTTTCCAGTTTGGGCTAGTATGAGTAGTGCTGTTATAGACATTTATGTTCAGGTCTTTGTGTGGACATGTTTTCATTTCTGCTCAGGAGTGGAATTACTGGGTCATTTGGTAACTCTGTTTAAGTTTTTAAGAAACTGCCAGATTGTTTTCCAAAGTGGCTGCGCCATTTTCATAGATAGGGTCTCATGATGTTGTCCAGGCTGGAGTACAATGGCTATTCACAGGCGTGATCATGGCGCACTACAGTATCAAACTCCTGGGCTCAAGCTGTTTTCCCGCTTCAGCCTCCTGAATAGTTGGGACCACAGGTGCGTGCCACCGCCCCTGGCTGGGGTCCAGTATTTCTTTATCCTCACCAACGCTTATTGTTACAGCCATCCTGGTGGGTGTGCAGTGGTATCTCATTGTAGTTGTGATTTGCATGTCTCTGATGACTAATGCTGTTGATCATCTTTTTATGTGCTTATTGGCCATTCGTGTATCTTCTTTGGTGAAATATGTATTTGTATTGTTTGCCTATTTCTTAATCTTGTTATTTCATTGAGTTGTAAGAGTTCTTGATATGTTCTGGATAACACTCATCAGATATGTAGTTTGCAAATATTTTTTCCCAGAAAATATTTTTATTTTTTTAGTCATGCCTTTGGAAGTATAAAAGTTTTGTTTTTTTTTTTTTTTGAGACTGAGTCTCACTCTTGTCACCCAGGTTGGAGCAGTGGCACAATCTCGGCTCACTGCAATCTCTGCCTCCCGGGTTCAAGCAATTCTCCTGCCTCAGCCTCCTGAGTAGCCGGGATTACATGCACACGCCACCATGCCCAGCTAATTTTTGTATTTTTAGTAGAGATGGGGTTTCGCCATGTTGGCCAGGCTGGTCTTGAACTCCTGACCTCAAGTGATCCGCCCACCTTGGCCTCCCAAAGTGTTGGGATTACAGGTGTGAGCCACCACGCCCACCCTAATATAAAAGTTTTTAATTTTGGAAATTCCGTTTATCAATTAGTCTTTTATGGATTGTGCTTTTGGTATTATATTTAAGAACTCTTTGACCCAGTATCATGAAGTTCTTCTTTCATGTTTTCTCCTAGAAGTTGCATACTTTTAACTCTTGCCTTTGAATCTATCATTAATTTTGATATCATTTTTGTGTATTACATAAGGGGCCTAAATTTATCTTTTTGCGTATTAATATCCAATTATCCCAGCTCCATTTGTTGAAAAAAAGACCATTTTCCTCCACTGAATTAGGTAGCACTATGGTAAAAGTCATTTGATTATTAATATAAGGGTTTGTTTCTTCTGATCTATTGGTTTAAATGTCTATCCTACTGCTAGTGCCACAGTCTTCATTACTGTAGCTTTAAAGTTACTTTAGAAATCGGGAAGTGTTAAGTCCTCACCTTGTTTTGTTTTCCAAAATTGTTTTGGCTTGTGTGGGTCCTTTGCATACTGACAAGTTTTCAGATCACCTTGTCAATATCTGCACAAAAGCCTGCTGGGATTTGATAGACTGTGTGTTGACTCTACATGTCAATATGGTGAGAATTGCCATATTAATGTTTAGTCTTCCAGTTTGTGTACAAAGAATGCTTCTCTGTTTATTTAGATTGTCTTTAATTTCTTTCAGCTTTTCAGTGCTTGTAGCTTTCAGTGTACAAGTCTACACTTATGTTAAATTTATTCTTATGTATTTTTTTTATGCTATTGTGAATGGAATTTTTTTTTCTTTTTTTTCTTTTTTCTTTTCTTTTGAGACAGGATCTCACTGTTACCCAGTCTGGAGTGCAGTGGCACAATCATGGCCTTTTGGGCTCAAGCAGCCCTCCCATCTCAACCTCCTGCATAGCTAGGACTATAGGCACATGTCACCATGCCCAGCTAATTTTTAATTTAATTTAATTTATTTTTTGAGACAGAGTCTTCTGTTGCCCAGGCTGGTGTACAGTGGCATAATCACAGCTCACTGCAGCCTCGACTTCTGAGCTCAAGTGATCCTCTCACCTTAGCTTCTGGAGTAGCTGTGACTATAGGCATGCATCACCATGCCTGGCTAATTTTTTTTTTATTTTTGTGGAGGCAGGGTTTTGCCGTGTTGCCCAGGCTGGTCTTGAACTCCCAGGCCCAAACAGTCCTCCTGCCTCAGCCTCCAAAAGTGCTGGAATTACAGGCATGAGCCACCATATCTGGCCTAAAAAGTATCTTATTTAGTGGAGATATTTGGAGATAGGATGCCACACTTTGTATGATTTCAGTCCTTTAAAGTTTTTTTTACCTTTTCTTTTGAAATAATTTCAGTCTCACAAGAAGTTGCAAAAATACTACAAATAGGCTGGGCATGGTGGCTCATGCCTGCAATCCCAGCCCTTTGGGAGGCCAGGGTAGTTGGATTGCTTCAGCCCAGGAGTTTGAGACCAGCCCAGGCAACATGGCAAAACCCTGCTCTATAAAAAATTAGCTGGGCATGGTGGTGTGCACCTGTAATTTGAGCTACCAGGGAGGCTGAGGTGGGAGGATCACCTGAGCCCAGAGGGATCAAGGCTGCAGTGAGCCATGATTGTGCCACCACACTCCAGCCTGGGCAACCGAGTGAGTCCCTGTCTGAAAACAAAAAACAAAAACTACAAATGTTTATCTACATGTGAAAGAATGAAGTTGGACCCTTACCTCACACCATATACAAAAATTAACTCAAAGTAGATCATAGACCTAAATGTAAGAGTTAAAATTATAAAATTCTTAGAAGAAAACATAAGATTATATATTTGTGACCTTGAGTTAGGCAATGGTTTCTTAGGTGAGAACAAAAGCTCAAACAACAGAAGAAAGAACAAAAGCACAAACAACAGAAGAAAAAAATAGACACATTGGACTTCATGAAAATTTAAAACTTTTGTGATGCAAAGGATGCCATCAAGAACATAAAAAGACAAACCGTAGAATGGGAGAAGATAATTGCAAATCATGTCTATAAAGGACTTATGTGCTGAATATACAAAGAACTCTCACAACTTGACAATATAAAAACAACCCAATATAGAACATGGGCAAAGGATTTGAATGGCTCTTTCTCCAAAACATCCAAATGGCCTATAAGCACATGAAAATGGCTCAATATAATTATCATTAGGGTAATGCTAATCAAAACCACAAGATTCTATTTCACACCAACTAGGATGGCTAGAGCCAAAATGATGGGCAATAACAAGTGTTGGCCAGGATGTGGAGAAATTGGAACCCTCATACATGGCTGGTGGGATTGTAAAATGGTGTAGCCATTTTGGAAAACAATTTGGCAGTTACTCAAAAAAATATATACATAGAGTTACCATATGATCCAGCAATTCCACTCCTAGGTATATACTCAAATACTAATATATGTTCACATAATTACTTGTGCATACATGTTCAGAGTAGCGTTATTCGTAACCCCAGAAGTGAAAATGACCCGATGTCCATCAACTGATAATTGGCTAAACAGAATGCGATATAGACCCACAATGGTATATTACTCTGTCATAGAAAGGAATGAAGTACTGATACAGACTACAACATGGATGAACCCTGAAACACACATGAATGAAAGAAACCAGACCCAAAAGAGCACATCTTGCTTCATCCCATTTATATGAAATGTTCAGAGTAAGCAAATCTACAGAGACAGAAAATAGATTAGTGTTTGCTGAGGGCTGGGGATGCTGTGAACAGGAAATGGAAAGTGATTGCTAGGAGTACAGAGTTTATTTTGGAGATGATAAAAATTTTCTAAGCTCAGGTTGTGGTGATGGTGAATTACACACTTTTAAAGGGTAAATTTCATTCATTGACGTTTGATGTGATTGTTGGTGTGTTTGGATTAACATCTGTCATTTTTGCTGTTTTCTGTATGCCTCACATCTTTTTTCCTCCTTTTATTCTCCCTTTATTGCCGTCTTTCTGATAAGCAGATATTTTCTAGTGTTTCATTTTTATTTTGTTGGGTTTTAAAAAACTTTCTTTTTTTTTTTTTTTTAATTGGGTCTCTAGGGATCACAGCATGCGTCTAAATTTATCACAGCCTACTTCAGATTAATATTAAAACTTAGTTCTAGTTAAATATAGAAATTTTGCTCTAATATAGTTTCATTTTCTTTTCCCTCTTTTGTGTTATTATTGTCACATGTTACAAGCCCCACAGTATGGTTTTATAATTATTTTATGAAATCTTACATCTTTTAAATCAGTCGAGAAGAAAAGAAAAAATGTATTTATGCCATCTTTTATATTTGCCCATGTATTTACCTTTTCTCATGTTTTTTCTTTCTTATTGTAAATTGGAGTTATATGGCCTCTTTTCCTTTCAGCCTAAAGGATTTATGTAATATTTCTTACAGATCAAATCTTCTAGCAGTGAATTCTCTCAGTCTTTGTCTGGGAATGCCTTTATTTTGCCTTGATTGATTGATTTTGGTGCAGGGTCTTGCTCTGTAGCACAGGCTGGAGTGCACTGAACTGCAGCCTCAACCTACTGTGTTCAAGCGATCCTCCACCTCAGCCTTCTGAGTAGCTGGGACTATAGGTGCGCGCCACCACACTCAGCTAATTTTTTTTTTTTTTTTTTGAGACAGAGTCTGGCTCTGTTGCCCAGGCTGGAGTGCAGTGGCATGATCTTGGCTCACTGCAAGCTCCGCCTGCTGGGTTCACGCCATTCTCCTGCCTCAGCCTCCCGAGTAGCTGGGACTACAGGTGCCCACCACCACGCCTGGCTAATTTTTTTTTTTTATTTTTAGTAGAGACGGGGTTTCACCTTGTTAGCCAGGATGGTCTCGATCTCCTGACCTTGCAATCCGCCTGCCTTGGCCTCCCAAAGTGCTGGGATTACAGGCGTGAGCCACTGCGCCCAGCCTCACACTCAGCTAATTTTTAAATTTTTTGTAGAGATGAGGTTTTGCCATGTTGCTCAGGCCGGTCTTGAACTCCTGGACCCTAGCAATCCTCCCACCTTGACCTCCCAAAGTACTGGGATTACAGGCATGAGCAACTGCACCCAGCCAATTTTAAAAAAAAATATATTTTTTTTTGTTTTGAGACAGAGTCTTGCTCTGTCACCCAGGCTGGAGTGCAGTGGTGTGACCTTGGCTCACTGCAGCCTCCACCTCCTGGGTTGAAGGGATCCTCCCGCCTCATCCTCCTGAGTAGCTGGGCTTACAGGCACCCGCCACCACACTTGGCTAATTTTTGTATTTTTAGTAGAGATGGGGTTTCACCATCTTGGCCAGGGTGATCTTGAACTCCTGGCCTCAAGTGATCCACCCGCCTTGGCTTTCCAGAGTGCTGGAATTACAGGTGTGAGCCACCGTGCCCAACCCTTTTTTTTTTTTTTAATTTAAAATTTTTCTTTAGTGATGGGGATCTCGCTGTGTTGCCCAGGCTGGTCTCAAACTCCTGGCCTCAAGTTATCTTCGTACCTGGGCTTCTCAAAGTGCTGGGATTACAGGCATGAGTTACTGTGCCCTTCTCCACCTTGATTTTTGAAGGATAGTTTTGCTGGCTATAGAATTCTTATTTGACAGTTTTTTTTTCTTCAGCATTTTGAAAATGCTATCCTGATGTCTTCTGGCCTCCATTGTTTGTGGTGGGAAATGAGCTGTCATTTGTACTGATGCTCCCTGTGTGTAGACTTTTTCTTTTCCTACTTTGAAGCTTTTCTCCTTGTCTTTGTCTTTCAACAATTTGACTATGTTTAAAAACAAAACAACACGAAAACCAATTTGACTACGTTGTGTCCAGTGTGGCTCTCTTTCTATTTATTGTATATGGAGTTTCTTGGCCTTCTTGGATGTGTAAACTAATGTGTTCCATCAGATTTGGGATGTTTTGGGCTATTACTTGTTCAGATTTTTTTTTCTGGCACTTTCTCTCTCCTCTCATAGGACTCCCATTATGTCTGTCTTGATGCCTTTGATGATGTCCCTCATGTCTCTGAAGGCCTGTTTATTCGTATTCAATCTTTCTTACAGATTATTTAAATTCTGTACAGATTATATACTTTTTTTGATCTATCTTTAAGCCCACTGGTTCTTTTCAAATCTGCCGTTGAGCCCCTCTAGTGAATTTTTTATTTCAGTTATCAGAATTTCCATTGCTTTTTTTCTAATTTCTATTTATTATTTCTACTTTCCTTTAATTCTTTAAATGTTATTTTATTTATCTTTGAACATACTTATAATAGCTGTTTGAAATGTAACTTGTAAGCCGTCTAGAAGGCAATTTCTATTAACTGATTCATTTCCTGAGTATGGGTCACATTTTACTGTTTGTGTGTCTCACAATTTTTCTTTCATTCTTTTTTTTTTTTTTTGAGACAGAGTCTAACTCTGTTGCCCAGGCTGGAGTGCAGTGGCACGATTTTGGCTCACTGCAACCTCCGCCTCCGGAGTTCAAGCAATTCTCCTGCCTCAGCCTCCCGAGTAGCTGGGATTGCAGGCCTGCGCCACCACGCCTGGCTGATTTTTGTATTTTTACTAGAGATGGGGTTTCCCCATGTTGGCCAGGCTGGTCTCAAACTCCTGACCTCAGGTGATCTGCCCGCCTCGGCCTCTGAAAGTGCTGGGGTTACAGGTGTGAGCCACCGTGCTTGGCCATGAGCCACTGCAGCCGGCCTTTTTTTTTTTTTTTTTTTTTTTGAGATAGGGTTCCACTCTGTTGCCCAGGCCAGAGTGCAGTGGCAGGATCATGGCTCTTCTCAGCCTTGACTTCCTGGGCTCAAATGATTCTCTTGCCTCAGCCTCCTGAGTTGCTGGGACTATAGGCATGCAACACCATGCCCAGCTTTGTGTGTTTGGCGAGGGTGTGCACACACATGCATACGTGTAGGGATGGGGTCTTCCTATCTTGTCCAGGCTGGTCTCAGACTCCTGGGCTCAAGCGATCCTCCTGCCTTGGCTTTCCAGAGTGTTGGGATTACAAGCGTGAGCCACCTCACCCAGCCTCAGTTTGTTTTGTTGTTGAACACTGAACATTTTAGATCATACACTGTAGCAGCTGTGGATTCTGATTTCTACCTTCCAGGCCATGGTTGCCGTTGCCATTTTTCTCCTTTTGTTTTGTTTACTGAGTATCCTGGGCTAATTCTTTGGAGTTTGTCCCCTTGTGGTATAGACTCTTTTCTCTTTTAAAAAAATTGTTTTAATTTTAAGCATAACTTACTAGGGGTTGCCTTTGGTTCAGCATGGTTTAGTGGTCAGATTAAAGGTTGTGCTGAAACACCTTGAGCCAATAAAGCTTCCATCCTTTGCCAATGGATCTGTGTCTGTGGGTTGGGGAATATTTTCAAAGTTCAGTTTCTTCCTTTTTTTTTTCCAAGCAGTTCCTGAGTCGGCCCCAGCCATTACTTTCTGCCTGGCCATCTGGTGTCTCCCTTGCACACTCTCAAGGCCTCATGTTGGGCCAGGGATGTGTGGACAGCAAGGGCCCCCTCTAGTCTCTCTGGAGCTTGTGTGCAACCTTGTATATATGCACATTGTTCCAGACCAGCAGGGCTGCATGGGACCTTACCAAGGCCTTGTGTGGCTATCTCATTCCCTGGATCTTCCTGCTAAATTTCTGGCTGGTCTACAGGCCTGCTGCTGGCTCCAGCCAGATCGTAACCACAGTCTAGCTGTGATGTTGGTCTTCCCCATTTGTTTGGCACTAGGCCCCAGTCCAGCCACAAAGTTTTCATGGCTTGCTCTGCCTTGGTCAAACTGATGGAGCTGGTGCGTGTGATGGGAGGAACCCCAAATTAAACGCCACATGTTCCCACTGTTCTTACTTGAAGTTCAGCGTTTATTTATTGAGTTTTTGAGTAACTGCTTCTTGGGTAGTTATATGCCTTTGGTTGATTTCTAGAATCCTCAAATGGTTGTGTTTGGCAATTCTGTCTACTTTCATTGTTGATTTTGGTGGGAAATACTTTTCTGAGCTCCTCTCCACTTCCCCATTCCAGAAGTCTGGTTAGCAGCTTTGACTTTTGATTTTCTCTTTAATTTAAGACATACCCAGAAGTCTTTCCAAATTTCCAAACTTTAAATATGTAGCTCTAGCTACATATTTCAGTCAATTTGGAAGCTTTTTGAGTTGTTGGGTTTGGTTTTTGTTTTTTAATTTTACTTTTTAGTATGAACAATTGCAAACATATAAGAAGTGGAGTTTATATTATCCAGGTGTGACCAAGCTTATTTTGTTTATATTCTGACTTTGCCCACTCCTCAGCCCATTGTTTTGAGGCAAGTACCATATATCATATTTCCCTTCACCCATAAATATTTCAGTAAATAGTTCTAAAGGGAGAAGAGGCTGAATGCAGTAGTTCATACCTGTAATCTCAACACTTTGGGAGGTGGAGACAGGATGGAGTTTGAGACTAGCCTGGGTAACATGGCAAGACCCCATCTCTACAGAAAATTTTTTTAAAAATTAGGCATGGTGGTGCATGCCTGTGGTCTGAGGCTAAGGCAGGAGGGTTGCTTGAGCCCGGGAGGTCAAGACTGCAGTGAGCCATGTTCATGACACTGTACTCCAGCCTGGGTGGTAGAGCAAGATCCTGTCTCAAAAAAATAAGATAAAAGGAGAAAATTTCTCTTTAGAAACACAACGGTGATATAATTATCACAGCTAAAGCATTTAATAGTAATTTCTGTCTTTCTTTTTGTTTGTTTGTTTGTTTGTTTTGAGACAGAGTCTCACTCTGTCATCCAGGCTGGAGTGCAATGGCCCGATCTCAGCTCACTGCAACCTCTGCCTCCCAGGTTCAAGTGATTCTCCTGCCTCAGCCTCCCAAGTAGCTAGGATTACAGGCATGTGCCACCACCACGCCTGGCTAATTTTTGTATTTTTAGTAGAGACAGGGTTTCACCATGTTGGCCAGGCTGGTCTCGAACTCCTGACCTCAAGTGATCCACCCGCCTCAGCCTCCCAAAGTGCTGGGACTACAGTTGTGAGCCACCGCGCCCGGCCAGCATTTAATAGTAATTTCTTAATATCATAAAATAGACTCGGGGAACCTTGAAAAGTAAGATGCCCAGTCAAGTGAAATCAGATTCTCTGAGAGTGAGGCCTGGACATCAGCATATATTAGACTCCCTCGGTAATTGTGACATGCAGCTGAGGTTGAGAACCATTGAGTTAGATAGAATTCTCTATACCCTTTTCCAGAATTGTTCATTTCTCATGTAAATGCATTAGCATGAAAGTATTCTGATAGAAAATTATCTGTTTTGGGGAATTCAAGAAAATTTCTTTCCTAATATGGGATCAATTTTTATGGCCATCCCATGGATAGTTTATAAAGAATTAATCTCATCTGTTTTCTGGCAAGGGGTTCTATATGAACTTTTAAAATCAAATTTGCTAGTTTGTATTACTCAGATTCTCTCTAGCCATAATTTTGGTCAATTTTATCTGTTACTCTCCTGAAAAGAAATATGTTTGCTTCCCACAGGGATTATGATTTTATCAGTTCTTTTTATATTTCTAGTTTTTTTTTTTTTTTTTGAGAAGGCGTCTCCCTCTGTTGGCAGGCTGGAGTGCAGTGGCACAATCTTGGCTCACTGTGACCTCCGTCTCCCTGCTTCAAGCGATTCTCCTGCCTCAGCCTCCTGAGTAGCTGGGATTACAGGCGCGTGCCACCATGCCCGGCTAATTTTTGTATTTTTAGTAAAGATGGGGTTTCACCATGTTGGCCAGGATGGTCTCAATCTCCTAACCTCATGATCTGCCTGCGTCGTTCTCCCAAAGTGCTGGGATTACAGGCGTGAGCCACTGCTCTGGGCCTGGTTTTTGTTTTAAACTTCTAGATTCACATTTTCTTTGTAACTTTTTGTCATGAAATGTTGAGGAAAAGAACAGCAGACTGTCTTCTACCCACCTCCCTGCCCCCACCCCTAGTCCCTGCATTCTAGATTCCTTAATTGTATCTGGAATTTTTCTGATGTCGGTATCATCAAATGGTGTTGGGTGACATTAAATTCCACGTCAACCCTCCTGAAACACGCCCCTGTCTCTCCAGGCTTCATGTCTGGGACCCAGCGTTCTGTGTTTGGGCATTGCCACCTCCTGCCCACCTCAGAAGCACCTGCCACCTTCCTGATCTTTGTGTGCGGTGGGCACTTGGGGGAAATGTGTATGTTAGAATTGGCAGTCTGTGATCTATCACATTATTTTGCACGGCCAAAGTGTGTGCCGGGCTCAGTTCTCCACCCACTCTGCTAGTACCATTTGGTTAGACACAGACAGAATCCCCCTGTTCCCCTGCCGTGTGATCCACCGCTGTTTTTTTCTGAAATAAGTGCTAATTGGTTTTTAATTCCACTTGGATTTTAATGCTGCCCACTGCAGCCTTCATCCAGAAACACTGATCTGTTTGAAGAAATGTTCCTCAGGAGGAGGAATCGGCACTGCAGGGAGCTGGCAGGTTCCGTCCTTCCCAGCTTGCCACAGTGGCCTCGGGCACCTGCCAGCCACACATGTCCCCTTGCCTCGGGCTCAGTGAGGGATGCTTTGCAGTGACTTGCTCATGATGGCAAGGACAGGTTTGGACAGAGCTCCCTTTCCTCCATGTGTGGAGAGCTACTGGGCCTCAGTTCATGGAAGCTGGAGGAATGTTATGAGACCAGCATGGAGCGGTGGGTCTCAGAGTCCTGATCTGGGATCCAGGAGCATTCCTGTGGCTTCTGGATGACTCCTGCCGTGCCCACCTCCCTCTGCACCGTCCATCTGGGGCAGGCTCTGTTCTGTAGTCTGTTATGGGAGAGACTGGATCCTGTCCTGCCAGCCATCTGGGATGGGGAGGTGATTTTGATCCGCCTCCACCCTCCTCCCCAGTGTTTTCTTCTGTTTAGAACACTGTTCAGAACTGTCCCACTCCAGGGCTGCCTCCAAAGGCCCACACTCATTCATGCCCACTTACTCTCAGCCTCTGTCCAGGCACTGGGGGAAGGGAAAGGCAGATGTCAGTCTGGCAGGTGGAAAACAGGAGTGCGTGGAGGCGTGGGGGTGGAGCAGCTCCCGCGAGGGCAGAACAACAGTGGAGTGGTTGGGAACACAGACTTCTGGGGCGGACAGGCCCAGTTTCCACGGGTGGCTGGGGAATTCGGTGCAGGTGACCTCGCCCCTCTGGACCTCAGTTTTATTAGGGCTGCCATCACAAAGTACCACACCCCGGTAGCCTAAACAACAGAAATTTATTATCTCAGAGTTTAGGGGGCCAGAAGTCTGAGATCAAGGTCTGGGCTCGGGCTGGGTTGGTTCCTTCCGAGGTCTATCAAGAAGACTTTGTCCTGTACCCCTCCCTCAGCTGCTGGTGGTTTGTGGGCATTTTTGGCATTCCGTGGCCTCTGCTGCAGCACCCTGATCTCTGCCCTCATCTTCATGTGGCATTCTCCCTGTGTGTGTCCATGTGGAAGTTCCCCCCCACCCTTTTTTTTTTTTTGAGATGGAGTCTTGCTCTGTCGCCCAGGCTGGAGTGCAGTGGTGTGATCTCGGTTCACTGCAACCTCCGCCTCCCTGGGTTCAAGCAGTTCTTCTGCCTCAGCCTCCCGAGTAGCTGGGATTACAGGCGCCCACCACCATGCCTGGTTAATTTTTGTATTTTTAGTAGAGACGGAGTTTCACCATGTTGGCCAGGCTGATCTTGAACTCCTGACCTCATGATCCACCTGCCTTGTGCTCCCAAAGTGCTGGGATTACAGGCGTGAGCCACCGCACCCGGCTGGAAATTTCCCCTTCTTATAAGGACACTGGTCATACTGGATTAGGGGCTCACCCTACTTGATCCCAACTTTACTTCTGCAACAATCCTATCTCCAAATGAGGCCACATTCTGAAACACCAAAGGTTAGGACTTCAACACGTGAATTTTAGGGGGACACAGTTCAACTCATGATGGAAAAAAATAGGAATGATAATTACCCATGTACTAGGGTTGTTAAACTTTAAAAAAAAAAGTTATTTATTTATTTAGAGACTGGGTTATGTGACTGGCTAATTTTTGTATTTTTGGTAGAGATGGGGTTTTGCCATGTTGCCAAGGCTAGTCTCAAACTCCCGAGCTCAAGCGATCCACCCGCCTCAGCCTCACAAAGTGTTGGGATTACGGGAGTGAGCCCTGGCGCCCAGCCACTTACGTTATTGATTCATACAAGTAAAGCCTTTAGCTCAGTTCCTGTCACATAGTAAGTGCTCAGTAAATGTTAGTTTCATTAATGGGTTCTGATGGCCTCATCTCTTTCTTTCTTTCTTTCTTTCTTTTTTTGAGACAGTGTCTAGCTTTGTCTCTAGGCTAGAGTGCAGTGGCGCGATCTCAGCTCATGCAACCTCTGCCTCCCGGGTTCAAGCGATTCTCCTGCCTCAGCCTCCCGAGTAGCGGGGATTACAGGCACGCGCTGCCATGCCCAGCGGATTTTTGTATTTTTGTTAGAGACGGGGTTTCACCATATTGGCCAGGAGGGTCTCGATTTCCTGACCTCAGGTGATCTGCCCACCTCGGCCTCCAAAGTGCTGGGATTACAGGCATGAGCCACCGCGCCCGGCCGGCCTCATCTCTTAATGGGACAATTGCAGTCCTAATTAGCTCACTGCTTCTATTCTTGCCTCCTCTATTCCATTTCTGGTTTTCATTCCAAAGCCAGAAATGAAATCATGTGATATACCCCATGTATAAAGCCTTCAGTGGTTTCCCATTTCTAGCATTCAGGGTCTTTGAGTCTCAGGTAAAAGAAAACCAAACCCAAACTGTCCGAAGGAAATGGAGATAACATGATGGAAGTCCAGGGATAACCTGCTTTAGGTGCAGCTTGAGCCAGAGCTCAAATAATGTTATTACTAATGCTGGGTTTTTCTCCTTGATCTCCCAAGTTGGTTCCAGTCTCAAATTGGTTGTCCTCTGATAGTTATGATTGCAGCAACTCTGGCCTGACATCAGGTCTGGTGGAAAAAGAGAGAGTGAGTTCTTTTTTTCTTGTGGAACTTTCTGCAGAAATTCTGAAGCTCACTGTGAGTTGGCTTGGGTCATGTGTCCAGCTGTTAACCATTGCTATGACCAGGGAGGGGAAGGTGGTCGATTGGCTTAGTTAGACCTGGGTCAGGTGTGGAACCCCATTGACACATCATGTCCTGAAAGTGGGGATCATCTGGATTGCAAATGAAAATAGTGTTCTTTTTAGGAACAGAGACAATGGCTGCTAGGGGGAAACAAATCAGTTACTCTCTAATATGCTCCAGTGCTTAAAATAACTTTCAAAAATCCTGACCAGGAATGGTGGCATATGCCTGTAGTTTCAGCTACTAGGGAGGCTGTGGTGAGAGGATCACTTGAGCTAGCTGTTCAAGGCTGCGGTGAGCCATGATCATGCCACTGCACTCCAGCCTGGGCAATAAAGAGAGACCCCATCTCTGTTAAAAAGAAAAAAAGAAAAGAAAAAAACCTTATAGGCCAGGTGTGGTGGCTCACGTCTGTAATCCCAGCACTTTGGGAGGCCAAGGCGGGCGGATCACCTGAGGTCAGGGATTTGAGACCAGCCTGACCAACTTGGTGAAACCCTGTTTCTACTAAAAATACAGAAATTAGCTGGGCATGGTGGCGGGTGCCTGTAATCCCAGCTACTTGGGAGGCTGAGGCATGAGAATTGCTTCAACCCGGGAGGTGGAGGTTGCAGTGAGCTGAGATTGTGCCACTGCACTCCAGCCTGGGTGACAGAGTTATACTGTGTCTAAAAAAAAAAATAACACAAATAAATAAAAAACAAAAACAAAAATCCTTATCATGGCTTATAAGGTCCCCCGTGATGCAGCCGTGCTGGCCTTGCTTACTGCACACCAGCCAGTCTTTCATATTCATTTCTCAAATATGCCACACTTTCCTCCGGCCTTTGTGTGTGCCCTTCCCTATGCCTGAAATGCTTTTCCTGACTGCTTGTCTTCTAGCCTTCTCGTTCTTATCCCTCAGATCTTAGCCTAAATGTCAAGTCCTCAAAGAGGCCCTTCTGGACTGTCCTGAATGTAAACTAGGCCGCTTGTTATTCCTGCTTGGCAAAGCTTCATAGCAGTTATCATAATATTTAATTACACGTTATGTTTGTCTTTACATGTTTAATGCCCGTCTTCCTCACTGGGCTGGCTGTGAGTCCCAGGAGGTCAAGCCCAGACCTGTTATTTATTTATTTATTTTTGCTTTGCATTGCATCCCCAGTACATACTAGGTGTGCAAAACAAAACAAAAAACCTTTATTAAATGAATGTGGTTGAAATAGAATTGTTACTCATTTAAAATTTTGGTTAGTTTGTCATTGGACTAGAGCAGGGAACAAAGTCTGGCCGGAAGTTTTTAAAACCCTGGCGGTGAAATTTCAAAGTGAAAATGTTACTCGTAAGTTAAATGAATTCATACTGCAGCCATATTTTTTCAGGCTGGCTGGTATTAGTGATGCCCAAAGTGACTTTCCTTTTGGAGTCTTGGGGCCAGTGGAGATGGTATATCTCCCAACAATAAAAATTTCACCACGTTAAGTGGAGTACTACGATTAACACACATTTTTAATTAGCCTCTTAGTCATCTCCTATCTGAAGAGGCCAGGACAGGCATTTTAATACTTGGTTATTGGACTACCTCTAAGGAGCTCTCCCATGCTGCAGATACCGTTCTGAATCTCTGCAGTTTGTCAAGGTTCCTGCAGCCGGAAGCTGTTTTCCAGGCCGCTCTCTTCTCACTAAAGCCACAGTTCTTTCTTCGCACTAAAGCCATCCGTTCAGCTTCTGTGCAGAGGGAAGAGGTCCCTGAACTGGCATGACTGCAAAGGCGGTTGAACCCTCCTCTCCTGCAGGATGTGGAGGGCATGGAGGCTGTGCCGTGGATGGGTGGTGCATCTCAGAAGAGTTAGCTTCAGCAGTCATTGGGTAAAGCAAACATGCTAGAGAGTCACAACTACCTTCACGTTCTAAAGATGTCGGGTATTAGTGAGGTAGAGGTTTGGCTGCTGTAACAGACCCAGGATAGTAGTGGCTTAAATGCGAGGGCAGTTTATTTCCCTCCTGTGAAACAGTTTGAGAGTGAGCAGCCCAGGCCCCTGCCGTCTTGTTGCTCCCTGTTCCTGGGGTGTTGCTTTCATCTGCATGGTCCAGAATGATTCTCCATTATTGCCATGTGTGCAGCCTGGCCTGTGGTGGGGAGGATGTAAGAGGAGAGGTTATACCTCCTCTTTTTCAGGCAGTTGTGTTTTTTTTTGAGATATAATTTATGTGTGTTAAAATTTGCCCTTTTTTAAAAATTTATTCCTCCCCCACCTCCCATGCTTTTTTTTGTTTGTTTGTTTGTTTGTTTGTTTTTTGGAGAATGGGGTCTCACTCTGTTGCCCAGGCAGGTCTCAAACTCCTGGGTTCAAGTGATCCTCCTGTCTCTGCCTCCCTAAGTGCTGGGAGTGCAGGTGTGAGCCACTGCACCTGGCATATTTGCCCTTTTAAAACATTTGATGGTTTTCAGTGTATTTTCCAGGCTCTTTAATCATCATAACAATCTATTTGCAGAACATGATCACCACCTCAAAAAGAAACCCTGAACCCATTCCCGCTTCCCTGATTCTGCCCTGTGATTTTCCCATCCCTTCAGCCCCTGGCACCACTAATCTTTCTGTCTCTATGTATTTGCCTGTTCTGGACATTTCATGTAATTGGAATAATGCAGTATCCATTTCTGTCTGGCTTCTTTCACTGAGTGTCATGTTTTTTGTTTTTTGGGGTTTTTTTTTTGCAGAGACAGAGTCTTGCTCTGTTGCCCAGGCTGGAGTACAGTGGCGCGATCTCGGCTCACTGCTACTTCGCTTCCCAGGTTCAAGCAGTTCTCCTGCCTTAGCCTCCTGAGTACCTGGGATTACAGGCGTGTGACACCATGCCCAGCTAATTCCTTTTGTATTTTATTAGAGACGGGGTTTCATTGTGTTGCCCAGGTTGGTCTCGAACTCCTGAGCTCAGGCAATCCGCCCGCCTCAGCCTCCCAAAGTGCTGGGATTACAGGTGTGAGCCATCACGCCCGGCCTGAGTGTCATGTTTTTAAGGTTCACCCATGTTGTGCATGAATCAGTACTTCATTCCTTTTTGGGTTGGATAATATTCTGTTGTACAGATAGACCACATTTTGCTTATCCAGGCATCACCTGATGGACCTTTGGGTTGTTTCCACGTTTTAGCTATTATGAATAATGCTATAAACATTCATATATAAGTTTTTGTGTAAAGATATTTTTCAGTTCTCTTGGATATCTACATACTTAAGAGTGGAGTTACTAAGTCATGTGGTAACTATGTTTAGCTTTTTTAGGAATAAGGCAGAGATACCTAGTGTGTGTGTGTGTGTGTGTGTGTGTGTGTGTGTGTGTCATGGGCCCTTTGACATCTTTTTCTCTCAGTTGTGTTTTTAAGTTTATAAAATGTAGGATGACAAAGGAAACTAATTGTCTTAAAATGTAGTTTTTGAAATACGAAGATAAATTTGTGATATAGTGTGGCAAAATCCATTGGCAGATCTAACTACCATAATTCCAAAGTAACAAAGGGCATAAGTGCTATTTTGAGACGTTTGTAAGAACTGTGGGCTGGGTGTGGTGGCTCATGCCTGTAATCCCTGTGCTTTGAGAGGCTAAGGTGGGAGGATCACTTGAGGCCAGGAATTTGAGACCAGCTTGGGCAGCATACTGAAGCCCCATCTCTACAAAAAATTTAAAAACTTAGCCGGGCATGGTGGTGTGCACCTGTAGTCCCAGCTACTTGGGAGACTGAGGTGAGAGGATCCCTTGAGCCCAGGATTTTGAGGCTGCAGTGAGCTGTGATTGTGCCACTGCATTCCAGCCTGAGCAACATGGGGAGACCCTGCCTCAACAAAATAAACCAACAAAACTGCAATGTGATAATATACCTGTGGTTTCTGTTGGTGACAAATTTGTAAGCATGAAAACTATAGTTTGCCTATATTCCTAATTGAAGAAAATGCTGAATTTCTGTTAGAGATTAGTGAAAATAAAGAGGTAATTCTGCCCCCTTCCCCCCAAATTAGTGGAGCTCCTGAATTCTATCCTGCTTCAAAGAGCATGACCCAGAAGTTGCACACATTTCCTTCACTCCTTCCCTGTGATCCTGATTAGTTACATGGCGACAGCTAGCTGCAAGGGAGGCTGGGAAATGTAGTCCTCATTCAAGTCAATCAGGTGCCTGGCTAAAATATAGGGGTTCCGTTATTAAAGGAAAGGGGGGAGGATAGGTATTGGGGGACAAGAAGTCAATACTGTACTGCAGTACACACTGTGCAGCCACTTTCTCACCCAGGTCAGAACACGTGTTCTTCTCATAAGCACCTGCCAGAGGAGTTAGTTTGGCTTTGGGGACCATGGTGTATGAAAAAAAAGCGCATCTTTTTTTTTTTTTTTTTTTGAGATAGAGTATTGCTCTGTCACCCAGGCTGGAGTGCAGTGGCGCAATCTTGGCTCACTGCAACCTCCGCTTCCTGGGTTCAGGTGATTCTCCTGCCTCAGTCTCCCAAGTAGCTTGGGTTACAGGCATCTGCCACCATGCCCAGCTGATTTTTTATATTAGTAGAGACGGGGTTTCACCATATTGGCCAGGCTGGTCTCGAACTCCCGACCTCAGGTGATCCACCCACCTCGGTCTCCCAAAGTGCTGGGATTACAGGTGTGAGCCACTGTGCCTGGCCAAAAAAAAAAAAAAAAAAAAGCGGGAGGGGGGCGCATCTTGAAGCACTAAAACGCCTCTCAGCACTCTGAGAGTGCTGCTCGCATGACGAAGAACTGAGGCTGCCTGAGGGAGTAGCGTATGCCTGTCCCCCATCCCACACTCACACCAGAGCAAATGCTTAGGAAGTGGAATGCTGGGTATCTGTTCTGCTTAAATTATTTGTCCTTTAGTGAGGGGTAAGGGGATCCTAGTTGAAGTTATGAGAGGTAAACATTTGATACAACCTCTCTGTGCCTTTTTACTGTGCAGTAAGATGTGTGGTTTGGCTTCTCAGATGACTGGATGGTGATGCTATATTGGAACTCTTGATTCTATGTGTCAGACTCCACCCTCGATCACCCAAGGCAGAAGAGGGATTGATGTGTTGGCCTGGAGTCCCAGGAAGATCAGCAACAGAGAGTGGGCAGCTCAGGCCTCCGGCAGCAAATTAACAGGACATGGGCAGCCCAGAGGCAAAGTGACTTCCCCATTGTCCTGGTTGTAAAGGCTGAAGGGTCATGATGCTGATCTAACATTGGTAACAGCTGGACTTTATTGAGCACTTCCTGGGTGCCTGGCAGTATTTGTTTTCATCAACCTTATGAGATGGGTCCTGCCATACCCCACTTTCCTGATGTGTAGGGACTCATCGACCTCCTCAAGATCATATAGTTACTTATTTGTGGCTGGGCATGATGGCTTGCACCTGTAATCCCAACACTTTGGGAGGCCGAGGCAGGAGGATTGCTTGAGCCAGGAGTTCAAGGTCAGCCTAGGCAACATGGTGAGATCCCATCTCTACAAAAAAATTAGCCAGGTACAGTGGTACGTGCCTATAGTCCCAGCTACTCAGGAGGCTGAGGTGGGAGGATCACTTGAGCCTGGGAGGTTGAGGCTGCAACAGCAAGTCATGATTGTGCCACTACACTCCAGCCTGAACAAGAGTGAGACCGTGTCTCAAAAAAAAAAAAAAAAGTATTGATTCATGGCAGAGGTGGGGTTTGAACAGAGAGTCTGGTTCTAGCCGGTACTGTCATGAGGGCAGAGGGTGAGATGCAGGAGCAGAAGGCTTGACAGCCTGGACAGAGGAGTTTGTGTTTTCCTTCATGCTTTCATTTCGTGAATCTTTGTTACTGATGATGACTTTTGAGTTGACGTGATTGTGCCATCCCAGCCTCCCCTCCCTCTGTTCTAACACCCAGTGGTACATCCCCTTCCCCAACAGCACCATCAGACACACAGGTGGCTCTTGTGGAATCTCTCCATTCCCCATTATTCTAGGCCAGCCCTTCTCCCTTATCCTAGTTTTAAACATGAATTTATAAAGGGTAGTTAATTTGTGGCCAGGTGTGGTGGCTCACGCCTTTAATCCCAGCACTTTGGGAGGCTGAGGCGGGCAGATCACGAGGTCAGGAGATCAAGACCATCCTGGCTAACATGGTGAAACCCCACCTCTACAAAAAATGCAAAAAAAAGTAGTTAATTTGTTACTCAGCAAATCTCTACGGTGCCTACCAGACTCCAGATCTGGGCTGCTGGACACAGGAACATCGTTAAGCAAATCCCGGCCGTCGTGGAACTGACAGCCTGGAGGGGACGCAAGAGACTTGGGCATTCAACAGATAACTTCAGAGTCCCAACTGCAGCTGTGATACATACCAAACAGGAAACAGAGAGAGAGCGAGGAGAGCATATTAATGTGCGGAACCCAGGGCCTGACCCGGGGACCAGGAAGGAGGATGGCAAGGAGGGCTTCCCGAGGAGGCACCGTGTAGGCCGAGCCTAGAGCTGAATGGTGGCAGAGAGGGAACAGAGCACTTCCAGGGGGAACTGGAAAGCCCTAGACACATCACCCCAGTCCTCACTCCCACTGAACTCTGAGGAGACGGCTGCAAGTCGAGGCTCCCCACCCACCAGCACGTCACAGTGTGTCCAGGCTCAGGGTCCCCATCTGTAAGATGGGAGTGATATTGGTCATGGTGCCCATTTCATTGGTGGATGTCACTGGTGGATTAAATGAGTTACTATATGTAAAACTTTAGAACAGCTCCTGGCCTGTGGCAAGGGCTCTATAGGTTTAATTAGTCATTAAAATTAAAATTTGTATGTTGTAGGTCTAAAGATGGCTAATAAAAAATCACCCCACCCAGGCCAGAATCCAAGTTAGAGGACTGCTTGACAGGGACTGCCAGACACAGACTTGGTTGTGGGAGTCAGGGGTGCAGCCTCTGGCTACCACCCCCAGGAGGCATTCAGAAATGGGGGGTTGGCCGGGCGCAGTGGCTCACGCCTGTAATCCCAGCACTTTGGGTGGCCGAGGCGGGTAGATCACTTGAGGTCAGGAGTTCAAGACCAGCCTGGCCAACATGGTGAAACCCCATCTCTACTAAAAATAGAAAAATTAGTCATGCGTGGTGGCGGGCGCCAGTAATCTCAGCTACTTGGGAGGCTGAGGCACGAGAATCACTCGAACCCAGGAGGTGGAAATTGCAGTGAGCTGAGATTGCACCAGTGCACTCCTGCCTGGGTGACAGAGCAAGGCTCTGTCTTAAAAAAAAAAAAAAGAAAGAAAAGAAATGGGGAGTTGGTCTCACAATGAGTGGTGGGGGCCAGGGATGCTGACTGACCTATGCACAGGAGTGTTCCACCAAACATGCCCACGGCGCCCCAGGGGAGGGTTGTCCTGGAGGGGATTTCCTTGGGTCTTCGTCTTGTTGTACGTCTCTTATTGGGTTTCTCTCCCTGGGGTGGAAAGATGGCTGCTCTTGGAGATGCAGGCTGCCCCTGAATGCCCTGATCACTGACTCCAACTTGTAAAATATTTGTAAGATGCCCCCGCACTGCAGCACTGGGAAGCAGTGCCGGCCAGTCTGGCAGAAAGTGTGAAACCCAGTAAGTGATCTGCTTTATCAATCCAGGTTCTTGGGTTGCAAGCAACAGAAATCAACTCAGGCACCCTGAGGCCCTAAAAGGGTCGAGCAGCTCTGGGGTGTCTCTCAGTGGATATTCTTGGGCACTTTTTTAGGGCCCTGCATTGAAGAGCTTAGACACTGCAGCCCGCCTCCTGGGTGAGAATCCCAACCTCACTCCTTATTCATAAGCATCTCAAGCTTTCTGTGCATCAGTTTGTCGGCTATAAGATGGGAATGAGAACCGGAGGGTTGCTTTGAGGATTCAGTAAGTTGATATTTGAGACGTGTTTAGAACAGTGTGTAGTGTAGAGTATGTGGCTAGATATATACTAGCTGCTATTATTTTTATTAAGTGCTGTGGTTATTACTATTAGTATTATTTTTTTGAGATGGGGTCTCACTCTGTCACCTAGGCTAGAGTTCAGTGGCACAAACACAGCTCACTGCAGCCTCAACCTCTTGGGTTCAGGTGATCCTCCCATCTCAGCCGCCTGAGTAGCTGGGACTATAGGCATGTGCCACCATCCCCGGCTAATTTTTTGTATGTTTTTATAGAGACAGGGTCTTGCCATGTTACCCAGGCTGGTCTTGAACTCCTGGGCTCAAGCAGTCCACCCACCTGAGCCTTCCAAAATGCTGGGAGTACAGGCATGAGCCACCTCACCCACCTAGCCTACCATTATTATTTTTATTTTATTAAAAAAAATTTTTTTTATGAGATGGAGGCTTGCTCTGTCGCCCAGGCTGGAGTGCAGTGGTGTGGTCTTGGCACACTGCAACCTCCACCTCCTGGGTTCAGGCGATTCTTCTGCCTCAGCCTCCCAAGTAGCTGGGACTACAGGCACGCACCACCATGCCCGGCTAATTTTTGTGGTTTTAGCAGAGACAGGGTTTTGCCATGTTAGCCAGGCTGGTCTTGAACTCCTGACCTCAGGTGATCCTGAGGTCCTGCCTTGGCCTCCCAAAGTGCTGGGATTACAGGCATGGGCCACTTCACCCGGCCTCATTATTATTTTTATTGGCAGCTTGAAATTGAAATCCCTGAGCAAGAGGAAGCCATTGGCCCAGTTTGGATCAGGTGGGTGGGCAGGTCCCATGATTGGCAGTCCCCTCCACGCCCCCCCCCACAGAAGTAGGAGGAACGAGGGAGAAACAGTTGTCCCCAGGAAAAGTGGGCTGCTGTCACCAGAAGTTGGGGCAGAGACTCCAGGCTCCAGGCAGGTCCAGAGCGCCCGTGTCCTCCATGCTCAGTAACTGGACTCAACAAATGTTGGTTACTTCCCTGCTTTGTGCCATGGCCTCTGCTGAGCACAGAAGACACAGAAGGGACAGTGATTTGCACGGTCTCCTCCTCACAGGTCCTGTAGTCCAGAAATTGAGGGTCCTGGTTAAAACTAAATGCCTAGAACAGTGCCTGGCCTTTAGGAGGTCCTTCGTAAATGTTTCCTCAATGAATAAACACACAGGGAAGTGCAAGAGTTTTATGGAACACACAACAAAAGCATCCCACTAGTTATTTTAAAGAAATCCATGTTTGTACCTTTAGTCTCCAGGATGAGGTTCAGAGGGGTGTCCATGCACACAGTAGGTGTTTAATAAATGGGGACTAAATTATCTAATAGGTGCATGGTCCTGCAGCCTGTCCGGTGTGACAGTTGAGGGCAGACCCAGAGTTGGGGAGCTGGCTGCCTTCTCTGTTGAACAGGATGTGCAGACGTGGCTCCAGGATGCATCTCTGTGGAATGCAGTCGCTAATACAAATGAGCTTCCTCACGTCACAAGGCATCTATTATGTGGACAGTTGGGCGATGGGCCGTGGGACTGGGCGGGCTCTCTAGGGGAGTTTCAGAGCCACAGTTATGTTTAGGGCCTTCCTTTGGAGAGGGACTTTTCCCCATGAATGACTCTTAATAACAAAGATAATAATAGCCACCACTTTCCAGGTGCCTGAGCTGTGCAAAGGGATTAACCCATGGACTCCTCACAATGGCCCATGAAGCCAGTATATGATCCCCATTGTGCTGAGGCTCAGAGAGGGAAAATAACTTGCCTGTTGTGTGCACAGCAAGTGAGAAATTGAGGTGGGATTCTGGCCATGGTCTCTTGCTCCAAAGCTTGGGTTTGTCCTTCTATACCATGCACAGCCTGTTTTCTCTCTCTAGTACTAAGTTTAAAACAATATTATTTTTATTAATTTGCATATAGTACAATATTTAAAAATAAAAAGGCCAGGCACGGTGGCTCACACCTATAATCCCAACACTTTGGGAGGCTGAGGCGGGAGGATCACTGGAGTCCAGGAGTTCCAGACTAGCCTGGACAACATAGTGAGACCCTGTCTCTACAAAAAATTTAAAAATTAGCTGGGTACGGTGGCTCAGGGCTACAGTCCCAGTCACTCGGGAGGCTGAGGTGGGAGGATCTGCTTGAGTCCAGGAGGTTGAGGCTGCAGTGAGCTGTGATCGCACCACTGCACTCCAGCCTGGGTGACAGAGACCCCGTCTCAAAAACAAAACCAGAAAAAAAGGCAGTTTCCCTTCCACACCCAAACCCTTCACAGAAGCAGCCACTGTGACCTGTTTCTCACATCTCCTTTCAGAAGTCATGAGTACAAGCAAATCTATAAACATGGCAGCTGGGCTCAACATTAAGGGTGGCCACCTGTAGCCTGCGGGCGAGATCCAACTCACTGCCTGTTTTTGTATGGCCAGGGAGCTAAAAATGGGTTTTACGTTTTTAAAAGGTTAAAAAAAAGTTAACACTATTTCATGCCACGTAAACCTATATGAAATTTAGGTTTCGCCAGGCACAGTGGCTCACGCCTGTAATCCCAGCACTTTGGGAGGCCGAGGCAGGTGGATTTCCTGAGGTCAGGAGTTTGAGACCAGCCTGGCCAACATGGTGAAACCCTATCTCTACTAAAAAAAAAAAAATACAAAAATTAGCTGGGCGTGATGGCACACACCTGTAATCCCAGCTACTCAGGAGGCTGAGGCAGGAGAATTGCTTGAGCCCGGGAGGCGGAGGTTGCAGTGAGCCGAGATCGTGCCACTGCACTCCAGCCTGGGCAACAGAGCGAGACTCTGTCTCAAAAAAAAAAAAAAAAATTTAGGTTTCACTGTCTATAAATATTTATTGGAACACGGCCCGCCCATTTGGTTGTGTATTGTCTGTGGCTGTTCTTACACTGTAATGGCAGAATTGAGTGGTTGCAACAGAGACAAGTGTGACCCACCCCCCAAACCTACAATATTTGCTCTTTGGCCCTTTACAGAAGAAGTTTGCTGATCCCTGCACTACACACTTTCCTTTAGTAATGCGTGTTAGAGACAGTTGGCTCTCAGCACTTTTCTTGCGTGCTAACTGTGCTCCCCAAAAGCAGAGCCCAGCTGCAAGCCGTGGGCATGCCCAGGTTCGGCTGGCGGTGGGTCTGTTGGTGCCTCCGCGTGCACACTCACTCTGAGCATTTCTTGGGCCCTGGCTGCGTGGCAGGCCGCTGGCTGGGAGCCAGGGCAGGTCTAGGCCTGCCCTCAGGAATCCACAGGCCGGTGGGTGGGGAGAGTCAGACAGTATCGGGCAGTCCTGTGGAGGGATGTATTCAGGCCTGCTCTCACAGGCCTTCCTTGACCCTCTCCCCATCACTCCCACTTTGTTTTTATTTGTGGCACTTAAATAAAAAATAGGTCATGCATTTATATGCTTCAAAATCAATTCTATGTGGATGTGTGAGCAGTCTCTGTCCTCCACTCCTCTCCCTGCCCACCTTGTTCCTTCTCCCCTTACGTAATGATTTGTATTTTCCCTTGGGTATCCGTCTAAGGTATCATTATATCAATACAAGCAAATATGAATATATATTTTTGTCTTCTCCTTCCTTCGACAAAAGGTAGCCTACTCAGTACTCTGCTCTGCACTTTGCAAATGTTTACTGAACAGTATGCCCTGGAGATCCTCTTATTTTAGTGTTCTGGTGGAAACTGAAGGGTGGGTAGGAGTTAATAAGGCAAAAAAGAAAGGTGTATCTTAGGGTGGGGGAAGCATGAGGAAGAGCATTCTAGGCAGAGGGAACAGTGTGAACAGCATGCTTCCAGGTTCCGGGGAGCGTGGCTCCCTCCAGAGCAGGGGGAAGGCCTGGGAGGCTGAGGCCAGGGAGGAGGGGGCCCGTCGAGGCATGAAGGTTCAGCAAGGCCTGATGGTCAATGGAGGAACCGTGCCTTTAATTCTGAGCTCACCCGGGTGTGGGGTTCTGCTCTGTTTCCTTCCATGCCCTGATTTCTCTGTGGCCAAGTACACTTGGCCGTCATTCCATATGACCAAGGAGAGGCCAAGAATGTCCTCGAGAGAGGGTTATTGGGGCTGGTTAATGATGGAAGAATTTCTCCTGTGAGCTGCGCTCAAGAAGTGTGACCTGGTGTCTGGGAGGTTTCAGGCCTGTTCCTCCTGCCTCCTCAGTTCTTTCTAGTCATGAGACACGGGACACATCCCATCAGTTCTCATCTTTTCAGTAGACACAGTCGTAGTGCCAAATACAGGCTTTGTTTGGAGGGTAATGCATACACCGTGCTCAGTTCCAAGTTGGCCACATAGTGAGTGCTCAAGATGTGATAGAGATGGCTTTGGTTCTTTTTATAGGGCTGGTTTGGGCTCATACTTTGTTAGTATAGCTCATGATTAAAGGTTTGGGGATTCTGTGAAGTGCCTTATGCCTGTAATCCCAGCATTTTGGGAGGCTGAAGCGGAAGGATTGCTTGAGACCAGGAGTTCAAGACCAGCCTGGAGAATACAGCAAGACTCCCACCTCTACAAAAAATGAGCCAGGTGGTGGCACGTGACTGTAGTCTCAGCTACTCAGGAGGCTGAAGTGGGAGGATCACTTGAACCCAGGAGGTCAAGGCTGCAGTGACCTATGCTTGTGCCACTGTACTCCAGTCTGGCGACAGAGGGAGACCCTGTCTCAAAAAAAAAAAAAAAAAAGAGTTTTGGTTTGATCACCTGAGTTCTAATACCTGCTCTGCCACTTCTTGTCCGTGTTGAGCAGGTTACTTAACCTCTCTGTACTTGATTTTTGTCACTTGCAAATGAAAGTGATAATACTTGCCTCTTGGTCCCATAGATGCCGGCAATTATTATTATTCCTATTATTTCACAGCCTCTGCTGTACAGTATTGTCAGATGACGCAGTGCCAGTGGTAGCAGCGTCGCCATCATTTCAGCAGCAGTGCCCTTCGTTAGCTGTACCACCTCACCTTTTCTGCAGGACACCTTCCCGCAAATCCTTTCCTGTCAAAGGGTTAGGGTAGAGTTGCTCCGTGAGTATTTAGGAAAGGAGGCCCTGGAAGAGAGGATTGTCTCTTTAGTCCCTTTATGAGTCATTGGCCATAGAAAGTTACATGACCACCCATAACTGCAGGGAAGGGTGAGAGATGGAGAATTTTCCTAATCGCCTCCCACACAGAATATAAATATCACCACCACAGCTGTGTGCAGTACGTATTTGTGAGCACGTTAATCTATCTTGCCATCAGAGAGGCTGGCTCCAGCATCTTACGCATGTCCACGTTGTGGTCAGTTTGCAAGAAGTCACCCGTGATATGTGGCAAAACAGCCGGACTCCCAACATAAAGTGCTGGAAGGAAGACTGTGAGGGACACAGTTGTAAAGGTTCTCGAATTGTATCTGTCTGATCAGAGAAACAATTTAATGTCCCAGATCAAAGTCGAGAGGCAGGCTCTGGGAACTGGGCTGTGAGCAGCCAGAGAAAGGCGGCAGAACCAGTTTCTTCAGGGCAGGTCTCTTTTATCTGCTTGTCTGATTGCCTGGTGGACACTCCATTGGCTCCCAGAGGCCTTCCTGGTCATCTCCTCCCTCTGGCTGGGTCCTTGATCTTTGCAGATGGCTGCGTCCCCTGGGGCCAGGGAGCACCTACTGTGTGCCTAGTGCTGGCCAAGGTACTGGAGATAATCATAGGTAATGTTCTTCCAGCGTTCACCATGTGCTTGGTGTTGCGGTTACTTGAGTGAACTCATGTAATCCTCGCAGTAGCCCTATGAGGTGGGACAGTGTTAGGTCCATTACAGACATGGAGACAAGCCCAGGGCTGCTATGTCACTTCCCCAAGGTCACAAAGCTAGTTAGGGGCAGCCTCTACCGTCTGGATCAAAGCCCGCCATGTAAATGGCTCCAGCTTTTGCAGGCCACATGCACGTCTTCAGAGCTTTCTCCATAATGGACTCTTTTGGAAGACCCTGGCCTCCAAGGGCTGTATAGTGGCTTATGGCTCTCCCAGTTAATGGTGCTTATGAATGTGGCTGTGGAGGGAGAGAGGCTGGGGCTGGACAACCTGGGCTTTCCCGGTGTGACCTGTGGCAGCCAGAAAGAGGGACGGGGTCAAGCAGGGGCATCTTTGTCCACCCTTAGCTCCTCCTGGCTATTCAGGACCCACCTTACAGGTTCCTGTGGCCTCCCTGGGTTGTCTTCCTGGGGTCGAGGGTTCTCTGGCAGGCATACCATGGTGCCCTTGCCCCTCTACCCCGACATCCCAGCCAGGCCATGTTGAAATTGCCTTTTCATTTGTTAGTTGATCTATGCAAAATGTTGGGAGGGCAGGGGCCTTGCATCTACTTCCCTTGGCCCAATCCTGGCTGTGCAGTAGGTTTTAAAAACACGTCTGAACAAATGAATAAATAAATGACTCATGTGATGGAACTAACATCTAAACAGAACTTAACTTGCAGTATCTTCTGGGCAAATGCCACATCTGGGCTAGAGAGGCAGTGGAGGGTGGTGGTTGAAAGCCGACCCTGGAGCCACGTGCTGGGAGTTGAAATCCAGTTCTGTCGCTTACTTGCTGGGTGACCTCGGACAAGGGACTGCACCTCTCAGGACCTCAGTTTTCTCATCTGTTAAGTGGGATAATAGTAGGACCTGCCCCACGGAGCAGTTGTGAAGGTTACGTGAGTTGAAATGTTAAAGCATCTGGCACAGGCACTGGCTTAAGAGTTAGCAGCTGCTCCTAGGCACCGTGCAGTAGCGTTGACCATGAAGAGTAACCGAGTCTTAGCCTCAGGTATGCGGAGAGACCAGCTCAGTTCCAGGGGAGATGTTGTTCACCTTGTGAACCTAAGAAACAGTGGTTTCATCCAAAAAAGATTGCTCAGACCTGGCATGGTGGCTCACACCTGTAATCCCAGCACTCTTGGGAGGCTGAAGTGGGTGGATTGCCTGAGCTTAGGAGTTCGAGACCATCCTGGGCAACATGGTGAAACCCCGTCTGTACAAAAAACACAAAAATTAGCTGGGCGTGGTGGCATGCATCTGAGGTCTCAGCTACTCAGGAGGCTGAGGTGGGAGGATAACTTGAGCCTGGGAAGCAGAGGTTGCAGTGAGCCAAGATCATACCACTGCCCTCCAGCCTGGGTGACTGAGCGAGACCCCATCTCAAAAAAAAAAAAAAAAAAAAAGATTGCTCAGCACTGATGAGGAATTGTAACTGTAACCCTGATCAGTAAGCTTGCTTCATACAGGCATGATTCGAGTGGAGATTTTTGGAGTTGCACGAAACTATGTGTTCTTTGTGGGAGAAGTTGGGAGAAAGACCCAGCCCGGCTGAATCTCCTGAGAACAATGAGGCACTTTTTGCAGATGCGCTGTCCTTCCAGTCTCAGGGAGCGCTGTGTGAGCCCTGCGCAGGGCGGGGCAGCGAGGCGGTTAAGGGCTGGATTCCATCCTTACTAATGTGTGACCTTGGGCAAGTAACACCAAGCACAGTCAAAGAGAAAATTAGTAAATGAAATTCACTCTGAGTATAGAATAGAGATAAAATACATAGAAGTAACAAAACGGGTGGAGTGAGAAGAAGCATACATCTAGTAGGATTTCCAGAAATAAAGCTAGAAGGAGTGGTGGGGAGGCAATATTAGAACTAATGCTAAAAATGTGCCATAATTGAAGACTTGCATCTCAATGCTGAAAGCTCACAACGAGTGCCAAGCAGAGACTGGATAAAAAGAAATCCCCCAGATAGATTATTGTGAGGCTGCGAAACATTAAGGAAAGAGAGAAAACCTTGGAAACTAGCAGACTAGGCTAGGGCAAGTAACAAACCATCTCTAAGCCTCGGTATTCATTTCTGCAAAGTGAGGAAAAGAACTAGTTACTATGTGACCAGCTTACTAATGAGCTTGGAACTAGTAAAGATCTTTTTGCATAGGTCCTGACACATAGCAAGTGTGCATTAAATGTTAGCTGCGTTACTGTTGGTGTCATAAACGTTAATGACAACAGTAGTGATTGTTCTGTAGGCTGCTGTGGAATATGGCTGGTACTCCACAGATGCCTCTCATGCAGGCAACTCTGTAGCAAACTAGAGCATGTCCTTGTGGTGATCCCTGAAGAAGAGAATAGTCATTTCATGAACGTGACTGGAAGTCAAGATTTGTGGATTCCTTCAACAAATATTTCTGGGGCCTCTTGTCTGTGCTAAACACTGTTTCAAGGCCCAGGTATGCAGCAGAGAAGACAGACCTAGTCCTTGCTGTCCTGGAGTACAAGGTCTGGTGGAGGAGACAGACTAGAAATAAACAGTATTTATCAGAAGTGATTGGTAGTGCTATTAAGACGTTCAATTATTGTAGCATTTTGGGAGGCCAAGGCAGGAGGATCAGTTGAGGCCAGTTTGAGACCAGCCTGGGCGACAGAGCAAGATTCTATCTCTTAAAAAAATTGTTTTTTTCTTTTTTTTTTTTTTTGAGTGTGGGTCTCTCTCTGGTTGCCCAGGCTGGAGTGCAGTGGTGCAATCTTGGCTCACTGCAGCCTCAACCTCTCTAGCTCAAGCAATCCTCCCACCTCAGCCTCCTGATTGAGACTAGAGTCATGTGCCACCATGCCCAGCCAATTTTACGAAGAAAATTGTTTTAGTCAAGTGTGATGGCACATGCCTCTAGTTCCAGCTACCGGGGAGGCTGAGACAGGAGGATCACTTGAAGCCAGGAGTTCAAAACCAGCCTAGACAATAGAGAGAGAGAAAGAAAAGAAAGGAAAGGAAGGAAAGAAACTAAACCAGGATAAAGTGAAGTGAGTGGTAGTGGTGGGAGGGGTGTCTTAGAGGGATGAGGAAGGGGTCTGTCCGAGGAGGTGACATTTAATCTGAGACTTGAAAGATGAAAAGGAGCCAGTCATGCACACAGGTGGGTGAACAAGGGTGAGAATGTGTTGGGAGGGATTTGTAGTTTGTTCCCCAAAGCCTCCATTTGCTTCCATCCTAGGGGTGTTTGGAGAGGATGGCTGTGGGGAGCTGACTTTGGCGTCTAGGAAGAGAGGTGGTGGGCCCAGAGGCCGGGCCCCTCCCTGGCTCCTCCCAGCCTTCCCAGGGCCCTTACCCAGGGATGCGGGGCCACAGGGAAGAGACCCTTCGCCCCTTGGGTGGACTCCCTGACTTCCCAGCCAAGAATGTGGTTGTCCTTTTTGTTCCAAAGGTGACCCAGCTGCGCCGTCATGCGAGCAAAGCGGTGGCGCTTTGTGCCTGAAGCCCACTTTCTCCTTCCCCAGATAGATCAGCTCAAAGCTGTCTGCCCTAGAGAAGCTCCAGAAAGCAGCCAAGCCAGACTGGGCATGCTGCTTGGGGCTGTGGGGGAATTAACCATCTCTTTTCTTTGTGTCAAAGGTGGGGAAGGTATTAAAGCAACAGGGCTTCCTGGATAGAGCCACAGTTAGGAGCCCAGATTCAGGGCTTAAACTCCGGCTTCCCCACTTACACCTTGGGCAAATGCCTTCCATGTGCCTCACCTTAGCTTTCCCATCTGTAGAATGGGACAGTAATTCCTGTGCTTAGAAAAGTGCACACAGGATGTGCTACATAAGTGTTATCACCTTCCAATTTTAACTCGAGGTGAGATGGCTTTCTCTTTCCTCTAGTTTCTTGTCAACAGTTAAGACACTTGCATTCGACTTCTGTTTCTCCACACCAGCCCGGTTCTTGCCCAGGAGCTTGGCGTCTGGCAGTCAGCCAGGCTTCAGGTGCCAAAAGCAGCCCCTTTGCTGGGGAAAAGCAGGTTATTTGATGCCAGGAAGCTGAGAATTGTCAGGATGTTTGTCGCCAGCGTTGGGGGCCTGTGTGGTGCCTCCACAAAAGGGACTGCTCTTGCTTGCCAGGGAGAGAAGACTGCTTCCTCCAGGGCAGCTTCTTCTTTTCTTAACCCTGGCTGCACGAACCCTATTAGAATCAGGTGGGCACTGTTTACAACGTGCCCGTGCCTGCCTTCCCCTTTCCCCTCTTCCTGTGTAAAGGGCCTGAGGCCTAGGTGTGGAGACTTTTTTTTCTTAGCTGCCTGATGTGCCTTCAGGGACACTCTCTGAATTCAGGGGCATTCACAATCACTGAATGTAGCTGAGAACCACCTGGGGGTCGTGATAAAATGCAGGTTCTCATTCATCTGGTCTGAGGAGGAGCTGAGCGTTTTCTTTTTTCTTTTTTTGCTTTTTGAGATAGAGTCTCACTGTGTCACCCAGGCTGGAGTGCAGTGGTGCGATCTCGGCTCACTGCAACCTTTGCCTCCCAGGTTCAAGCAATTCTTGTGCCTCAACCTCCCGAGTAGCTGGGATTACAGACTTGTGCCACCATGCCTGGCTAATTTTCGAATTTTTTGTAGAGATGGGGTTTCACCATGTTGGCCAGGCTGGTCTCAAACTCCCGACCTCAGGTGATCCACCCGCCTCAGCCTCCCAAAGCACTGGGATTATAGATGTGAGCCACCGCGCCCGGACACATCTGCTTTTTCAGTGAGCTCCCAGGTGATGTAGATGATGCTGTTTCCCGGACCTTAGGTGTCAGAATCAAGGGCCTAGAAGTCTGCTTTTCAGATGTGTAGAATCTGGGACACGCACTTTGAATCCTTAGCTGCATTTTTCCCAGACCCCTTGGTGATTGACTACCCATTAGGATTTGGGAGCCTAGACCAGGGTTTGTGAACCCTGACGCTGTTGACCTTTGGGGCTAGATCACTCTTTGATGTCAGAATTGTCCTGTGCATATTATGGGCTGTTCAGCAGCATCCCTGGCCTCTACCCACTAGATGCCAGTAACAGCACCCCCCAGCGGGGATCATCAAAAGTGTCTCCAAATGTCCCCTGGAATAGAGGTGGGGCAGTGTTGTCCCTAGTTGGTTACCAGCGGCCTCGCACCCTCTAATTTCACCATGCCTGGGACCCCCTAGGCCAGCTGGTCACTCACATCGATGCTCAGGTCCCACAGTAGCAGTCATGGCCACTTTAGTTTGGGGCAGGCCCCAGTGGGGATACAAGCTCTTGGTGCATCTCCCGTCTGCTGCACTTTGACAGCCACTGTCCCGGCGCCTTTACTGCTCAGTAAATGGTGGGTGTGGCTGGACTAGCAAGTGGGGAAAGGATAATAAACGGAGCTTGGTATTTGTGTTGGGAGAGTGGGAATCAGAATGAAGTCACCATAAAGTCCCTTTTAATAACAGTAGAGAAGATTCTAGGCTTGGTGGTATTATCTCCTTTGGAAATTGTCCCAAATTCTCTCTCTATTCTCCCCTCCTCCTACAGTCCCCCTGCTGGTCCTGTCTGTCCTTGGCTCCCACTGGCCTAAGGCAGCAGTCTCTCATTATCCTGCTGGCTCCTGCCCTACCTCTCCTGGTCTGTCCTCTGCACTCAGCCAGGTGGGGCCTGTGAACACCTGAGGTCACGGCCCTCCCCTGCTCAGAACCTCCCATGGGATCTGGAGTACCAGCATCTCACTCAAGAGAAAAGTCAAGGCCAGGTGCAGTGGCTCACGCCTGTAATCCCAACACTTTGGGAGGCTTAGGTGGGAGGATTGCTGGAACCCAGGAGTTCGAGACCAGCCTGGGCAACATAGACCCTGTCTCTACAAAAAATTTTATAATTTTTAAAAAATTATTATCAAAAAGAGAAGCAGGGTGCAGTGGCTCATGCCTGTAATCCCAGCACTTTGGGAGGCCGAGGCGGGTGGATCACCTGAGGTCAGGAGTTTGAGACCAGCCTGGCCAACATGGTGAAACCCTGTCTCTAGTAAAAATACAGAAATGAGCCAGACATGGTGGTGGGCACCTGTAATCCTAGCTACTCGGGAGGCTGAGGCAGGAGAATCGCTTGAACCCAGGAGACAGAGGTTGTAGTGAGCCGAGATCACACCACTGCACTCCAGCCTGGGCGACAGAGCGGGACTCCATCTCAAAAATAAATAAATAAGTAATACATAAATAAGAATTAAAAAGAGGAAAGTCAGTGTCTTTTGTGTGGCCCACTGGGCCCCCTTGATCTGGCCCTGTCACCTCTCTGCCTTGTCCTCTGCTTCCTGCCCCATTGCTCTTTGACCCTTTCCCTGCTCCTAGAACGCACCAGGCACGTTCGCTCTCCAGGATCTCTGCGCGGGCCGTCCTCCCTCCCACTCCACACAGTCCTCTGGCTGCTCCTGCGAAGCTTCCCTTAGGTTTCTCTGCTCAGAAGTCACCCTCCCAGCGAGGCCTTCTTTACAAGCCTGACCTCCAAACAAAAACAGATTCCTCTCCCCTTCTCATGCAATATAAGCCCTGTTAGAGCTGGGGCCTTGTCTGCTTTCCTGTGGTTTCCCCAGCACGGTGCCTGCCGTGTAGGAGGTGTTGGCTGTGTGATTGAGGAGGGAATGAGTGAACTGCTGCTTAAGTGCTTCTTTGTGCCTGGCCTTGTGCATCCTCCCACGGAACCTTCCTAACTCTGTGGGGCAGCTCCTGTTTTTTGTTTGTTTGTTTGCTTTTAAAGACAAGATATTGCTCTGTCACCCAGGCTGGAGTGCAGTAGCACAGTCATAGCTCACTGCAACATCCATTTGCTGAACTCAAACCATCCTCCCACCTCAGCCTCCTGAGTAGCTGAGACTACAGGTGTGCGCCATCACTCCTGGCTAATTTTTAAAAAATATTTAGTAGAGACGGGGATCTCACTGTGTTGCCCAGGCTGGTCTTGAACTCCTGGCCTCAAGCAGTCCTCATGTCTTGGACTCCCAAAGCCCTGGGATTACAGGCATAATCTCAGTGTACCACTGCACCCAGCTATGCAGCACCTATCTTGAGCTCCATTTTACAAATGAAGACATGGAGGTTCTGATTAAGTCACTGCCCAAGGTCTCCCTCTGAATAGGGAAATCCTCAGAACACACATCAGGCCTCCCTGCTTAGGATGAATTCTTTTTTTTTTTTTTTTTTGAGATGGAGTCTCGCTCTGTCACCCAGGCTGGAGTGCAATGGCGTGATCTCAGCTCACTGCAACCTCCGCCTCCTGGGTTCAAGCGATTCTCCTGCCTCAGCCTCCCCAGTAAGTAGCTGGGATTGCAGACGTGAGCCACCGTGCCTGGCTAGGATGAATTCTTTAACTCCCTACATCATTGCACTGCTTGTTGGGTGGCACAGCCAGAATGAGCCTTGGCTTCCCGTGCACTCAGTCGGGGTGCTGGGGCCTGGCTGAGCCGGGCCATTGGAGAGTAGAGGATTTGGGGTTCCCTGCTGTGCTTGTTGACGTAGACCCCCCCACCTGACCTTTTGTTTGGCCCTCATGCATATTTAGGGTTTCACCTGGTGGAGTGGGGGAGGGGAGGCTCCTTCTCTGGCGTTTCCTCTGTGAAATTCTGGAGTGGGGTCAGCTCCTGTTTCTGCCCTACGGCCGCATGCCTCTTCTGGTTGCTCAACCACCCTGGAAGAATTCCCAGGTCATTTTATACCCACATCTTGATTTTTGTAACTGGGTGGACCAGATCACCAGCTACCTGGGGGTAGGGACAGAGGCATCTTTTTGGGTCTCTTTTAGGCCTGGCAAGGTGGTGGGTGTTCTTGTTAAAAGATCTAAAAACCTCCATTCATTCCTATGTATCTTTTTGGGGCCTCTTGCATGTTGGGCACTACCTTGAGCCTATGGGAGGAAAGCAGCCAGTGAGACAGGCGGGGTCGTGGGGTGAATACCTGTGGAACTTTGGCGGAAGCCAGGTCCGATGGGATCTGGAGTACCAGCTTTGACTTCAGAGCGCTCTCTTCTGGCTGGGCATGGAGACAAGGAATAGATACAGCAATAGCCACATAACTGCAGGTGGACGATGAGTACAGCTCTTGCTCAGCTAGTCAGCCCACAGCGAGAACCCCGCCCCAGTCTGGGCTAACGTGTCCTCTGCTGCCAGCAGCCCAGTAGGGTTCTTTGCTGGAGTCTGGTTTTTCCTTGACTTGTAGCTGGCAAGTGCTTACACGCTCTCAGAGGCCCAGCAGACATCTCTGTCCACTCAAGGGGCATGTGTGTGTTTAATTGGACCACTGGTACCAACAACAGCAGACACGCTCAGTGCCAGGCCGTATTCCGAGTGCTTTTTAATCCCCATGATGACTTAGTGGCATTGGTACTGTTGTTAGCCTTTTTTTCCAGATGGGGAAAGTGAGGCAAAGAGAGGGGAGGTAACTTGTCCACTGCCTGTTAATAGTAAGTGGCAGGGGCCAGGCACGGTGGCTCACGCTTGTAATCCCAACACTTTGGGAGGCTGGGGTGGGCAGATTGCTTGAGGCCAGGAGTTCAAGACCAGCCTGGCCAAGATGGTGAAAACCTGCCTCTACTAAAAATACAAAATCAGCAGGGCGTAGTGGCACGTGTCTGTAATCCCAGCTACTTGGGAGGCTGAGGCATGAGAATCGCTTGAACCTGGGAGGCAGAGGTTGCTGTGAGCCGAGATTGCGCCACTGCACTCCAGCCTGGGCAACAGAGCAAGACTCTGTCTCAAAAAAGAAAGAAAGAAAGAAAGAAAGTGCTTATTGGCCTTTTAAAAAAAATAGTCTCAAAGCTGGGATTGAACCCAGGCCATCTGGCTTCCAATTCCATGCTCTTAAGCGCTCTGTGGACGTATCAGATGGCTGGACAGGGCCAAACCGGCTGATCTCTCTGGGGATGGGAGGAAGGCCCTGCCAGCATGGAAAGGAGCAGACATTCCCATTCCTGGTGCTCTGGGAAGAACTACCTCCCCACATCCCCAGAGCAAAGGCCATGGAGGAAAACCTGAAGGCAGGAAGAAAGCTATATGGCTGGTCAGCTGCTGTCACCCTGGAAAGCCCTGGGCTGGCTTATGTACCCCACCTGCATGTGAGTTCAGTGGGCCCATTGTGCAGACAGCTTGGCAGGGACCGTGCAGAGTCACTGTTCCCGGGAATGCAGCAGCTGAGCTCTCTGCCCTGGAGTTCCGGAGGCTCCTTTCACTCAAGACAGCCCTGTGACGGTGATCTGTTGCACAGATGACCCTCCACCTGATGCTTTGGAGCTGGAGACAGATTTCTCTTGGGGGCTTGCTAGGACCGGGGTGGGGTTTGGGGCATTTGGAGTTGGGTGTGAGGCTGTGGAGCCTTGCAGCTGATGGCTTGGAGTCACACTGCAGGCAGCTGGGTTCGGGCCCCACCCTGCACTAGCTGCATGACCTGGGGCAGGTACTTCACCTCCTTCCTCAGGCTCTTCATTTTTCAAATACCTGCCTCGTTGACTTTGGGCTGGAGGGAGGGATAAAGGATGATAATTCACTGAGGTCATCTTATGCAGAGTGTTCAGTCCACAGACAGGCATCCACGTGGCTAGAGGCAGGGCCTGGGGAACCACCACTTCCAGCTCCAGGGCTTTAGGCAAGTGGCTTTAGCCTCCATTGGGCTGCATTTCCTCCTTCTACAGCAAGGGCCAGAGCAGTCCCAACCTCTTAAGGCTGCGGGGTTCACTGAGTGAGTAGGTACCTGGGGAGTATTTAGCACAGGCCCTGGCACTCAAGGTAAGTAAGCCCCATGGCATGAGCTGTCATGATCATAATGCACAATTAAGAATGTCAGCTTGAGGCCTAGCAGTCAGGCAAGGAGGAACTGCACAGATAATATGATGAATAGGGCCAGGCATGGTGGCTCACGCCTGTAATCCCAGCACTTTGGGAGGCCGATGCAGGTGGATCACTCGAAGTCAGGAGTTCGAGACCAGCCTGGCCAACACGGCGAGACCCCGTCTCTATTAAAAATACAAAAATTTTCTGCACATGGTGGCACATGCATGTAATCCCAGCTACATGGGAGGCTGAGGCACGAGAATCACTTGAACCTGGGAGGTGGAGGTTACAGTGAGCTGAGATTGCGCCACTGTACTCCAGCCTGGGCAACAAAGTGACACTCTGTCTTAAAAAAAAAAAAAAAAAATTATGAATGGGATGGTTCTAGAAAACTCCAAGTTGGTCAGCTACTCCCCTTTGGCCTTGAAAAGTGGTGACATGAGGCTCCATGTGGTTTTTGTGGGCCTGTTTTCCTCCTTTCAGAGGAGAGTGGCCTTTCTGGACTGAAGAACATGAGCTAAATGGGGACAGCAAGGAATCTGGGAGTGGAGGTCCTCCAGGGCTTTGGGAGGCTCCATTCAGGTCGCCTACGTGCTGGCTCTGTGGTCAGTTGTGCAGGGCGAGTGTGAGTGCGGGAAGTCAGCAGACCTGGGTCCCTGGTGCTCCCAGCTGCGTGACCCCGGCAGGATCCTCAGACTCGCTGGGTCAGTGTCAGGCACGGTGCTAAGCACAGAGGTGGTACCCAGTCACCGTTGGTTGTTCTGAGGACAGCAGAATAGTGAGGGCAATGGAGGGTGGGCCCTATGGTCAGTCAGCTGGATTCAAACCCTGGCTGTGTCAGGTCTGAGTTATGAGACCTTGAATAAGTGACTTAGCCCCCTGCCCCTCAGTTTCTTCATCTGTGAGATGGGGATGACACCCACTTCACATGGGGCTGTGGGGATCACGAGATGATCTATATGAAGCCCTTGAACCAGCTCTTGGCACAGAGAAAGTTCTCATTGTGCGTTGGCTGTTTTTATTGCTATTATTATTATTATTATTTTTGAGATGGAGTTTCACTCTTATTGCCCAGGCTGGAGTGCGGTGGCGCGATCTCGGCTCACTGCAACCTCCGCCTCCTGGGTTCAAGCGATTCTCTTGCCTCAGCCTCCCGAGTAGCTGGAATTATAGGTGCACGCCACCATGCCCAGCTAATTTTTTGTATTTTTAGTAGAGACAGCGTTTCACTGTGTTGGCCAGGCTATTATTATTAAACCATCCTAGAAAGCATCATAAGTGGAAAGTGTAAATCGCAGATACGTTCAGGGGAACAGATCCCTAACGGGGGAATCTGTGGAGAGCTCCTCCTCTGGAGGGCTTGTTCAGAGCTAGCATTCGAGCCTTTGTGTTTCCAGAACGTACCTGAAAAAGTGTGTGAAGGAGGGGCCAGGAGCGTGTCGACCAGGTGTGATGTTGTCTTGCCACGGGGACAGGTTTCCCAAGGTCAGAGGATTCCACCAGATTGTTCAAGGTGCCGTATGAATAAACACTTGAAGCATTTTAATAGCTGTACTTTTATTTCAATGCATAGCAGGAAAGTAATTTCATTTTATTTTATTATTTTTTTTTAGAGACGGGTCTTGCTCTGTCGCCTAGGCTGGAGAGCAGTGGCACAATCATAGCTCACTGCAGCCAAGAATTCCTGGGCTCAAGCAATCCTCCTATTTCAGCCTTCCAAGAAGCTGGGACTATAGGTGTGCACCACCACACCTGGCTAAGTTTCTTATTTTTATTTTTTATAGAGATGTGGGTCTCGCTTTGTTGTCCAGACTGGTATTGAACTTCTGGCCTCAAGTGACCCTACCACCTTGGCCTCCCAAAGTGCTGGGATTACAGGCGTGAGCCATCATGCCTGGCCGGGAAAAGAATTTAAACAGCATGTCAAACCTAGTATCCCATGGCTATTTCTGCATTGGGTGAGGCTAAAGTTGGTACTTAAGCCAAAAATAAAAGTGAGTATAGTTAAAGTGTGAAGTAAGCCGTAGCTCAGGTGCTCTGGGATATGGTACAAGTGGCGCCAGTGTGTGGAGATCTGGGAGACATGGTGCTAGGAGAAAGGGGTCAGGGCTGGGCTGTGAAGTTGTTTTTCAGCGGTGGAAAGGCTGAAGCTCCCTCAGGAGGTTGCTGAGCTGTTCGGCCCCCTTTGCCTCTCTCCTCCTTGGCTCTTGAAAACCACTGAAGGTCTGAGCACAGCCACTCTAGAGTGGAGCAGCCGCCCTGGCTGCTGTAGTTTCCCACATCAGAGGTGGTGGGATGGATGAGGAAATATACCAAGTGTTTATCGCTAGCGCCTTCTCTTCCTGCAGTGGGATGTGAGAGCTGTGGAATGGCCTTGAGCAGCTACCTGTGATAGTGGTAATAATCTTTAACCAATGTGAGTGAGTGCCAAGCACTTCCCATGCTTGATGGCATTGAACCCTCCCTCTACCATGTGATCTTTCGATCTGTCAGTTGGGACACACTGGGCTGCAGGTAACAAGACGTCTGGTGACTCCTGGCTGAGCAGTAGAGACGCCCCATTGCAAACATCCTGGAGGAGACAAGCTCCATGGCTGGTGCAGAGGTGCTCACCTGGAACTCCAGGCACTTATGTTTCTGTGTTCAACCCTCTGTGTGCAGGCGTTTCGTTCGTGCTGGTGGGGTTGGTCATTGTGTGGTCATGGGATGGCTGCCCCAGCCTGAGGATCAGATCCTCAGACACGGCATCCTGAGCTAGGAGGAGAGGAGTAGGGGAAAGGTTTCCTCTTCACGTGCCTTTCCGTTTGAAAGAGAATATGTTCTTATAAATACCCCTCCTCCCAGCAGACCTCTCTTTACATTCCATTGGCCATAAAGGAGCCAGGGGCCGGCCCTAGCTGCAAGGGAGGCTGGGGCAGCACATGTCTGTACCGTGAGAGACAGCAAGAGACAGGGGATGGCAGTGGCATCCGCTAGACAACCAAGTGTCTGCTGTGGGTGGGTGCTATTACCACCCTTGCTATAGATGAGAGAAATCAAGGATCAGAGAGGTGAGAGAATGGCTTGCTTGGCATCTCATACAGCGTGGAGGGACAGAGCAGGGATCTGAAGCCATGTATTCCCACAGAGCCTGCAGTTTTAACCCCTGTGCAGTGCTACCTTCCTGAGGGGGACACCCAGCCGGCCATAATGCAGCGTGGTGAGTAGATGAGCTGCAAGTGCGGGGGAACACAGGAAAGAGAAACTCGGCTTGGGCACCATCAGGGAGAACTGTGAAGAGGGGTGGTTGGGCTGGCCTTCGAAAGGTTAGTAGGAGTTCTGCCAGATACACAGGAAAATGGCCTGAGGAGGTGGGGCCTGGGCAGAGGGCACAGAATGAACAAAAGCGGGTTGGGACAGTGTATGCTGGGTGGGTTAAGGAAGCCTCTTTGGGTTGAAAGGTGAATTTGTCTTATGTCACTGGGAAGTCTGTAGGAGGGGAGCTTCAGATGCAGCCCGAGTATGGGGCCCACACGTGCCATTGGGGCTCTCCTTGGCTTCGCTCTGCCAGCAGGCTGGAGTCGGGCAGATCCTCCTGGTTTATCAACTCAGTGGAAAGAGGATTTAGAGTCTTCAGTGGTTTGTTTTGTTCCGAGACAGGGTCTAGGTCTGTCACCCAGGCTGGGGTGAAGGGCATGATCATAGTTCACTGTAACCTTGAACTCCTGGCCTCAAGCAGTCTTCCCACCTCAGCCTCCAAATAGCTAGGAGTACAGGCATGCACCACCACACCTGGCTGATTTTTAAATTTTTGGGGGATGTGTGTGTGTAGAGATGGGGTCTCACTACATTGCCAGGGCTGGTCTCAAACTCCTGGCCTCAAGTGATCCTCCTGCCTTGGCCAACCAAAGTGTTGGGATTATAGGCGTGAGCCAGCACACCCAGCCAGTATTTATTTACTTAGAGACAGGGTCTTGCTCTGTTACCCAGGCTGGAGTGTAGTGGTTCAATCAGAGCTCACTGCAGCCTCGACCTCCTGGACACAAATGATCCTTCCTCCTCAGCCTCCCGAGTATCTGGATTTACAGGCGGGAGCCCAGCCTTTATTGTTTTTAATTGATAAGTAAACATCACATATATTTATGGTATACAACATGCTGTTTTGGTATGTGTGTACATTGTAGAATGGCTAAGTCAAGCCATTTAACATAATGCATTACCTCACTTGCTTTTTTTGTAGTGAGAACACTTAAAGTCTACTCTCTCAGCCATTTTGAAGTATGCCATGTATTGTTAGTAATTGTTGCTACCATGATGTACAGTAGCTCTCTTGAACTTATTTCTCTTGTCCAACTGAAGCTTTGTGTCCTTTGACCAACATCTCCACAATCCTCCACTGCCATCCTCTGTATTTTATTTTATTTTATTTTTTTGAGACAGAGTCTCACTCTGTTGCCTAGGCTGTAGTGCAGTGGTGCCATCTCAGCTCGCTACACCCTCCACCTTCTGGGTTCAAGCAATTCTCCCTGCCTTAACCTCCCAAGTAGCTGGGATTACAGGCACCCACTACGACGCCCAGCTAATTTTTGTATTTTTAGTAGAGACGGGGTTTCACCATGTTGGCCAGGCTGGTCTCGAACTCCTGACCTCAGGTGATCCACCCGTCTCAGCCTCCCAAAGTGCTGCGATTACAGGCGTGAGCCACCGTGCCCGGCCAATCCTCAGTGTTTTTATACTAGCCCCAGGGAATATTCCATTTGGGTTGTATGCCTATCCAAGAAGGTGGTATTTGGGAGTGGGTGGGGGAAGATGAGGTAGAGATGCTAGATACACAACATAATATCCACAAGTACATGTGCAACTTTTAATAGATACCTTCGTCTTCTGTACTTTAGTTTCCTTGTCTGAAAAGTGGGACTAATACAATCTTCCCTGCCTCATACATAGGGTTTGGGAAGATTCCACATGGTAGGCATTCACCAGTACAGTTAGAGAATGTTCTTTGGGCCGGGCACGGTGGCTCACATCTATAATCCCAGCACTTTGGGAGGCTGAAGCAGGCGGATCACTTGAGGTCAGGAGTTCGAGACCAGCCTGGCCAACATGGTGACACCCGATCTCTACTAAAAATACAAAAATTAGCCAGGCGTGGTAGCATATGCCTGTAGTCTCAGCTACTCGGGAGGCTGAGGCACGAGAATCACTTGAACCCAGGAGATGGAGGTTGCAGTGAGCTGAGATTGTGCCACTGCACTCCAGCCTGGGCAACAGAGTGAGACTGTCTCATTAAAAAAAAAAAAAAAAAAGGCCGGGCACGTTGGCTCATGCCTGTAATCCCAGCACTTCGGGAGGCCGAGGCAGGTGGATCACGAGGTCAAGAGATCGAGACCATCCTGGCCAACATGGTGAAACCCCGTCTCTACTAAAAATACAAAAATTATCTGGGCGCAGTGGTGCGCTCCTGTAGTCCAGCTACTCCGGAGGCTGAGGCGGGAGAATCGCTTGAACCTGGGAGGCAGAGGTTGCAGTGAGTTGAGATTGTGCCACTTCACTCCAGCCTGACGACAGAGCGAGACTCCATCTCAAAAAAAAAAAAAAAAAGAAAAGAAAAAGAGAGAGAGAGAGTGCTCTTTGGAACCTAGAGCACTGGTCTCCCAATTGGTAGAAGGCCCCAAATGGCACCTTGCCAGGACCTGGTGTTGCCATTTAAACTTGGGCTGCTTGGATTCAAATCCCAGCCCCAGCTGGTAAGAGCTAGATAACCTTGGGCAAGTAGCTTTACCTCTCTGTGCCTTAGTTTCCACATCTGTACCAGAGAGAAGAATGCTTAGGGCACTGCCAGGCACATGGTAGACATCAGTAAATATTCTTTTGATGAGTGCATGAATGGAAAATCTGAGTCAGAAGCGACTCACGGCTTGTTAAACCTTTTTGGATTTGTATCGCCTAGAGTCCCTCCAGAAAAGCATTACTCTGTTACTGCAGGCTGAGATGACCCATTTCCCTGTTCCTCAGCCAGCCCTGTGTCTTATCTTCTAGGAAAGAATTCATAGTAATTTTTTCCAGGAGTATGTGGTAGGACATAGTAATTTTGATTGGTAATGGAACCAGCCTAATATTATGGACATGTAAGAAAATGTCCATGTTTTTCAGAGCTGCAAACCGAAACGCATAAAGTTGAAATGACATGATATCCGGCATTTGCTTTAAAATACTTCAGGCCGGGTGTGGTGCCACACATGTGTATTCCCGGCACTTTGGGAGACCAAGGTGGGAGGATTGCTTGAGCTCAGGAGTTGGAGATCAGCCTGCGCAACATAGCAAGACCTCATCTCTACTAAAAGTAAAAATAAATTAATTAACCAGACATGGTGGGATATGCCTGTGGTCCTAGCTACTCAGGAGGCTGAGGCAGGAGGATCACTTGAGCCTGGGAGGTTGAGGCTGCAGTGAGCCAAGATCACACCACTGTAGCAGCCTGGAAGACAGAGTGAGACCCTGTCCAAAAGTAAATAAATACAATAAAATACTTTGGTAAGAAGGAAAAGGGGGGAAAAGGAAGAAATAAAGAATAGATGAAGCTAATATGGCAGAATCTTGACAATTTTTGAATCTAGGTTTGGGTACAAGGGAGTTCATTGTACCTTACTCCCTACTTTTTTTTAGCATGTTAACAGAACAAAAACCAGCCCTATCTATCACACACACACACACACACACACACACACACACCCACACACACACAAAGACTAAAAATTGTGTGACCATGAAAAGCACTGCGATCCTGCTGCCCACAGACAGTTGGGAAGGTCCTGAGCCAGGGTGGCGATGGGTAAATGACCACCTTGCAGTTCTTCGTTCATCCCCTTTGTGAGGAGACCTTTTCTGGTTCAGCAACTGGACAGATAGTGGATTTCAGGCCAAAGCATCAATTTCTCATCTCTTTCCTGCTGAGGAGGAGGAGACCAAACCCCCCAGTGACTGACTCCTGGGATCCCTTTCACTGCTGGGCCTGGTTTTACCATGGGGTGGAGGGAGCCACAAGCTGCTCTTCTCCAGGGACCTGTGTGATGACGGCAAAAACGTAACTGGCCAATCTTCCACAATGACTAAATATTAACTCCAGCCCCGCTCCTGGACGCACATGAGCAGTCTTGCCCATCCTTGTTAAACAGGCAACCGCCCCAGCCTTCTCTCTAGTTGCACATGGAAGTGAGTGGTGGGCTGGGTTTTCCAGCGCTGAACGTGCTCTTCATTCCGCTGCCTGTGGACGTTAGGGAGGGGCTTCCGCAGTCCATCTGGCACTGGGTGGGTCTCAGTCCGGGCGGGCGATCCACCCAGGAACTGACCCCTGGTTGCTCCAGAAAGGTCATCGTTTAAGAATGTTTCTTGGGTAGCCCAGTGGGAGACCCACGTGTGCGTGTGGTCAGCTGTAGCTTCCGGCTGTCTCACTTCTGCTGAATTCCAGCAATTTCTCATTTCCTTTAGGAAACAGGATGAGTCTGGAGAGGAGTATGAAAAATCATGACAAACCTGGCGATAGGGACACTGGGAACCTAGCCCTGAATGAAGCTTATAGTTGGTCATGATTGCCAGGGTCTTGAACAGTGTGGACCAGGGGAAAGAAGGTACCTGGGGCCAGATGCCCTGGATTCAAATCCCACCACCCCCACTAACACTTGTGACCTTGAGAAAGTTGCGTAACCTCTCTGTGCCTCAGTTTGCTCATTTGTAAAATGATGATAGTACCTGCCTCGTAGGATTTAAGGATTAAATTAGATACTGTTTTTTAAGTGTTTGAAACTGCCTCTTCTGTAGTAGTTCCTCAATTAATAGTGGCTATGACAGTATTATCATATCCTGTTGTAATGGGCATGCACAGTTAGGATTAAGAACCTTTGGTCAGCTAGGTGTGGTGGCTCACACCTGTAATCCCAGCACTTTGGGAGGCCGAGACGGGTGGATCACCTGAGGTCAGGAGTTTGACACCAGCCTGGCCAACATGGTGAAACCCTGTCTCTACTAAAAATTAAAAAAATTAGCTGGGCGTGGTGGTGGGTGCCTATAATCCCAGCTACTCTGGAGGCTGAGGCAGGAGAATCGCTTGAACCCAGGAGGCGGAGGTTTCAGTGAGCCTAGATCACGCTACTGCATTCCAGCCTGGGCAACAGAGTGCACAGAGTGAGACTCTGTCTCAAAAAAAAAAAAAAAAAAAAAAGAACCTCGGTTTATAAATAGTGGTTCAGATGGAAGCAGAAATTAGAGGAGAGGAAGAGGGAAGCACTTTTCTCCCCAGCAGTCCATGGTTTGAGGAAATAGGCTTAATTTCATCGTTGAAAAATGTTATTTTTCACTCGATGTTCAAAATCTCCTAGGAAAGCAGGGGCAAAAGACTTTTTTTTTTTTTTTCCTCCTCATGCTTGGTCATGCAAAAGACTTTAAAGAGAGAAAATGTCTCTTCCCCACTTCTCTATATACATGCTGGGAAAAAAAAGACTGGAAGGAAATGAACCAATGTCTTAACAGTGGTTGCCCTTTGGTGGGGAGAGAATGAGTAACTCTATAATCTTCTTTGTACATTTATGTTCCAAGTTTTTTATATATATATATATGTTATATATATATATATAACATATATATAACATATATATAACATATATAACATATAACACACATATAACACATATATAACATATATAACACACATATATATAACACATCAATCATATACACATATATATCACACACATATATCACACATATATCACACATATATATATATCACATATATATCACATATATATATACTACTTTCATAAACAGGAAAAATGTTAAAAAGTTAAGGAATCATGTGAGCTTGGCTTCTGGGGAGGTTGGGTGGAGTTACTTCAGAATAAAGCTCTCTGCTTAATGTTTGAGTGTCCAGAGACGTTTGCACCCCACCCTTCCTTAAGGTGTACTTGAGGCCTATTAAATTTCTACCTAGAAAGTTCTTGATATCAAAGATGATCCCTCAAACTCCATTCTTCCGCCTGCCCAGACTTGTTCTAGATATTTATCTTCTCTCCCACCTTTCTCTTGAGATGAAAGAACTCTAATTCTTTTGTGGTTCTTCTGATCTTGCAAAAGAACCACATTTTTTAAAACTTAAAAAAAAAATTCTGAGACAGGGTCTTGCCCTGTTGCCCAGGCTGGAGTGCAGTGGGAACAATCATAGCTCACTTCAGCCTCAGCCTCTTAGCTCAGGTGATCCTCTTGCCTCAGCCTCCCAAATAGCTATGACCACAGGCATGTGCCACCATGCCTGGTTAATGGTTTTTATTATTCGTAGAGACTGGGTCTTGCTATGTTGCCCAGGCTGGTCTCAAATTCCTGGGCTCAAAGCAATCCTGCCGCCTTGGCCTCCCCAAGTGCTGGGATCACAGGCATGAGCCACCGTGCCTGGCCCTGCAGTTTTTTAGTACTTTTTTATTATGATAAAATATGATAAAATGTACATAACACAAAATTAACCATTTAAAACTTTTATTGTGGCACAATATACATAACAAATTTTTTTTATATTTTATAATTAGCTTTAGCTTGATTGTGGTGATTTTGTCACAATGTATATGTATATACAAGTTGTCCACCTTAAGTATGAACAGTTTTTATTTGTCAGTTATACCTTTAAGGAAACTGTAAAAAAGAAAATATGCACAACTCATTTAGTAACCTAGAAGTCAAGTGTTTAATTTTCTGAAATTTTATTATGCCCAGTTACATTACTGATAGATATAGTTACCAAAAAAATGTACCTTACGTGTGCAGTTCAGTGGCATTCAGTACATGCACATGGTTGTGCATCCATCATCATCCATCCACAGAACATTTTTCATCTTGTAAACTGAAACTCTGTCTCTGAAAAACAATATTCTCCATCCCCAAGACCCCAGTCCCTGGAAGCCACCTTTCTATTTTCTGTCTCTATGAGATTGACGAATGTAAGTGTCTCCTATGAGTGGAATCATCCGGTATTTGTCCTTTTGTGGCTGGCATATTTTATTTAGTATCATGTCTTTAAGGTTCATTCATGTTGTATATATCAGAATTTCCTTCCTTTATGAGGCTAAATAATATTCCAATTCATATTTAAGGCTAAATAATAATGATATGTATATATCACATTTTGTGGCCAGGTGCGGTGGCTCACACCTGTAATCCCAGCACTTTGGGAGTCTGAGGCGGGCGGATCACAAGGTCAACAGATTGAGACCATCCTGGCCAACATGGTGAAACCCTGTCGGTACTAAAAATACAAAAATTAGCTGGGAGTGGTGGCGTGCGCCTGTAATCCCAGGAGGCAGGAGAATCGCTTGAACCTGGGAGGCGGAGGTTGCAGTGAGCTGAGATCACGCCACTGCACTCCAGCCTGGTGACAGAGCGAGACTCCATCTCAAAAAAAAAAAAAAAAAAAAAAAAAAATTTATATGTATATATATATATCTCACATTTTGCTTATCTATTTATCTGTTGATGGACACTTGGGATGCTTCTACCTTTTGGCTATAGTGAATAATGCTGCTGTTAACACTGGTGTGCTGGCAGGGCACAGTGGCTCATGCCTGTAATCCCAGCACTTTGGGAGCCAAGACAGGTGGATCACTTGAAGCCAGGAGTTCGAGACCAGCCTGGCCAATGTGGTGAAACCCGATCTCTACTAAAAATACAAAAAAATTAGCCAGGCGTGGTGGCATGCTGCTGTAGTCTCAGCTACTCGGGAAGCTGAGGCATGAGAATGGCTTGAACCCAGGAGGTGGAGGTTGCAGTGAGCCGAGTTCACACACTCCAGCCTGGGCAACAGAGTGAGATTCCATCTCAAAAGATAAAATAAAAATAAGACTGAAAACAGGAGAGTTTATTCAGTAAACATCAACTGAAGACCCTACTCTGGGCCAGGCACCAATGAGCAAGGCAGGCACAGCTCCTCCCTGGTGGAGCCCACAGCCAGGGAGAAAACACAAGAACCGCAGAGCCATATGGATAAGTACTGTGTTCTGCGTGCTCTGAAGAAGAATGGGATTTTTCAAGCTGTAGTACAGGGAGATTCACAGAGGCTCCCCAAGGAAGTATAGTTTAAGTGTCATTTTCTGGGTGCAAATGGAAAACGTGAATTTGGTGTATGTCTCTAGATAAGCCCCACTTCTGAATGATTCCGGCTGTGGGCAGGGATCCCCAGATGGGCGTTGCTATGGAAGCAGCTTGCACCTCTCACTTCCTGACTTGAGTTTATTTCCGAGTTTCCCGTGCCACCGCCAGTTCCCAGCTGTAAATACAGACGTGGCAGGGTCCCTTTTTCCTGCTGCCTCGTAGCTGCCCAGAGAACGGATGTGGCTGGAATCCAGCCCAGGAGCCTCCTCCCGAGAGAGCTCGTTGTGGAACCTGCCATGTGGCGGTTTCTCTTCCATCCCGCCTCTTTCCTTTGTCCTCTCTCGGGACTGTGCCAGCGTGCCCCAGCCTGTGTTTTGAAACTTTAGACCCCAGCTTGTATTTGGTAGAGAAATGAGCTCATGAGGGCTTCCTCCGCCACCCAGCAACCGGGAAGTTGAGTCAAATCTCTTTCATTTCAGATCCATCCCCCACCCCCACCCCCAGGCCAGATTTGCCACCCTTCTGACAGAAACTGGGTTAGCTGTTCTCTGGGACTGTTTGTGAGGAGGGGACTTGTTGACCTGAACAAAGGAACTACAAACAAGACAGGGGAGGGATGTGGCTGATTGCTCACTGGGATTGGGACTTTTCAGCTACCCTTCAGTGCTTTCGAATAGTAATTGCTAACGTGTTGAGAATTTACAGTGTGCTAGACAGTCTTTAAATCACTTTTAATCCATTTAACAGCTCAATCAAGTGTATATAATTATCCCCATTCTAGAGCTGGGGAGGCGGTGGGCAAGTTCGGCAAGTTGAGTCATTGGCCAAATTCCTGTACTGCAGCAATTTAGGCAAAAAGTGGGCATTTAACCAGAGGCTCCTGGGGCGGCCCAGAGACCTGAAGAAAGCCTCAGGACCAGTCAGTTACTTGGTTGCAAGTAACAAAAACACCAACTCAAATAGACATAAATTTTAGGGGAAAGGATTGGCTCATTCAACTGGAAAGCCCAGAGGTGGGGCAGATGTCTGGGCTGGCTGGTCCAGGAGCCTGGGGCTATTGCCAGTGACCCATTTTCCTTCTGTCTCTTTATTGTTCCCTCTGATGTCAGTGTCATCCTCAAACGTGGCTCCCCTGAAAGTTGCACACCAGCTGCCAGGACCCGCTCAGGCTTGTGTCCTTATCCCTGTCCTGAAAGAAAAAGAAGGTATCTGTCCCGAACTATCATGCAAAACCTCAGAGCTCCTGTCTGATTGGACTAGCACTGGTCATGTGATCTTCCCCGAACCAATCACTAATAAGAGGGGTGAGCTCACACTAGCAGGCTGGTTGCAAAACCTGCCATAGAGGAAGGGCGGGCTGGGTGCTGGGATTGGAACCAGGACACACATGCCACTGTATCTGCATTCTCTTCCTCACTTGTTCACTCCCCACCTCTAGATCTGCGTTATTCATTCTCTTATATTCAGTCTGTCTTTCTGCTTTGTATTCTACTGGACAGGAAGCCTGGCCATCACAGACTGCTGAGCAATACACGTTTCAGTACAGGCCCCCAGAGAGAGTCACCGCATGTTCTCTCAGCCCGAGTCCAAAACAACCCGAGGAGTGGAGGATGTCTCCCTCCGGACTAACCGGGGCCGAGGAAAGGGTTCTTTTGACAGGCTCAGCTGAGTCAGATGTCCCCCACCCACCCCCGGCCAATCAGCTACAGGCAGGGATGAAGTCATTGCTCCCTCTGTCCCCTGCCACGTGCCTACTATAACATCTTCATAGGACCTCTAAGCTGGAATCATTTAAGCAGGATGCCAAAGGACAGCAATTGGGCCACACTTCTTGACTGTAGTGACACTAAAACCTCATTGCAACTCTCTACAGGAAGGCCAGCTCTTCAGTGTGGCCCCCCAGACCCTGCTTGCTCTGGCCCCTGCCTGCCACCCGCCCCCACTCCCGCCTCATCCTGCAGATCCCTGTGCACTGCGCTCCAGCTGCTGGGCCTGCCTTCCTTGAATGCACCATGTCTTCGCCTTGCTCCTGGGCTGCTTTCTTGGTTCTCCCACCGTGCTGCCCACTACCCCTGCCCTTCTGGCCTGGCTGATGCCGACTCCTCCTTCAGATGTCTCCTTCAACACACTCCCAGGGGGTTGCTCCGAAGCCCACCCCGCCCTTCTTCCCTGAGCTACTCATCTGACCTGATCAGGGCTTCCCCCTCCCCTTAATGTCAGCTCCATAAAGGCAGGAACCAAATCTGTTTTGTTAAAGGTATGACCCTTTCCACCAAATATGCTCCTTACTAAACTTTGCTAAGGGAATGAATGAAGTGATAATAGTGACATAAGGAGAAAGGGAAAGCGGAGCACAGTGACTTGCCTGTCACTCAGCTAGGAATCCTGGCACTGTGGGAGGCTGAGGTGGGCAGACTGCTGCAGGCCAGGAGTTCGAGACCAGCCTGGACAACATGCTGAAACCCCATCTCTACAAACAATACAAAAATTAGCTGGGCATTTTAGTGTGCACCTGTGGTCCCAGCTACTTGGGAGGCTGAGGGGGGAAGATTGCTTAAGCCCCCGAGGTTGAGCTATGATCCCACCACTGCACTGCAAGCCTGGGCGACAGAGTGAGACGCTGTCTCAAAGAAAAATAAAAGCACCCAGATAAACAGGCGGTGAATGGTGGAGGAAAAAACTGGGTGCCAAGACATCATGTAACTAGTTGGGGAGGTGATGCTGGGGCTGAGAGCATCAGTCAAAGTTTGCTGGTCTAGGGGAGTGGTGGTGGCAGGGGTGAGTCCAGGGTAGGGGTTGGGGACTGTATATAAAAAGAGCCTGAGGTGGGGTAGAGCCAGTCTCGAAGAACTGAAAGGCCCGAACCTAGAAGCAGCATGAGTGAGGTGGGGATGGAGCAGTAGAAGGTGCAAGAAGCAGACAGGGCCAATCATGCTTGACCTTGCAGGCTTTGCAGGGTGTGGGGCATCACGCCTTTTACCTTCTAGGGAGTGGGGCACGTTAAGAGAGGGAAGAGGGCAAGAAAGGTAGGAGGGCTTTGAATATTGGCATGAGAATACTCTCCAGGGAGATGACAGTCCCCCACACTGACATGGGCAGCATCTGTAGAAACAGGAAATGCGTCTCAGACACATGGAAAGATACCTGACTCTGGGCGTAATAAGAGAAATGCCAATTAAAATCATGCCGAGATACTACTTCGCACCTCTCAGAAGGGCAAGAGCACAAGGCGTGCGCACATGCTGTGGGCAGTGGTGCGGGGGGCATCCAGGCTTCTCCGGAGCTAGTGGGAGGGAAAGCAGAACTGTCGCTTTGGAGGGGACTCTGGCCATTCCTGTGAGTATGACCGGGCACACACCCACCTTTCACCCCGGCAGCTCCACTTCTAGGAAGCTTCACCTACACATGTTCCCAAGTGTGAGAAGTGATCTTTGTCCAAGGTTATTCATTACAGCAGTGTTTGTCAGAGCAGAAAAGGGGAAATGGCTTGTGTGTGCCTTAATAAGGCACTAGAGGAATCAGTCGGGTTTGTCTGTGCAGCGGAATACCATGCGGCCGGGAAGGTAGAGTAAGGCCCTGATAAGAGGGGCCTTCCGTGTCTGTGGTGCTGCTAAGCAGGAAAACGAAAAGAACGCGATGGCTCCCGCCTATAACCCCAGCACTTTGGGAGACCAAGGCAGACGGATCATTTGAGGTCAGGAGTTCAAGACCAGCCCGGCCAATGTGGTGAAACCCTGTCTCTACTAAAAGTACAAAAATTGGCTGGGCACGGTGGCTGACGCCTGTAATCTCAGCACTTTGGGAGACCAAGGCAGACGGATCATTTGAGGTCAGGAGTTCGAGACCAGCCTGGCCAACATGGTGAAACCCTGTCTCTACTAAAAATACAAAAATTAGCCAGGCGTGATGGCACGCACCTGTAATCCCAGCTACTCTGGAGGCTGAGGCAGGAGAATGGCGTGAACCCGGGAGGCGGAGGTTGCGGTGAGCCGAGATCACGCCATTGCACTCCAGTGCAGTGCAAAAGTGAAACTCTGTCTCAAAAAAAAAAAAAAAGAAAGAAAAGAAAAAAACAAATATTGTATTTGTAATTGCCCGGGGGAGGGGGGATTTTGGAAAATGTGAGGAGAATATAGGTTTTGTGAAGATTCCAATGCCAGTCAGCCCTGGAGCACTCTTCATTATTTATTATTATTATTATTATTATTAATTCTTCTTCTACCTTTTTTTGCTTAACTTAAGCATACCCTGTTAGAGCACTCTTAACTGTCAAATTAGATCACCTTCATTTTCCATACCAGGCACTGTGTTCTTGGCTACATGTGTGTAAGTATCTTGGTGTGTGTGTGCATGTGTGTGCATGTATGATTTAGTTACTTTATTGAGATCTCTGAGACACCATCTCTGAGCGGCCTTCCTCAGCACCCTGTCTAAAATGGCCCTCCCTGTCGCTGTCTTCTGCTTTATTTTTCTTCATGGTGTTTATCACGGTCTGATGTTCTATATTTGCTTTCTACACCATCCTCCTTGGAATGTGAGCTCCGTGAAGGCAGGGATCTTTGTCTTTGTTCCTTTCTGTATCCCCAGCGTCTAGAGCAGTGCCTGGCCCATAGCAGTTGCTTCATGAGTGCATGTTGAATGAATGTGAGTGCGTCTGAAGACTGAATGTTATCCTCCTATTGCAGATGCGGACCTCAGGCCCCCAGAGGCCTTGCCCTCTTTTCATGGACTCTAAGAAATGAAGAACAAACTGCAAAGCCCACTGGTGTTCTGACTGGGGAAGAGGTGAGAAATCACCATAGGCTGCTTTTTTTTTTTTTTTTTTTTTTTTTTTTGAGATGGAGTCTTGCTCTGTCTGCCAGGCTGGAGTGCAGTGGTGCAATCTCAGCTTACTGCAACCTCTGCCTCCCGGGTTCAAGCAATTCTCCTGTCTCAGCCTCCCTAATAGCTGGGACTACAGGCACCTGCCACCATGCCCAGCTAATTTTTTGTATTTTTAGTAGAGACACGGTTTCACCATATTGGTCAGGCTGGTCTTGAACTCCTGACCTCAGGTGATCCACCCACCTCAGCCTCCCAAAGTGCTGGGATTGCAGACGTGAGCCACCGCTCCTGGCTAGGCTACCTTTTAAGCTGTTAAAATTCTCCCTTTACCCCCATTCCTTTTCCTTTCTTTTTTTTCCCCTTAGAGACAGAAGTACAATGATGGGATCATAGCTCGCTGCAGCCTTGAACTCCTGGGCCCAAGAAATCCTCCTGCCTCAGCCTCTTGAGTAGCTGTGACTACAGGTGCATGCCACCAGGCCTAGCTAATTTTTAAAAATTTTTTGGTAGAGACAGGGTCTCCCTATGTTGCCCAGGCTGGTCTCGAACTCCTGGCCTCAAGCAATCTCCCCAGCTCAGCCTCTCAAAGTGCTGAGATTACAGGCATGAGCCACCATGCCTGGCCACATTCCTTTTTCAAAGCCACCTTGAGAGCTAGGAATACTAGCTGGGTCTCTTCTGCTGGGTCCTGCCTGTGAAGCACTGAGGAGCATGCCTGCACCACAAAATTTCTCCAGCTGTCTGGGGTCCATCTCTCCTTCTTGCTTGAGCGACCCTTGTTCTGGCCTGGTTTTTTTTTGTTTTCGTTTGTTTGGTTTTGAGAGGAGTCTTGCTCTGTCACCCAGGCTGGAGTACAATGGCATGATCTCGGCTCACTGCAACCTCCGCCTCCCGGGTTCAAGTGATTCTCCTGCCTCAGTCTCCTGAGTAGCTGGGATTACAGGTGCCTGCCACCATGCCCGGCTAATAGAGACGGGGTTTCACCACGTTGGTCAGGCTGGTCTCGAACTCCTGACCTTGTGATCTACCCGCCTTGGCCTCCCGAAGTGCTAGGATTACAGGGATGAGCCACCGCGCCCAGCCCTATTCTGGGCTATTATTCCATGGAGAATAGGTAGAGAGAGAAGGAAATTTCCAGTGTGGAGGCACTCTCCTCTGGAGGGACCCCTCACTTAGGCTGTGTGCTTAATCTTATCAGAGTCCAATTTGCCCAAGAGACCTCCTCAGACATGAGGAGTCGAGGATGTTGTTTATTTCTTCAGTATTTCCGTTGTAATAACATCTTTGCCAGTGTGCTTTTGAGGGTCCTTCTGTGCCAGTTACTTTTCCAACCGTTCAATTGCTGTTACCTCATTTAACCCTCTCAACAGCCCTATTGAGAGTGGATATTACTCCTCCCACCATGTTACTGATGAGGAGGCTTGGGATTCTGAATGGGCTGGTAACCAGCCACACGTCCACAGGATGCTAAGCCGCAGACCTGTGATTTGATTCTGGCTCTAGCTGACCACCAAGATGGCGCTCCCTGGCCTCGTTGCCACACTGCTTCCCCATCTGCTTTGGGGATTTTCCCAGTGACCAGGAGGACAGGGTCTGGTTTTCTATGACGGCGTGATATGGATGGTTAATCATGTCGCAAAGCCCTGCTGTCCAGCATGAGGCTTTGGTGGGTTGGAGGAAGGTGGGTGGAGAGCCTGCTGCTTGTTTCTCACAGGTGTTTGCCACACAAGAGATCAAACTTCTGTTTCCTGTTGAGATTGGTTTCCATCTCTCTCCATTCATCTCTGACACTCCCTATCTCTCTTAATTATGTCTTATACTGACGTCTATAACCCTGCTCAGCCCTCTCCCTCCAGACCCCCTCCCAGCAGCAACTGCTGTTAGTAGAGCTATTAAGAACACAGGCCTGTGATCTCAGCACTTGAGGAAGCCGAGGCAGGAGGATTGCTTGAGCCCAGGAGTTTGAGACCAGCCTGGGCAATATAAGGAGACTCTGTCTCTACTGAACATAAAAATTTTTTAAATGAGCTGGGCATGTTGGCTCACGCTTATAACCCCAGCCCTTTAGGAGGCTGAAGTGGGAGGATCACTGTAGTCCAGGAGTTTGAGGCTATAGTAAGCTAAAATCAAGTCACTGCACTCCAACCAAGGTGACAGAGAACCTGTCTCTCAAAATTAAAAAAAAAAAAAAAGGGTCTGGGCACGGTGGCTCACTCTTGTAATCCCAGCACTTTGGGAGGCTGAGGCAGGTGGATCACCTGAGGTCAGGAGTTCAAGACCAGCCTGGCCAACATGGCGAAACCCTGTCTCTACTAAAAATAACAAAATTAGCTGGGCGTGGTGGCAGGCACCTGTAATCCCAGCAACTCGGGAGGCTGAGGCAGGAGAATCGCTTGAACCCAGGAGGTGGAGGTTGCAGTGAGCCGAGATCGCACCATTGCACTCCAGCCCGGGCAACAAGAGCGAAACTCTGTCTAAAAAACAAAACAAAACAAAAAAGAATGTACACACTCTGGAGTCAGGCTGCCTGGATGGAGCCTCACCTCTACTGTTACCCACTGTGTGACCTTGAGTAAGTGACTCTGAGCCTCATGTTCTCCCCTGTAATATAGGGGTAATAATAACACAACCTTCTTCCAAGGATGGTTGTGAGTATTCATCAAGATTGTGCTGAACCCAGGGTACAACTCATGGCAATGACCAACAAACAGGGTCTCTTTCTATGCACACAGAAACGTCTCTCCTTACACAGTTTGTTTCTTTATTCACTGAGAAGACATGGATGTGCGCAGATATATCTTATTTTTTCTTAGAGCTGCTAGAACATTTATTTAGCAGATACTTTCTTGTGAGTGGCAGCAGTCTTCAACAGTCTAGGTATCCATTGTGAACAAGGTGAGAGCCCTGTACCCATAGAGTTCATATATTCATCAGCAAGACATAATAAAGCAATCAGTGGGTCGGGCCTAGTGGCTCACACCTGTAATGCCAACACTTTGGGAGGCCGAGGTGGGAGGATCGCTTGAGCCCAGGAGTTCAAGACTAGCCTGGGCAACATGGTGAAACCCCCTCTCTACAAAAAATAACAAAAATTAACCAGGCATGGTGATGTGCGCCTGTAGTCCCAGCTACTTGGGAGGCTAAGGTGGGGGAATCACTTGAGCCCCGGAGGTCCAGGCTGCAGTGAGCCATGATTGCACCACTTCACTCCAGCCCGAACAGTGGAGTGAGACCCTGTCTTGAAAAAAGAAAAACAGCAGTCATGCTTACTGCTCTGTAAGCAATAAAAGTAGATTGAAGTAGGGGCCCCCTGATCTGGGTGGTCAGGGAAGACCTCCCTGGGGAAGCCTGCCTTGAGAATAGCTAGAGCCACACGTGCAAAGGCCCCAGGGCAAGCATGAAATTGGAAGGTCAAGGCAGCCAGTGTGGCGGGAGCATTTGGGTGATGGGGGAAGATGATGAGGCCCAAGATATGTTGAAGAACTTTAAGCTGGAAAGCAGCTGGAGGTGATCCCTGTTTGATGTAATCCTTCTGGCTGTGGGTGGAGAATAGAATGTAGGAAGGCAAAGGTGGCCTGGGGAGGCCAGAGAGGGATCTCATGAAGTTGTTAGGATGAAAGATGATGGTGGTGGCTTGGCCTGGGAGGGAGAAAGAAAGGAAATGAATTCAGGATGTATTTTGGAGGTAGTGGCAACAGAGTTTGCTGATGGCCTTGCTGTGGAGGATGAGGGAAGGAGGGACAGGAAGGATTCTCCCATGTGTCTGCATCATTGCTGGATCCCTGCTGACAGACACACAGGTTGTCTCCTGTGTCTCCCAACATGCATGAATGCACATCCTTGCTGGGCTGTGTCTTTTTTTTTTTTTTTGAGACAGGGTCTTGCTCTGTCACCCAGGCTGGAGTGCAGTGATGTGATCTCGGCTTGCTGCAGCCTCGACCTTCCCGGCTCCTGGCTCAAGCACCCTCAGCCTCCTGGATAGCTGGGACCACAGGTGCATGCCCCCATGTCCAGCTGATATTTTTTTTTTGGTAGAGATGGGGGTCTCACTATGTTGCCCAGGCTGATTTCGAACTCCTGACCTCAAGCGTTCCTCCCACCTCAGTGTCCCAAAGCCCTGGGATTACAGGTGTGAGCTACCGTGAGTCTTAAGGGATGAAGGGCAAGGGCATTTCAGGTGGAGGGAAGCATCTAAGTAAAGGCTGGGGCCCTGTTCTGGTGCTGTACAGGGAACCTCCCCTGCTCCCAGCCCAGCTCAGGCCAGAGTGTGGGGTGAGGGGCAGAACTGTCTCCTGGGCTGTGGAACAGCAGCATCCAACCTCAATCCACTACCCGAAGCATGTGGAGTTGCTGCCCATTTTGAGATTCTTTCATGTCCTCCATCCCCCGTCTTCTCCAGAGCTGCTTTCTCATCTGGCCAAGTCCATTCCCCCCACCCCCCATCCTCTCTCCTCCCCAGGTGAGTCCAGAGTTTCAGCTAATGTTGCAGCGGCAGATGCATCACATTGGATATCCTGCCATTCTCGGGCCCTTGCTGTCTGCATTTAGGTCAGCTTTGTTTTCCTGGGGATTGAAAGCAGTGGCTGGTGTGGCCTTTGGTTCTGGGCCAGCCTCACAAGGAGGCTGGACCTGCAGGAAGTAAACGAGAGGCCTCTTGTTTGTATGAACTTGATTCTTCTACCATCTTTGTCCCCTGTTCCCTTCTGTGTCTTGTTTCTGGCCTTGTTCTTGAGAGTGCAGGTCCCACAGGCAGTGGCCAGTGCTGCAGGCCTCCTTTACCCTTTCTGAGGGGCTTTGGGCATCTGGGGGACTCTAGTCCACTCAGCCAGTGAGGGCAGCTTGGTCAGTGTGAGTTTAAAACAGCATGACCTCTGAGCTCCCGTTGCCTCCTGCTCCGAGTTTCTCTCTGGCGCTGCTAGCAGGTGCTGGGCCAGGCCACTTGTCCAAATTAGCATCTCTGAGAGTTTGCCTTCTGCCTACCCAAGGGCTGTAGAATAGGTGTCACAGATTACAAGAAGGTAAAAGTTGACACATTTCAGCTCGTACCAGGTCCAAAAAGCAAAGAACGACCTGAAGGAGAAAAATATAGAGGATTAATGAGCTCAACTGAGTACCCTCCCAAGTTGCTGGAGGACATGTGAATCACTGCAGCCTTTTTAGAGCATGGGCTGAAAAAAAAAAGTTTTATGAGCCAGTACATGCGTGTGATAAAACATTCAAATGGTACAAAGAAGGTATACAATAGTCTTCTTCCCCTACTTACGATCTCCCAGTCCCCTCCTGTGAGGACACCCATGTCACACATGTTCTTCCAGAGATGAGATGCTCAATACAAAAACAAGCATGTATTATATGTGCAGTTCTGCACCTTCACCTGGAAACCATTCCGAAATGTAACCATGTAATTTTTCATAAACAGCCTTTGACCCAGCACTGCAACTCCTGAGAATCTACCATGCAGAAGAAAAAAACAAATAGCCTGAGTAGAAAAGGATATTTATTGCAGCATTGTTTGCAGTGGCAAAACAAAAAACCCTGGAAATAAAACAAATGCCCATTTTTCAGGGAATGATTGAATAAAATATGGCACATCTGTACTCTTGGCCTATCAGCTGCTAAGAAGAGTGGGTAGGAGCACTGCTTGCTGGCCTGGAGGCATTTCTGCGATGTATTTAAGGGAAAGCAAGATTCAGAGAAGTAAATTTGATAAGATCCTGTTGATGTAAAATACAGCGACAAAAGTCATTGTCATTTTGTTGGGGACAGTGGGTATCTACTTCATTCTCTTCCACGTCACATGGCCTGCTCAGCCCGGCATTCTGCCTGGGAGACCTTGCCAGGATCCTTACTTGTGGTCAGAGTAAACTTCACCCACTGGTCATTATTAGAGGCCTGTCTGCGAGCATCCTCCACCCAGCCACAGGTGGAGAGCCCATGGCATTCGTGCTGGTAAATGCTCACCTGGGCCTCTGTCAGGCTAGGAGAGACCAGCCTGTTCCTGGGTGCCAGGTGCCATGGTGAGAATCACTTCTCACTGACCATGGCAGGCAATCTGACTGATTTCCCAGTCACTTGGTGGGATGAACTAAGCGGAGTTTGGTGAGCCGTGAAGCGTGCAGCACCACCAAATCTGCCACTCATGAGACCAGCACAGAGGAATTACAGAAATGTTGAAGTCAGGACATCAGATCTCGGGCTGTGTTCCAGCTGAAGGTTCTGGGGGCAGAAAGCACAGGCAACAACTTAATTCACGTCCACCCCAAGCTCAGCACACAGAGCCACCCGATGGAATGCTTCTCACACCACATTCTTTTTTTTTTTTTTTTTTTTTTTTAAATAAGAGGGTCTTGCTCTGTTGCCTAGGCTGGAGTGCAGTGGTACAATCATAGCTCACTTCAGCTTCAACCTCCTGGGCTCAAGCGATCCTCCCCCGGCTAATTTTTTTTTTTTTTTGAGACGGAGCCTTGCTCTGTCGCCCAGGCTGGAGTGCAGTGGCGCAATCTCGGCTCACTGCAAGCTCTGCCTCCCAGGTTCACGCCATTTTCCTGCCTCAGCCTCCCGAGTAGCTGGGACTACAGGTGCCTGCCACCACGCCTGGCTAATTTTTTGTATTTGTAGTAGAGACGGGGTTTCACTGTGTTAGCCAGGATGGTCTCGATCTCCTGACCTCATGATCCACCCACCTCGGCCTCCCAAAGTGCTGGGATTACAGGTGTGAGCCACCGTGCCTGGCAGCCCAGCTAATTTTTAAAGATTTTTGGTTGAGATATGATCTGACTGTGTTGCCCAGTCTGGTCTCAAAACTCCTGGCCTCAAGTGATCCTTCTGCCTCAGCCTCCCAAAGTGCTGGGATTACAGGTGTGAGCCACCACGCCCAGCTCCATGCCAGATTTAAATGCAAGTATCAGATCATTTCACTCATTGGAATCACTAAATGACACAGCCTGCATTTCCTGGCTTATACGTATATATGTCATTCATTCTTACCAGAATAGTGGAAACGCTGCACAAAACCAACTTAAACTGTTTTCATTTCATATTTTGGCATGTGCACATTCTACCAATATTCTACTTTTGACTTACTGATGACGAAGCAATGATAGGGAAAGGAACTGTGGGTTACCGTATCTTTCTCTTGCCTTCCATGTCATTGTTCTGCATACCTAGTTGGCTAATTCAGGGAAGTGTGGCAAGTAAAAAAGAATGTGGCCAGGTACGGTGACTCATGCCTGTAATTCCAGCACTTTGGGAGGCTGAGGCGGGCAGACTGCTTGACCCCAGGAGTTTGAGACCAGCCTGGGAAACATGGCGAAACTCTGTCACTACAAAATATACAAAAACTAGCCAGGGATGGTGGTGTGCACCTGTGGTCCCAGCTACTCAGGTAGCTGTGGTGGGAGGACCACTTGAGCCTGGGAGGTCAAGGTTGCAGTGAGCTGTGATCAGGTCACAGCTCTCCAGCCTGGGTGACAGAGCAAGATCCTGTTAAAAAAAAAAAAAAAAAAAAAAAGAATGTGAGAGGTCTCCATGGTCTTCATGTTTCTTTCTGCATTTCATGTTTCATTGCCTTCTTTCTGCTGTGTTCGAAGCAACTCCTGGCTCTAATGGAGGGGCCTCTGGGGACTGTCAGTGTCCCTGCTTACTCCCTTGTAGTTGTGATAATATGCTTACTTTATACTTTTTGCTTTCAATCTTGCTGAACTTGCATGCATCGTTGGTCCGCCGGAATCTGCGCTCACAGGGGATCAGGAATACTGTATGAGGATGCCATGACTAGGAGTGACAGGCACACACGTGGCTCGGATCTCTTCTGCTCACATGCATGCTCCATTGGCCCTGGACTTCACTTACAAAATACAAGTTCAAAGATAAAATGATTTAGAATTTCAAGATGGCAACAGAGCATTAGACCAAGGGAAGGGCTCACAGCTTCTGGGGTCACACACTCATAAAGCTAGCCCCATCTGGGTTTGTTGCATGAAGTAACAAATACTCAATTGGAGATAGGGTTCTGTTACCACCCCAGTTTTAACTTACCTGACTTGGAGTAATAGCGTTTCATGCTAGGACTTAAAACACTTCTAAGGCCAGCTCTATTTTTAGTGGACTATATATACGAATCAAAACATAGTCAGTATCCTTACCTGTGCCTGTTTTTCTGCCATCCACTGGTGGGTAGTGGTCCATATTGGCAGATGACATCATCAACTACCCATTTATTCAAACCAGAAACATACACACATATAGGTATACATACTGTGAATTCACGTCTTCTTTTTTGAGATGGAGTCTCTGTCGCTGAGGCTAGAGTTCAGTGGCACGGTCTCGGTGCACTGCAACCTCTGCCTCCCAGAGTCAAGCAATTCTCCTGCCTCAGCCTCCCCGGTAACTGGGATTACGGGCACATGCCACCACGCTCAGCTAACTTTTGTATTTTTAGTAGAGATGGGGTTTCACCATGTTGGCCAGGCTGGTCTTGAACTCCTGACCTCAAGTGATCCTCCTGCCTTGTCCTCCCAAAGTGCTGGGAATACAGGTGTGAGCCACCACACCTGGCCTTAAAGTGATTATCGATATATTTGGTTAATACCGGTCATGTTTGTAATTGTTTTCTGCTCCTTACCAGATACTTCTTTTTCTGCCTCCTCTGGCTTTTTTTTTTTTTTTTTTTTTTTTTTTTGAGACTGAGTCTCACTCTGTCACCCAGGCTGGAGTGCAGTGGCGTGATCTCAGCTCACTGCAGCCTCCGGCTCCCGGGTTCAAGCAATTCTCCCACCTCAGCCTCCTGAGTAGCTGAGATTACAGGGGCACACGATCACACCTGGCTAATTTTTCCATTTTTGATAGAGACGGGGTTTCACCATGTTGGCCAGGCTGGTCTTGAACTCCTGACCTCAGGTCATCCACCTGCCTCGGCCTCCCAAAGTGCTGGGATTACAGGTGTGAGCCACCTTGCCCAACTTCGTGTCTTTATTGAAAATACAAAAATAGGCCCTTCAAAGAAATAGAGCAGTGACTTTGTTTATTGAATTCATGTAACAGGCATTTGCGGAACTGTTCTTGATATTGTGTCTTACTCAATTTGAATCCAGCAGAAAATCAGTTTGGAAAAACCGATGAGACCCTCTGAAGGTCATTCTTAAATCTTCCTTTTCTACCACACACCCATGGCCAGTCCACCAGCAAGGCCTGTTTGTTCCTGAGCCTAAACAAATCTTCACCAGAGTTCTCCTTTCCTTCCACTGTCCTCACCCTGGGCCACCACCATATAGCAACAGCTATCTCCTTTTTTTTTTTTTTTTTCTTTTGAGACAGAGTCTTGCTCTGCTGCCCAGGCTGGAATGTGGTGGTGTCATCATAGCTTACTGCAGTCTCGAACTCCTGGGCTCGAGTGATCCTCCAGCCCTCAGCCTCCTGAGTAGCTGGACTACAAGCATGTGCCACATGCCTGGCTGATTTTTTTTATTTTTATTTTCTGTAGAGACAGGGTCTTGCAGTGTTGCCCAGTCTGGCTTTGAATTCCTGGGCTAAAGCAATCCTCCCATCTTGCCTCCCAAAATGCTGGGATTACAGGCATAAACCACCATGCCTGGCCTCTCTCTGCTTCTTTTGAACACTGACAATCTCTGTGAAACAGCCAGAGGGATCTTTCAAAACTGTAAATCAGAACATATCATTCCCCTGCTTCCCATCACACTAAAAAGCATGTGGCTGACTGCGGCCACACAGCGCCTCGAGCACCAGCTATGTCTTGAGGCACACCCTCCCTTGCTGCAGCCATCCAGCCACATGGGCTCCCTGCGTGTTTCTTTGAACAGACTCATGTATCCTTCTCCATCTCCTGGGATTCTCTGATTTTTTTTTTTTCTTAGAGAATTTATTACCAATCTAATCATTCAGTCTGGATAGCCCTTTGAGTGTCTTTTTTTTTTTTTTTTTTTTTTTTTTAGGCAGAGTCTTGCTCTGTCACCCAGGCTGGAGTGCAGTGGTATGATCTCGGCTCATGGTAACCTCCGACTCCCAGGTTCAAGTGATTCTCATGCTGCAGCCTGCAGAGTAGCTGGGATCACAAGCGCGCACCATCACGCCTGGCAAATTTTTGTATTTTTAGTAGAGACGGGGTTTCACCATGTTGGCCAGGCTGGTCTCAAACTCCTGACCTCAGGTGATCTGCCCGCCTCGGCTAGGATTACAGGCGTGAGCCACCACACCCAGCCACGAATTTACTTTCTATCTCTATGGGTTCGCCCATTCTGGACATTTCATGTAAATGGAACTGTATAATCCATGGTCTTTTGTGACCGGCTTTCACTCAACATCATGTTTTCATGGCCCATCCATGTCACGCATGGATTCTTGCTTCATTCCTTTTATGGCTGAATATTCCATTGTATGGAGGTACCACATTTTGTTAATTCTTCAGCTAATGGACATTCTGGGTTATCCTTACTCCCACTTTTCACATAGCTTCCTTCTGCTTTTTCTTTAGTTCTGGGCTTAAATTCATTCTGGTTCTCACCACTGAACTTATATATGTACCTGTTTGCTTACTTCTTTACTCTGGTCCCCTAGTCTGGACGGTACATTTTGTGAGGGCAGGTACATTTTGTTCACCGTACCTAGCATCCTACCCCACACAGTGTCCAGAGTGAGGTAGTGCCCATTATTGAATGAATGACTCAACATCTCATATATTTCTCACTTTACCTCTCCCTAAGGCAAAGTGATCGTAACCCCACTCTGTATCTGGGAAGTTCTAGCTTTCTCCCTGGTGTTGAGGAGAGCAAGGCATCCTAAAGCATGAGGATACTTTAAATAGTGGCAGGTTACTAGAAGGATTTCTTTGGTGTAAAATACTGTCCCATCACTCATCTGCTATGCAAGACTACCGGCTCATTTGAAAAGCCCATTTGGCTGCCAGTAACAGACACCAGAAATAACAGTGGTGTAAACTCAGTGGAAGGCAGTTTCTGTCCTGAGTAAGACATCCAGAGATAGGCAGTCCGTGCCTGGTGTGGCAGCTTCACAGTCATCAAGAAAAGCAGAGTGCTTTGATGCAGGGTCCTTCTGCTCACCATCCCTAGCACAGGGCCTTTGTCCTTAAGGTGGCTTCATGGCCCAGTGTGACTGCTGGAGTCAAGCTAGTGAGTCTGGAGTCCAGGTGGGAATAGGGTGAGGGAGAGGCACAAAAGCATAGTCCAGCTTTGCGTTTCTGCTGAGGAATTTTCCTCAAAGTCCCACAGCTTGTATTTACCTTGCATTGGCCAGGCTGGCTGCAAGGGAGGTTGGGAAATGTAGTCTTAGCTGAGCATCCTGAGAAGGAAGAGAAGAATGGCTGCTGGGTGGGCACTTAGCAACTGGAGTTGATACATTTCCTGCCCACAGTACCCAGGTCCATCATAGCCAGCTTCTGCCCATTGGCCTGGACCTTCAAGCCTTAAGTGACCAGAATCAGAGCACGGACTTTCTGTGTGTGTCTGGTTGACCAGAGGGTGGGATTTTGAGGCTTGTCAAGGAGCATCAGTTCAAGAAACCTACCATATCACCAGCTATAAGAATAATGGTAGCTCTGGCCAGGTGTGGTGGCTCACACCTGTAATCTCAGCATTTTGTGAGGCTGAGGCAGGAGGATTCCCTGAGGTCACAAGTTTGAGACCAGCCTGGGCCACTTAGCAAGACCATATCTGCACAAAACTTTTTTAAAAAGCATTACCCAGGTGTGGTGATGCACACCTGTAGTCCCAGCTACTCAGGAGGCTGAGACGAGAGGATCAACTGAGCCCAGGAGTTCAAGACTGCAGTGAGCTATGACTGCACCACTGCACTCCACCCTGGGCAACAGAGTGAGACCCCGTCTCTCTCTCTCTATATATAAATAAATAGAATAATGGTAGCTCACACTTAATGCATACTTAGTGCATAATAAGTCTTGTTCTAAACAATTTTTGTGGAGTAATTTTTTTACTTAATCCTCACAACACCCTTACTATTATCCCCATTTTGGAGATGAGGAAACTGAGGCACAGAGAGGGTAAGTCACCGTAGACTTTCTCACTGTTAGTAATTTTTTTTTTCCGTTCATTCTTCCCTTTCAATGTGTTATGAATAAGAGGATTACAAAATAAAGCCTGACCTATTTTGGTAGATTGACCACTGTTCTGTCTTCCATCTGATTAGCTGGGGTCTGGAGAGTGCTTTGTGGAAAAGCACCCAACAGTCGAAACCACATTGACAGGCTGTTTTCATAGGCGTTCAGGAAGGGGCTTAACTGTTGGCACATCCAGCAAATGGCTGGTGACAGGAAGAAAAAGGATCCACAGCTATGCAGGATTTCCGCAGCCCCTGAGCCTGGGGCCAGCCGACCACAGTGCCTGTGTGCCAGTGGGCTGGGCCTGGCCTTTAAAATGACAGTCACCCTGGCTGCCCTTAGTAGTGTGTTAAGGAGAAAGAAGCTATTCTCTCTTCAGGTCCCCAAGCATTAATTCGGGCACCAGGTCATCTTTCTAGCTGCCTCTGATCAGCCATGCTCAGTGGAAATCTTTGAGTCCCACAATTCATCTCTGAGTTTTTTTTGTTTTTTTTTTGTTTTTTGAGATGGAGTCTCACTCTGTCGCCCAGGCTGGAGTGCAGTGGCACTATCTTGGCTCACTGCAACCTCTGCCTCCAAGCAATTCTCCTGTCTCAGCCTCCCGAGTAGCTGGGACTACAGGCGTGTGCCACCACACCCAGCTAATTTTTGTATTTTTAGTAGAGACAGGGTTTCGCCATGTTGGCCAGGCTGGTCTCAAACTCTTGACCTCAGGTGATCTGCCTGCCTCAGCCTCCCAAAGTGCTGGGATTACAGGCGTGAGCCACCGTGCCCGGCTTTTAGCTGAGTCTTTCTGAGACCCCTTCAGGTCCATGTTGGTGGCTCTCTGCAGACTCTCCAGGGTGGTGGCACAGCACGTGGCCCCCGGCTGCAGCAGGTGTTTCAGTTAGGAATGATTCAGCCGCAGCTAGCAGAATTCACAAGAGACATTGTCACCTCAACACATAGGCGGTCCTTTGTGTCATATAACAATGTCTGGAGAGAGAGGCTGGCAGGTTCAGTGGCTGACAGGTCAACACCAGCACTGCTCTGACCCTCTTGCCGCCATGGCCTTAAGACAGCTGTTGGACCCAGAGAACTCAGCCCTTCTAGTCTGGGCAGGGTAGTTCTGGGGACAAGGGGACTCTCTCAAATCCAGCTATCACATCTGCATATCTGCATTCCAAGCTGGAGAAAAGGCAGACTGGTGAAGGGGAAAATGACTGTTAGATGAGTCTGATCCTTTTTTTTTTTTTTGGAGACAGAATCTTGCTCTGTCACCCAGGCTGCAATGCAGTGATGCAGTCATGGCTCACTACAGCCTTGATCTCCTGGGCTCAAGTGATCTTCCTGCCTCAGCCTCCCAAGTAGCTGGGGCTACAGGTGCACATCTCCATGCCTGAGTAATTTTTCTATTTTTCTTTAATAGAGATGGGGTCTTGCTGTGTTGCCCAGGCTGGTCTCTAACTCCTGGGCTCAAGCAATCTGCCTGCCTTGGCCTCCCAAAGTACTGGGATTACAGGCGTGAGCCACTGCACCCCGCGTATGAATCCAGTCCTTTTTGTGAGGAGAGGGGAAATGCTTCTCTAGAATTCCTGAATGAGAAACCTTTGCCCTCCCCAAGGTTCTGAAGATACGCACCTGTGCTGTCTTCTAGACATGTTCATATTTTTCCTTTTTCATTTAGGTCTTTGACCCATCTGACATTGATGTCTGTATATGGAAGGAGACAGAGTTCAAGGCTAAGCTCATACTCTTCACTGTTGCATTTAGTAGGCACCATTGTTGGTGGTTCTAGAGCCAGACCCGCTGGGTTCAAATCCCTCCTGGCTGTGCCGTCTACTTGCTGTGTGATCTTGGGCAAGGTACCTCTCTGTACTTGAGTTTTCTGGTCTGTTAAAAATGGAGATCATAGTACAACCTACTTCACAGGTTATTAAGAGGTTTAAATGGATTGGTAGTTAAAGAACAGAAAACAGAGCCGGGAATGGTGGCATGCACCAGTAGTCCCAGCTACTCGGGAGGCTGAGGCGGGAGGATCGCTTGAGCTCAGGAGGTCGAGGCTGCAGTGAGCTATGATTGTGCCACTGCACTCCAGCCTGGGTGACAGAGTGAGACCCTATCTTTAAGAAGAAAAACTGTAATCCCAGCACTTTGGGAGGTCGAGGCAGGCAGATCACGAAGTCAGGAGATTGAGACCATCCTGGCTAACATGGTGAAACCCCGTCTCTACTAAAAATACACAGACACACACAAAAAAATCGGGCGTGGTGGCAGGTGCCTCTAGTCCCAGCTACTCGGGAGGCTGAGGCAGGAGAATTGCCTGAACCTGGGAGGCGGAGCCTGCAGTGAGCCGAGATGGTGCCACTGCACTCCAGCCTGGGTGACAGAGCGAGACTCCATCTCAAGAAAAAAATAAATAAATAAAAAAGAAAAAACAAAACACAACAGAAAACAGTGCCTGGCATGTAGTAAAATCACAACGAAAACCTTGTGCTTCAACCCAGAAAGAATTTGCACAGCCGCACATGGGTCTGGGGGCTCAGCAGGGAGCCCTGGGCCTGTCAGTAGGTGAAGTGAAGTTTGTCACTGAGGTTACCCTCTCTTCATCTTTACAAGAAGTTGCCAGATAGCTCTCCCAAAATGTTTGTTCCCATTTCCACCCCCACCCGCAGTGACTGAGTGTTCCCCTTACTCCACAACTTCAGCACATTTGGTGTTGTCAGCCTGGCATTTCGGCCAATCTGCTGTGTGTGGAATGGCCACACAGCATTTTCTTCCCAGAGCAGCTTATCTGCAGAGGTCTGTCTGTGAGCCCACTCTACCACGGAGTTACTTAGGCTGGGCTGGAGGCAGGACCACCGTGGGGCCCCCAGCACAGTGAAATCCTCATAGCTGTGTGTTCAGAGCACCACACTAGCACGCCTATCTTCTGGAGAGGGTGAGGCGGTGGGGCCGGGGGTCAGGGGGTACAGGAAATGAGAAAGAGACCCTCAAAGTCAGTGACCCAACCTTAGTCGTGTTTGTAGACCGCATCAATCCGCAAAAGAACCAGCGCTAAATCATTATTGTGTGCTATTAATAGAATATAGGTCATAAGAGGAAACATGATTAATTGCAAGATGATCTCAGTGGCTGTTGAGGGCCTAGATTTTCCCAAGGCAAAGTCCTTTCCTCACTTATCAGCTTTTCTTTGTTGGGATGTAGGCTAGAGGCAGCTGAATGAACAGATATTTCCCTAAGTCATTATTTCAAAGACTGGACAGGGATGGGTATAATGGGAATCTTCTCTAAATGAAGGATGATTGAACCACTTTATTAGTAGTTGAGTAATCCCTGATGCCACAGTGATGCTCTGGCGGTCTAGAAAGGAGAGCGAAGCTTACAGCAAAGGCTGCAGTGGGTTTGGTTCTTCCAGACCAGCCACTTACACAGCGGCACAGAAGAGAAAGGCCTGGCTGTCCCCCATCACCACTCAGTCAAGAGAGAGTGCCTGTGGCCAGGCCCTCTTAGAGGCTGGGTAGACACTGCCCAGGGTGTTTATTCTGCTCCAAGACAGAAACAGAAGAGAACCTCCTGCCGTCTTGGGACACAGAGAAAAGAGCTGGTAGGCCTGGGCCCAGCAGGCTAATAATCTGCCCACTTGGAAGCAGATGCCAGCAACAGTTGCAATCTCTGGCCGGTTAGATTGGCCAGCCCTTCTTCCTTGGGGAGGGGGAGGGGGGTGGACGAGGTAAAGGGGAGTGAAGAGGTATGAGCGGATGATCCTTTCCATGTGAATTGAGGTGGAAATACGAGGGTGGGGTAGAAAATCCTGGCCCAGAAGTACAGGTCCAGGAACAAGAAAGGGCAGGTGCTCCAGCCAGCCTTGAGGTCAGGGGAGAAGTGACCTGGCCAGCCCAGCAGAAACAGCTCACCTGGAGCCATGGTGATAATGCCTGCTTCATAGGGTTTCATGAGGGTTGAAATCAAGGTCATTAACATGTAAGTGTTCTGAAATGTCATATGAAAGACTGGTTTTCAGTATGTTGATTATGGTCTTGTGGAACTTTTGACAGACACTTCCTTGTAGGCCTGTTTTATAAAGCAGGAAAAAATGGAGCTGCCGGAGGTGAGATGAGGGTGTGGGGCCTGGAGCCTCGCTTGCAGCCTTCCTTTACCCTCTGCAGTCTCCTCGGAGGACTGTACTCAGGGGAGTTCAAGGTGAAACCTCCTGGGGGTCTCGGGGAGCCCGGCACTGCCCCCCAGCTGGCCCTGGGCCCCAGATAAGTCATTTATGCATTTTGGACCCCAGTTTGCTTTTCCACCAAGTGGACAGACAAGTCAGACTAGATCAAAGCATTCTTCACTTAGTTCCTACGGACAGGGGCTTCAGAATTCTTTGACATCTTTGAGACAGGCAGTATTTTGTGCTTTTTTTCCTGGAGGGACATGACATAGTTTTGTTTCGTCAGCTTCTTAGAAGGGTCATGTTCGCCCAAACATGAAGGAGTGCTGTATTGATTCCTCAGGTCCCTTCCTGTGCTGTTAGTTTGTTGTAAGCGACAGAACCTCCCCAACTCAAATTGACTTAAACTGCAAAGGGAAGTTAATGGTTCAGGGACCTGAAAAATCCCAGAGCTGGCCCAGCTGGAGTCAGTACTCAGGTATTCTCATCAGGAATTTACCCCTCTTTATTTCCAGACTCTGCCTTTCTCAGGTTTAACTTAATTCTCGGCCCCTTCCTCCTGCCCCACCTCTGCTCACCCTCAGGTGGCAAAGAAGTCCTCAGCAGTCCCCCTGCCTTACCACCCATCTGTTTCCGTCAGAAATTGCAGCAAAATGTCCAGGGCCCACTCTGATTGGCCGTGCTTGGCTCACGTGTCTCTCCCAGAGCCAATCCCTATGGCTGAGGGGAGGAGACATTCAGGCCAGGACGCCTTTCCCCCTTACATTATCTCATGGGATTCTGTTCTTGCTGTAAACCTGCAGGAAGTGAAGTGCTCGGCCTGTATGTCACCTGTGTGATGAATGGGTCATGGCCATGAGTGTGCTGGGATTGTGGAGGCAAACTGAAGGTCATCGTCCCTTCCCAGGTGGTAGAAAGTGGGGCCCTGGGATAAGCAGGGTACTGGCTGGATTCCCGGATCTGTAGCCCTCCTTTGCTGCCGTTTCCACGGCCCTTTGGCATCTTCCTCTCTCCTGCATGAGGGACTGCAGGGCGACGGGCATCCGCAGCTCCCTCTAGTCGGCAGGAAGTAGGTTCCTGGCTGAGAGAGACTTGGCACCACGGCACATCGCTGCTGATCAGCCTTTATAGAGCCATATGCATCACTTTAGAGAAAGAAAGGAGAAAAATTAGAGTGGCGGGAAAGCAATTTCCGTTGCAATTTAAAAGGCGGCTATTAAAATTTTATAAGAGCTTTATTGCAGGGGTTTTCTGATCATCCCAGGAATTTTTAAAATGGGAAGTCTAGTGATAAAGGAAAATGTTCTGGGTGCGTCTGGTTCCCTCCTGCCCTGCCAAGCATCTTGAAAACCACCATTGTGAGGGCTTCCTAGACCAGCTTAGCAATAGCAACGGCCCAAGAGGCCATTTCTGAGTGTTTTAAAAGCGTGTTTTTCTGTATTTGCTGTTTCTATGTATAGTGACTGTTTCTAATTTTATTTTGTACTTTGCTAAATGGCCTGGTAGGGAGCTATGGGAATCGTCAAGAACAGCAGTTGCCTCTGCCCTTCTGTGTTAGTTGAGAGTCATTTGGTTGTATGAACAAATAGAAATTCAGGTCAAAAGGAAGTCTAAAAGGAAGTGGATGGACACAGGGCCTGGGAGATTCGGCTTGGAATGGTTTCAGGCAAGGCTGGATCCAGGGCCTGGTGAGGTTGTCAGGACATGTTTCCTTTTACCTCCTGGCTCAGCATTCTTCTGTGCTGATTTTATTCTCAGGTAGGCTCTGAAGCAGCCCCTAGCAGCTCCACTAGTAGATTCAACCAACTTAGCAGCTCCAAGGGAAATAAACCATCTCTTTCCCCCATAGTCCCAGTATATATCATGGGGCTGGTGTTTACTGGCTCTGATCATCCTGGCTTTGGTGGCAGGGTCACCCCGGGCCATCTCTGAAGCTGGGAACAGGGAAGGTGGTGCAGTGGCTTTTTGGCCAGACTTGGATCATATGACCAGTCCCACCTCCACCCACAACCCATGGGTGGGGTGAGTCCCATAGGACTGAGTGGGAAAGATGAGGTTCAAGGGGCTGACTGAGGAAGAGAAATAGATGCAGGGTGGGTCAAAGCAACCGACGCCTGGAACCCCTTCCCATACTAACTTCACGAAGCTGAATCTGCCCCCACACTCCCCAGTTGTTCTTTTCCCTTGGAAGCTGCTCCGCCTTTACCTTCTTTCGGGTCTCGTTGAGGGGTTCTTAATCTCGGGTCCATGGACCTTTGAAGGATGGAAGATTAGTGGGTCACGAGGTTGGCTGGGAAAAACATTACATCTCTATTTTCGCTACCCTGTAACTGAAATTAACATTTTTTTATGCACAGGGCAATAAACCACAATTGGATTAGCAATATCTGTGACTTTGTCACTACTAGAAATCACGGATATTCTCATATCACATTACAGTGTTGCAAATATCACAAAATATCATTTAAACACCTACCTGTTTCTAAATCACTATAGGTATTGGACTCACCACTAGATCTTGTAATATAACAGCATTAATAGGCCAGAAGTGGTGTTTCACACCTGTAATCCCAGCACTTTGGGAGGCCAAGGTGGGCGGATCGCTTGAGGCCAGGAGTTTGAGACCAGCCCAGACAACGTGACGAAACCCCATCTCTACTAAAAATACAAAAATTACCTGGGGTGGTGGTGTGTACCTGTAAACCCAGCTACTCGGGAGGCTGAGGCAGAATTGCTTGAGTCTGGGAGGCAGAGGTTGCAGTGAGCCAAGATGGCGCCACTGTACTCCAGCCTGGGCAGTAGATCAAGACTCCATCTCAAAAAAAAAGAAATTATTCTGAGGAGTCTGCAACTAATTCACCAGGTTGCCAGTAGGAGTCCCTGGCATGAGAAAGGTTAAGAACCCCCTTGGGCTTCTCCAGGAACCCCAGGGGAATGATCATTGAAGTTGTCCTGATTCCTGGACCCTGGGGTGTTAGCTAGCTGCTTGCTAGGCTTCCTTCCTGGGAGATTCCTGGAGGAGCTGACCGGCCTTTGAGGTTGGCGGGGATATTTGGGTAGCATTTGGACATTATGGTATTGGGGAAGTGGAGCAGGGAGGTGTTGCCAGCCCACTGCCTTCATTGACCATTGTGACAGAGTGTGGTCTAGCCAGGTGGTCAGAAACAGACTCTGGGACCAGGTTGCTGGGTTCACATCCTGGCTGTATATAGTACACTTTTTTTTTTTTTTTAAACAGGGTCTTGCTATGTTGCCCAGGCTGGTCTTGAACTTCTGAGCTCAAATGATCCTCCCATCTTAGCCTCCTGAGTAGCTGGGACTATAGGCTTAGTGGGACTATAGACCACTGTGCCTAGCTTAGTATACTTTTGACTGACTGGGCAACCTCAGCTAGTGGGTCCCTTATGAATTCTGTGCCTCAGTTTCCTCATCTGTAACATGAAAGTAATAATAGTATCTTCTTCTTGGGTGATCGGGAGAGTGAAATGAGTCAGCACTTGTCTGCTAGGACAGAGCCGGCACATTGGGAGGGATTGTTATTAGTGAATGGCCATTGCATATAGGACAGCTCTAGACCCTCTCAGCTCTCATCTCCTGACTTAGTGCCCAGCCTCTGCCGGTGCCCAGAATGTGATGCTGAACAATACAGACAGTGCCTTCTCCGCCTGGAGACATTCATTCATCCATGGAATATTCACTTAAATATAAACAAGCATACTAAATATTCAAAGGCATAAATTAATAATATAAAGTTCCAAACCAGGACAAGTATGATTTCTCTGTCATTCCTCTGCTCACAGTTGTCTGAGGAAATGTCCTTAGAATAGCCCTTCATCTGTCCCCCCTGCCACCGCTTGCCCCTCACTCACCCCGTGCCAGCTCCATGGGCCTCCTGACTGCTCCTGAGATGCTCCACATCTGCTCCTGCCCTCTGGAAGGCTCTTTCCCAGGTAGTCACATGATCTGTGGTCTCATGTATTCACATCTCTGTCCCCTCGTCCGGGAGGCCTTCCCCGAGCTCTCCGTTTAAGGTCACAGTCCCATCACTATGGCGTCACCCCGCTAGGTTTCATCAAGGTTCCACTCTGTGACTTTGTATTGTGTATTTGTTTATTGTCCTCCTCCCCTACTAGAATGTCTGCTCTCTGAGGACAGCTACTTTGTCTTGGAGAACCCTGGTTGTATTCCCGGAGCCTGGCACATAGCAGGTGTTCAGTAAATACTTTTTTTTTTTTTTTTTTGAGACAGAGTCTTGCTCCATCACCCAGGCTGGAGTGCAGTGGCACAATCTTGGCTCATTGCAACCTCCACCTCCCGGGTTCAAGTGATTCTCCTGCCTCAGCCTCCCAAGTACCTGGCATGACAGGCGCCCACCACCACGCCCGGCTAATTTTTTGTATTTTTAGTAGAGATGGGGTTTTGCCATGTTGGCCAGGCTGGTCTTGAACTCCTGGCCTCAAGTGATCCGCCTGCCTTGGCCTCCCATAGTGCTGGGATTACACTCAGCCATGTTCAGTAAATACTTGTTGAAAGAGTGAATATGTGACTGACAGCTGGGTATTACTGCAGGAAGGCTTAAGTTGGCCAGAGACCTAACCTCTTCTTTTTCCTCCATGTAGATGCACAGTCTCTGACATCAGCTCTCCTGGGACCCTCCAAGAGCACTAGTGTCTAGAAGGCACTAAGGGTGAGTAAGGCGTGGCTGCTGGTTTGCTTAGAATTTTACAACTCATACACATATTATTTTTTTTAAAATTTTAAAAAAAGAGTATCAAGGGAAAAATGAAAGTTTGCATCGCTGTACTTCTGTCACCCGCAAGCCTAACGTCTACCCCAGAGGTAATTACTGTCAGTCACTGGCTGGGTGCCCTGCCAGACCTTTTCCCATACACAAACATTCCTACATGCACATATACACACTTATTTTGGTTCGTTGTGTGAGAAAAAGGAACCAGGCTATGCAGTGCTTCTTGGCTTGCTTCCACCATCCCCAATAATAGTATGTTTTGAAGATCTTTGCTCATGAGCATACCTCAGCATATCATACATTTCATATACTTTTATTTTTTCTTTACTTTTTAATTCAATTTTTAAACTTTACATAGAGTAAAACCCTCTTTTGGTATATAGTTCTTTGTTTTGTTTTGAGATGGAGTTTCACTTTTGTTGCCCAGGCTGGAGTGCAGTGGCGTGATCTTGGCTCACCGCAACCTCCGCCTCCCGGGTTCAAGCGATTCTCCTGCTTCAGCCTCCGGAGTAGCTGGGATTACTAGGCATGCGCCACCATGACTGGCTAATTTTGTATTTTTAGTAGAGGTGGGGTTTCTCCATGTTGGTCAGGCTGGTTTCGAACTCCCGACCTCAGGTGAACTGCCCACCTCGGCCTCTTTTTTTTTTTTTTTTGAGATGGAGTCTCACTCTGTCACCCAGGCTGGAGTGCAGTGGCGCCATCTCAGCTCACTGCAACCTCCACCTCCCAGGTTCAAGTGATTCTCCGGCCTCAGCCTCCCGAATAGCTGGGATTACAGGCCCCTGACATCATGCCCGGCTGATTTTTGTATTTTTGTAGAGATGAGGTTTCACCATGCTGGCCAGGCTGGTCTTGAACTCCTGACCTCAGGTGATCCATCCGCCTCAGCCTCCCAAAATGCTGGGATTACAGGCATGAACCACCGCACCTGGCCGGTATACAGTTCTTTGAATGGAGACAGATGTAGACAGTTGTGAAACTGCCACCACGATCAAGATTCAGAGCAGCCCCACCGCCCCACTATGTGAATGTACTGGTTTCTCTGTTGGTTAAAAATATGAGCCAGGTGTGGTGGCTCACACCTGTGATCCCAGCACTTTGAGAGGCTGAGGCTCGAGGATCGATTGAGCCCAGGTGCTGGAGACCAGCCTGGGCAACAAAGTGAGACCCTGTCTCTACAAAAAATACAAAAATTAGCTGGGCGTGGTGATGCACACTTGTAGTTCCAGCTACACTGGGGCTAAAGTGGAGGGTCACCTGAACCGGTGGAGGTCAAGGCTGCTGTGAGACCCTGTCTCAAAAAAACCTAAAAATTTAAATAAATAAATAAATACATACATACATACACATGTATGGCATGGGTAATGGGTATTTACACATATTTTATATATATATATGTGGCAAATATATATATATATATATATATATATATGGCAAATACTTACCTGTGCTATATAGGTTTTGAATATGTTATGTTTAGGTTTCTGGGTTGGGTTTGGGTTGGTTTGCTAGTGAACATTCTCTCTTGTTTCTGTGGGTGGGTTCTAAGCAGTGGCATGGGCCCCCAGCTGCATGTCATTTCAGTTTGCAGTGACGCCTTCCTGGACGATTCCCAGCTTTGTTGGGAGGGGCCATTGTCTGATCCTTGAAGAACCAAGAGACCATAACGGTGTGGGAGGTGGAAGGGGGAGGATTGTGGCATTCAGACCCTGGATGCAGGTAGCCGTGTCGGCCAAGCTGCGGGAACTGAGTGGCTGTGGATGGAGTTTCTCTCTCCTGGATGTTTAGTGGGTCTCATCACATTCCCTCATCCTGGCAGTCTTGCCTGGGTACCTGAAGCTTGTGTGTGGGACAGTTGCTAGGGGCCAGATTTCTGTCAAAGGATGCTTCCTGGCACAATTCTTGATTACTTTTATTTTGAAGTGATTTTAGAGTTATAAAAAAGTTGTGAAAATGGTTACAAAGTTCACATGTCTACCCTACATCCAGCTTCCCCCATGTTACCATCTTATACAACCTTAACACAGTGATCAAAACAGGAAATTCACACAACCCAGTACGATTAACTCAATGACAGACATTAATCACATTTCACCAGTTTTTCTGCGGATGTCCTTTTTTCTTCCAAGAGTCTATTCTTGATCCCACATTGCATTTGGTTTTCTTGTCTCCTTAACCTCCTCCGATCTGGAACAATTCCTCCGTCTTTCCTAGCCTTTCATGACCCAGACACTTTGGAAGAGGACTGCTCTGCTATTTTGTTGGGTGTTTCAACTTGGGTTTTTCTGATGTTTTCTCATGACCTGATTGAGGTTATTCATTATTTGGAACAGTGCCACACAGGCAGCATGCCCTTCTCAGTGCGTCATTGTGGGGGTCTGTGACATCAATGCATCATATTTCCGGTAATGTTCACCTAGATCACTTGGTTAAGTTGCTGTGTGCCAGATTTCTCCACAGTAAAGTTACACTTTTCCCTTTGTAATTAATGGCTATCTTGGGGCACTCCAGGCCAGGAGTTTGAAACCAGCTTGTGCAATGAAGTGAGACCCTAGCTCTAAAAAAATAAAATAGAAACAAATTAGCCAGGTGTGGTGGTGCACACCTGTAGTCCCAGCTACTCAGGAGGTTGAGGCAGGAGGATCGCTTGAGCCCAGGATGCGGAGATTGCAGTGAGCTGAGATCGTGCCACTGCACTCCAGTGTGGGTGACAGAGCAAGAGCCTGTCTCTTTAAAACAAAACAAAAATGCTACCTTTGGGGAGAAACTTTGAGGCTATGCTAATATCCCACATCCCGCTTTTCCTCAAACTTCCACCCACTAATTTTACCATCCATTGGTGGCCGGGTCTTGTCTACAGCAGTTACTGCTGTGCTGTTTCCCTGATGGCAGTTTTTGTGTGCCTCTCATTCCATCTACATTTATTAATTGGAACTCTTCTGTAAGGAAGACCTGTCCCTTCCCCCTTATTTCTTTATTTAGTTACTAATTTATATCCTATGGGCTCATAGATACTTGTTTTAATCTAGCACATTCCTTTTTCATGTGATAAAAGCTCCCAAGTTCCAAGTAAATTCCTAGCATTGCCTCTCACACAGCAGGAAGAACGGCACTTTTCCTACGTGGTAACCAGGGCCTTAGGGAACTTGGAAAGAACATGAACAGGTTTCGTTTGTTCATTCATTTATTTTCCTTCACTCAGCAAATATGCATTTGAGCACCTACTATCTGCTTCTAGGCACTAGGGATTCAGGAATGAAAAAACAAACTCCTTACCTTAAGGGAACGGACATCCTACTGGAGAATAAAACAGTAAACAGATAAAAAGTGAATATAGGGCTGGGCATGGTGGCTCACACCTGTAATCCCAACACCTTTGGGAGGCCAAGGTGGGCGGGTCACTTGCGGTCAGGAGTTCAAGACCAGCCTGGCCAACATGGTGGCCGTCTCTACTAAACCCCGTCTCTACTAAAAATACAAAAAAATTAGCCAACCGTGGTGGCACACACCTGTAATCCTAGCTACTTGAGAGGCTGAGGTGGGAGGATCGCTTGAACCCAGAGGCAGAGGTGGCAGTGAGCTGAGGTTGCGCCACTGCACTCCAGCCTGGGCAACAGAGCGAGACTCGGTCTCAAAAAAAAAAAAGAAGTGAATATAGGATAAGTTGGATGTATATAGTGTACATAGGATGTATATAGGAGTATATAGTGATGAATAAAGCAGGGAAGGGGACTGGCCTCACAGGGCAATTTTCGGACAAGGTGGCCAAGGAAGGCCTCTCTGAGGAGGCCCTGAATAGAGGAGGGAGTGAGGCGGTCCCCAGCCTAATTCATCCACAGCCATCCGGGAGATCACAGTCAAATCATCTCCCTTCTGAACACAGTTTCTGTGAAAAGGAAATGTGTTCCCTCTCCAAGGGGCAGCCCTGCTCAGCTGGAGCCAGTCTTATCCCTGAGTATTGCCAGATCTGATGTTCCCCGCAATAGAAAAGGAAAGTGAAAAATTTTTTGCCAGTCCATTGAACCCAAATTATGCAACGTCAGATAATGAATGACTGTGACTATGTTTTGTTTTCATTGTGTTTATTTTTTAAGTTTGCTTTTCTTTGTAGCAAAAGATAGCAATTTTTCATTTTTAGTGGTGATATGGATTCTTTTTAAATATATAAAGCTTGAACATCACTTGAGGGCTGGGTGCAGTGGCTCACTCTATAATCCCAGCTCTTTGGGAGGTCAAGGCAGGAGAATCACTTGAGGCCAAGAGTTTAAGACCAGCCTGGGCAGCAGAGTGAGACTCCATCTCTACAAAAAATGTTTTAAATAGCCAGGCTTGGTGGCATGCACCTGTAGTCCCAGGAACTCGGACGGCTATGGCAGGAGGATCACTTGCGCCCAGGAGGTCGAGGCCATGCTACTGTACTCCAGCCCCGGGCAATAGAGCGAGAGAGATACGTATGTGTGTGTGTGTGTGTGTGTGTGTGCGTGTATGTAAATAATTGTACAGATGGGGAGTAGATACAGCTGAAAAGGAAGGGTGGAACACAGCGACTGGGCTTGGTAAGCACTGTATGGCTCAGCCACCCACTGTTTTTCCTCTGGGTCAGGGGTTCTCAGCAGCGGGCCTGAGCTGAAATTGGCAAACAATTACCATGGGTGTGCGCCTTGAGCCATTTGCATCATGGTATGTGCATTCGGCCAGGAATGTCTTCAAGTTTCAGGAACAGAAACCCCCGCTCACTGCAGCTTGATTGAATGAGGGCTTATTTCTCGCTCACAACAGCACACCTGGAGGTGCTTGGCTGCCAGTGTTAGTTTGGTGGCTGGGCAGTGTCAGGGCAGAGCCGCTTTGATTCTCTTGATCTTTCCCCTCATGGACACATCGCTCCTGCTGCCATGTCGCATAGCCTCCCCTAGCTCCAAGGAAGGTGGCAAATGTTATTTAACTTTTCAGCCTTTCCTGAGGAGGAAGCCAGAGAAAAAATGAATTGAGAGTATCTGTTGGGGTGGCCAGCCAGCACTGCCTGGTTTCATGGGGAAGGAAAAGCAGTAATAATGAACATTAATGGGTGCTGACTCTGTGCCAAGCCCTGCCGTAAGCGCCTCACGTGCATGATCTCATTCAGTTCTTGTAACTACCCTAAGACGTCACTGCTGTGATATCCCCATGGTAATGATGAGGAAACTGAGGCACGAGTGGTGAAGCTGCCTGCCAGGTAGAGGAGCTGGGACAGGGAGGCATGCAGCCTGGGTCCAGGGCCCCTGTTCTTAGCCACTACACTTTGTTGCCTCATAAGAGGTCCGGGGGTGCGGGGGGTGGGGTACAGGGGACCAGGCTGCTCACTGTCTGGCCTGGGTTTAAATTCTTCCAGCAAGGGCAGAGCCCAGCAGTGTGTTTTGCTTTGGGGAAGTTGTGATCATTAAAAAACTGTCTTGTGAATCACATCCGCCCCTGTGTAACTAACTACCTCCCACTGGTTCAGGTCTAGTCCTCGGGAGAGCACCAGCTGCACGTCTTATTCCTGGCAGCCCTGCAGGGACTTACAAGTGGCTGAGGGAACCCCTCTTGGCCTCCCTTTTTCCAAACTATACCTGTGCTTTTAGTTATTCTTCCCAGGATGAGCCTTCTAGCCTTTTCTTTCTCTGGAGGTCTGCTGGTTGATTGCGCACACATTTGATATGCGCCTCCCCTGCCCGTCCCTGTAGAGTAGTGGGGATGCAGTGGTGACTGGACCAGCCTCATGGCTGGGTGGCTCTGCCCTCATGCGGCTCCCCATCCGGTGAGGGAAGCAGACCTTCAGACCCCAGAGTGGTCAGGTCTGTGATCGGGGAAGCCCAGGGGAGTGGGAACCCAGTGGAGGTGCCTAACCCAGCCTAGGGGTCAAAGAGGGCTCCTGGAAGCAGCTTTTGGGCTTTGGAGGTGGAATAGAGATTCATCAAGGAGCCGTTTCTACCATCTTCTCCACCTGCCTTTCTTCAGTGAAACTCTCACGACAGCTCTCCTTTCTGAACTTCTGTTTCCCTCCTCAGTAAAATGAAAGATTCAGACTTGGGTCTCCATCCATCCTTCCAACCAACCATCATTGATTGGGCACCTCCCATGTTCCTGCTCCTCTTGCTGGGCACGAGGCTTACCCTGGTATACAGTATGTTGGGAAGTTCTGCAGGTAAACAACCCAGAGTGATAAGAGTTCTAATAGGGGAAGCCACGGGGCTGTGGGAACCCCAAGAAGGCACCTAACGGTGACTTGGAGTTTGGGGACAGGCTTCTCCAGGGAGATGAAAGCAAAAATGGGTTGACACGGTGGCCAAGAGCACAGCTTTCCGGAATCCAGCTGACCTGGGGTCTAGTCATAGCTGAGCCCGTGACTAGCCCTAAATGGGCAGCTTAACTGTGGGTGCTTCCATTTTCTCCCAAGGTGGTTGTAAGGATTAAGATGGGATTATGAATTTCAAGTACCTAGGACAGTACCTGGCACGAGAAGTCGCATAATAGATGATAATGAGATGATGATGATGAGATGATGGTGGTGGCGGTGGTGGAGGTGGTGATGATGATAATGAGGAGGAGGAGGATGGTGGCAGCTTGCATTCATTAGCCCTTACTGCATGTTGGAGGTTAGGTGGCTTAGTAACAGCCTATAAGATAATAAGCGTGAGCTGCTGCTGTTGTGATTATTCATTCACCAGACATGTGAGGGGTCGCCCTGCACCCAGCCCTGAGCTGGCACAGGCCTAGGTGTAGCAGGACTGTGTTCTGGGAGCAGAGTTCATACAGCGAAAGCCTGGGCCAGGAATTTCATGGGCCAAGTTGGGAGTTTCTTTGGTGTGTGTTGGAGACCCATGGCTCCTGGCCTCCTGGTCCCCTTTCTTGTTCATTCCTGAGACTTTTCAGCACTGGCCTCAAGAGTGTAGGCTGCCCTTGACCTCTGTGGCCAGAACGCATGGATGCTCTGCTCAGCCCATCAGCCAAGCCCCAAATTAGACCTGACAGTGTGATTTATTCTCTGGGATGGAGCCGGGAGGGCACAGCCCCAGTGGGTGATTCGGAGGGAAGGTTGTCAGCCCGAATTAGCCCAGACCTTTCATGCAGCCTTGCTGGTTCAGCTTCCTCTGGCTAAGAGGGTTTTCCAGGGTGTTGCTGGCTTCAGCACTGCCTCCTTCCCCGTCCCCAGGGACGGACACTTGGCTGTGATCCCTAAGGAGCGTGTGTCCCGAGGGCTGCCCAGGCAGGCCCTGTCTGAAGGCAGTGGAGGCTTTGGGTCATTTCATCTGCCCCCTCAGGAGCACAGAGTCGCAGCTCCGTGGAGTGCTTGGCCCATTCCCCGCTTCTGTTCTTTCACTGAGTTCCGTGCTGGGTGGCTGGTGGCCGTTTCCCTGCTCCACACCTTCCGGTCGGTGATCACAGTGTCTCTGCTTTCTAGCTGCCTTCATTCATTCACAGGAATGCCTCTGATGGGCGAGTTTCTGCTGCAGTAACAAATTAACCCTGAAATCCTAGAGGTTGGACACAACAGATGTCCATTTCTTACTTGTGACATGGGCAGGTCAGGTGGGAGGGCTTAACCTTGTACCTCAGGGACCCAGGCTGACAGGAGCTCCCCCCACTCGCCCCATCCCGGCCTGCCCCTGTCTTGGAGCCTCACAGGCTGCAGAGACACCACAGCAGAAGGGGACGGAGAGGTGCACAGCAGCACTTAGATGCCGAGGCCCAGAAGCCACGTGTTCACTTCCACCTGCACCCAGAACTGTCACACGGTCCTGCCTAACTACAAGGGACTAGAAATACGATACTCAGTGAGCAGTAACTCTCATAGCCACAGTGGACTGGTGGGGTATTTATGCAGCACCTACTGTGTGCCAGGCCTTCTCAGGGCTCTAGAAATGCAGAGGTGTCCCCCTGCCTTCCTGGAGCTCATAGTTTAGTGGTGGAAACAGAATTGAAGTAATTACAGCAACAGCTGTGTGATTATGTCTGCACTAAGTGCTCTGGCAGAGGAGCCCAGAGGGCCGTGACAGCATATCTGAGAGCCCGGACATGTCTTGAGAGGTCAGGGAACGTCTGTCATAAGGACTGACGTTTGGGAGGAGGCCTGAAGGATAAGTAGACCTTCCCCCAGTGGGGGCGAGGAATGGGGAGAGAGTCCCTGGTAGAGGGAACCGCATCAGCAGAGCTCCGGACGTGGGAAGGAGCTTGACTCTGCGAAGGAACTGGAAGAAGACCTGTGTAACTGCAGGGTCAAGAGCTGGGAGAGGTAGGTGGGGGCAGATGGTGCCGGGTCTGGCTGGCGGTGAGGAGGAGGCTGGGACTTGGAACACCTGCCTTTTGGAGCTGTTGAAAGAATCAAATGAGCTCAGTCATTCTCTTAACAAATGCTGAGTTCCCACTCTTTGGCAGGGGGTGTTCCAGCAGTGAACAAGACGACAAATATCCCTGTTCTCAGAGCTGGCATTCGAGGAGCGGGACACAGGCAGTGAACCAGGCAGATACATAGGATAATTTTTACCTGGTGAAAAAAACTGCTGACCAGTAAATAGAGTAAAACAATAAGGAGCGTATGGATTGGAGGCTTTTGGCTCCAGGTAACGGCAACCCCCATTCATGCAGACTTAAGCAGTCAGGCCCCCCACCTCCAAGTCTGAGGGTTCTTTGGACCCTGTGAGCTGGTGACACAGCAGCTCAACAATAGCCTGGGGGACTGTCTGTCACGGTGCCTTCATCTTAAAGCAGGCACCTTCCATGGTCAGAGGATGGCAGGTAGGGATGCCCTGGGCAGTGTCAGGGCAGGTAGCGGGAGATTTTTCAAACTCTGCATGTCCCAAGGATCTGCCACTAGCGTGCCTTGGTGACAGTGAATTATAGAAGCCAGTGTGAGAGTAAGGAGGAAGCTGTTGCTCTAGTCTAGGCTGGAGATGCCAGAGGATGGGGCCAGGGTAAGGAGCATGGAGGGAGAGGAGGGGGCAGGTTCTGGGTACGGTTTGGAGGTAGAGTGGACAGGACTTGCTAATGGCATGGCTGCTGGAAAGGAGTTCTGAGCAGACACACACAGATGTCCACTGTGCACTGTATCTTCCTCATGTAAAAGTCATGTGCAGGCCAGACGAGGTGGCTCATTCCTGTAATCCCAGCACTTTGGGAGGCCCAGGTGAGCAGATCACCTGTCAGGAGTTCGAGACCAGCCTGGCCAGCATGGTGAAACCCCATCTCTACTAAAAATACAAAAATTAGCCAGGCATGGTGGTGGGCGCCTGTAATCCCAGCTGCTCAGGAGGCTGAGGCAGGGAGAATTGCTTGAACTCAGGAGGCAGAGGTTGCAGTGAGCCAAGATCACGTCACTGCACTGTAGCCTGGGTGACAGCGAGACTCCGTCTCAAAAAAAAAAAAAAAAAAGTCATGTGCATGTTACAGTCTGAGAAATCCTACAGGAAAGAAACCCGCTTCTTTGACTATGGAGCACTTTTCTTTTTGAAAGACACCCAGGAACATCTTCTACAGTGTAATTTGGAAAATGTTTAATAATGATTCCCATCCTTGCTGTACATTAGAATTATGTTGGCAACTTTAAGAAATCCCAAGGCCTGGGTCTCACCCTTGACCAATTCAGTTAGAGTTACTGAGCGACATTATAAAGCTGTATTATTTGTTTGCATTTCTTTAATTTTTTAATTTTAATTTTTATTTTTTGGAGACACAGTCTCACTTTGTCGCCCAGGCTGGAGTGCAGTGGCACAATCTTGGCTCACCACAACCTCCGCCTCCGAGGTTCAAGCAATTCTTATACCTCAGCCTCCTGAGTAGCTGGACCACAGGCGTGCACCACCACGCCTGGCTAATTTTTTGTATTTTAGTAGAGACAAGCTTTCACCATGTTGCCCAGGGTGGTCTCGAACTCCTGAGCTCAGACAATCCACCTGCCTTGGCCTCCCAAAGTGCTAGGATTACAGGCATGAGCCACCTTGCCTAGCCTGCATTTCTGATTATCAAAGTAATGCTTGTTTGTTGTTTAAAAAAAGAAATCAAAGGACCCATAATGCCCCAAGATAATCACTTTTATGAGCTGGTGTGTGTCTTCCAGATTTTTTTCAACACTTGTACCTAAAAAATGCCATACGTGCCCCAAAACAAAGTGGTTCGATAGCTTTCCAAAGAGATGAAAAAAAGTTTGCCAGCGGGGGGTGGGGGTGGTGGGGGTGGGGGTCGGGCATGGTGGCTCACGCCTGTAATCCCAGCAATTTGGGAGGCTGAGGCGGGTGAATCACTTGAGGCCAGAAGTTCGAGACCAGCCTGGCCAGCATGGTGAAACCCCATCTCTACTAAAAATACAAAAATTAGCCTGACGTGGTGGCACGCGCATGTAATCCCAGCTACTCAGGAGGCTGAGGCAGGAGAATTGCTTGAACCGGGGAGGCAGAGGTTGCAGTGAGCCAAGATTGCACCACTCTACTCCAGCCTGGGCAACAGAGCAAGACTCTGTCTCAAAAAAAAAAAAAAAAAAAAAAAGTTTGGAGGCCCACCTGAAACATTCAGGGATTTGAACAACATAATCAGCTGCCTTTCTGTATTTCCTAATTGATTAATTTTGTGACATGTTTGGAATCCAGATATCAAAAATGTTGAATTCAGCAGGGTACAGTGGCTCACGCCTGTAATCCTGTCCCTTTGGGAAGCATAGGAGGATCGCCTGAGGCCAGGAGTTTGAGACCAGCCAGGGCAACATAGCAAGACCGCATCTCTACAAAGAAAAAAAATAGCCAAGTGTGGTGGTGTGTGCCTGTGGTCGCAGCTACTTGGGAGGCTGAGGTGGGAGGATCGCTTGAGCCTAGGAGGTAGAGGCTGCAGTGAGTCATAATTGTAACACTGCACTGCAGCCTGGGTAGCAGAGGGAGACCCTGTCTCAAGGAAAAAAGAGAAAATTGGACTCAAAATGTTCCGTATATCCTCTCACATGTCATAAAACAGTGTTAGTCACACTTTTCACAGACATCCTTATTACAAGAGTCACTTTTTGAGTCATCTACACGTATTTCCAGAGTACGCTGTCTCCACGTCCATCTGAAGCATTTGTGATGTGGCACCCCTTGAATTTGTGTATGTTGTCACTGGAAACTGTATCCCAACACTCAGGAAGCCATTCCTCTACCATTAGACAGTTTTTTTTTTTAATGCCCCTTTTAGGAATTGGTGATCTCTACAGCCACTCACTGTTAGGTTTTTTTAAAAAACCAACTCAGATGTTTAAGGACAGTTACTGAACATGGGTAAGTGGCTGAGTAAACGTGAACATATAAAAGTGGTTATATAATCGCCTGTTTGTGAGTCAATCAGACTCATCATTCCAGTGCGAATAATAAATGACAACTTAGGAAAATTTCTCCATGTTCTTTCTTCCCCCACAGTGGCACTTTGCTTTGAGACAGTTTTCAGTGCTATATTACACATCCTTTTTTTAAAAAAAATTCAAAATTCTAGTTGAAATGCCCCATTTAAGAGTTTCAACTGAAGTATTTTGTTTAAATTGGTTAAACGTGTCTTAAAATCATTTGTCCCTATCTTGCTTTTTTTGAGTCGGAGTCTCGCTCAGTCGCCCAGGCTGGAGTGCAGTGGCTCAATCTCCGCTCACTGCAAGCTCCGCCTCCTGGGTTCACGCCATTCTCCTGTCTCAGCCTCCCAAGTAGCTGGGACTACAGGCGCCCACCACCACGCCCAGCTAATTTTTTTGAATTTTTTTAGTAGAGACGGGGTTTCACCGTGTTAGCCAGGATGGTCTCGATCTCCTGACCTCATGATCTGCCCACCTCTGCCTCCCAAAGTGCTAGGATTACAGGCGTGAGCCACCGTGTCCGGCCCCTATCGTGCTTTTTAAAGGAACCTTTATTTATTTTATTATTATTACTTTTTTTTTTTTTTTGAGTTGGAGTCTCACTCTGTCACCCAGGCTAGACTGCAGTAGCTCGATTTTGTCTCATTGCAACCTCCATCTCCAAAGTTCAAGCAATTCTCCTGCCTCAGCCTCCTCAGTAGCTGGGATTACAGGCACCCGCCAACACGCTCAGCTAATTTTTTTTTTTTTTTTTTTTTTGGAGATGGAGTCTCACTCTGTCACCTAGGCTGGAGTGCTATGTCATGATCTGAGCTCACTGCAACCTCCGCCTCCCGGGTTCAAGCGATTCTCCTGCCTCAGCCTCCAGAGTAGCTGGGATTACAGGCGCACGCTACCATGCCCAGCTAATTTTTGTATTTTTAGTAGAGATGTGGTTTCACCATGTCGGCCAGGCTGATCTCAAACTCCTGACCTCGTGATCCGCCTGCCTCAGCCTCCCAAAGTGCTGGGATTACAGGCGTGAGCCACCGCACCAGGCCCCAGCTAATTTTTGTATTTTTGTTTTGTTTTGTTTTTAGTAGAGACGGGGTTTTGCTATGTTGACCAGGCTACCAGGCTGGTCTCGAACTCCTAACCTCAAGTGATCCACCTGCCTCAGCCTCCCAAGTAGCTGAGACTACAGCCACAAGCCATCACGGCCAGCTAAGTTTTAAATTTTTTATAGAGACAGGTCTCACTATGTTGCCCAGGCTGGTCTCAAACTCTAGTCTCAAGTGATCCTCCTGTCTCAGCCTCCCAAAGTGCTGGGATTACAGGTGTAAGCCACCACACCTGGCCCTTTGCTAATTTCTTACTTGGTTATTTTTTTCTAATATTGAGTTGTAAGAGTTCTCCATAAATTTTGAATATTAATCCTTTGTCAGATATGTGGTTTGCAAATATTGTTTCCCAGTCCATAGGTTGACTTTTTGTTATGTCGATTGTTTCCTTTGCTGTGCAGAAGCTTTTTAGTTCGATGTAGTCCCGTTTATTTATTTTTGCTTTTGTAGCCTGAGCTTTTGGTGTGATGTCTAAAAAATCATTGCCAAAGCCAATGTTGAGGAGCTTTCCGCCATGTTCTTTTCTGGGAGTTTTATGGTTTCAAATCTTACATTTAGGTCTTTTATCCTCTTTGAGTTTATTTTTGTGTATGGTATAAGATTTCATTCTTTGAAAGGCTCAGTTTCATTCTTATTTCCCACTTATGTTTGGATTTATTTCTGGGCTATTTTATTCTGTTTTTATGTCAGCACCATACTGTTCTGATTACTATAGCTTTGTAATATAATTTTAAATCAGGAAGTGTGATGCCTCCAACTTTTTATTTCGCAGTGTTGCTTTGGCTAGTTGGGGTTTTTTTGTGGCTATATATAAATTTTAAGATTGCTTAAAGAGCATGTTTACAGTGACTTATCACACTTGGAATTGTGAATACTTGGGAATACTTAACAAGTCTCCTATAGTATATGCCTCCCTTTTTATTATTGCCCAAACTAGCATCATTTAAGTTTTTAAAAGCTAATATGTCTTTCCCAAAGAGCACTTGTTCCAAAATAAAATAAAGTGAAAGACCCTGAAATATAGCTACATTTTCTAAGGATAATATTTTGGGCATATCTTGCTTTATCTTTGGTTACATCTTTTATCCAAAATAAATGAAGTTAACCACTCACAAATAGCTAGCTCAGTAGTGTTTGACCTTCCTGCGTGAGCTGTAACTAGTTCTCTCACATCCCCAGCTTGACCTCATTCATTCATTCATTCGACATTGATATATTTCCTGTCAGCTACCCTGAAAGCCAGTAGTAAAGATGGCCTTTGGAATGTGTTGGAATCTCAGCCATCCCCTTCTACCTCTATGACCATGGCCAAAGCACTTACCTTCCTGTGCCTCAGTTTCTCCATCTGTAAAACAGAAGAGATAATGCTGCCTACATCATAATATGGTTGTGGGCATTCAAGGATTTAAAACAGATCCATGGGCCAGGCACGGTGGCTCACACCTGTAATCCCAGCAGTTTGGGGGGCCGAGGCGGGCAGATCACTTGAGGTCAGGAGTTCGAGACCAGCCTGGCCAACATGGTGAAACCCCATCTCTACTAAAAATACAAAAATTAGCCAGGCATGGTGGTGCATACCTGTAATCCCAGCTACTGGGGAGGCTGAGGCAGGAGAATCGCTTGAACCTGGGAGGCGGAGGTTGCAGTGAGCTGAGATCACACCACTGCACTCCAGCCTGGGCGACAGAGCGAGACTTCATCTCAAAATAAATAAATAGTTAGATGGAAAGAAAGAGAAAGAAAGAAATAGAGAAAAAGCGAGAGAAAGAAAGAAAAAAGCAGATCCACAGTCCCAGGTGGAATGTGATCCAAGCTGATGTCTTGTTATCACTGCAGAAATATCGATGTGATAGTCTACCACTGTTCGCTCAGAACCTTCTAGGGTTGCCTTTCTAAAATCTGAATTATTCAGAATTCCGAAACACATCAGGCCCAAGAGGTTTAGGAAGGGATCATGCCACCGTATATATGAAGAAAGCACTTAGCCTAGTACCTGGCACATAGTAAATGCTGTGTCAATGTTAACCATTTACTGTTGCTACTATTACTAGTTAAAGTGCTTACCTCACCATCCGTAATCATCATCATGGAAAAGCGAGTGATAATCACAGTGAGATACCGTGACACACCTGCTTCAGTGGCTACGATAAAAAGAGGGCACGGAGGAGCTGAGGTCAGAGAGTTCCACAGGAGGTCTGCTAGGGACTGGGGCCTTTTCCTTACATGGATAGGGGGAGGGTTCTGAGCAGAGGAAGGACATGATCTGACCCATAGATTAATAGAGTCCCTCTGGCTGTGTGTGGCAGCAGGAGCCAGAGCCAGGAAATTGGGGCAGAAGCTCCTGCTGTGGTCCATGGTCCTGCCTGTGGGGGTGTGAAGGAGGGGTGAGCCCATTTATATCTTGAAGGTGGAGCTGACAGTGAGTACTGATGGCCTGGATGTAGGGGTGAGAGAAAGAGAGGGGGCTAGGATGACCCTGAGGTTTGGGCCTGGACACCAGCTGAGGGGTGAAGATACTGCATTGAGGGACCCCAGGGTCGGGGTTTGCAGGGAGTGGCAGAAGGCCTTGTGAAGAATCAGAGACGTGGCTGAGTCTGTTCGGTGCTGGGTGCCCGTCAGACAGCTGCGTGAGATGGCAAGGAGACAGTTGGATACGCATACCTGAAGTTGAGAGAGGTCCAGGGGGGAGAAGGAAAAGTAGGGGTCCCCAGCACAGAGGTGTTGAAATCACGAGGAGAGCCGTGTGGATGGGGAAGAGCGAAGCTGTGCGGAGAGACGGCGAGGAATCAGCGAAGGAGGCTGGGGAGGGAGTGCCAGTGAGGAGGGAGGAGACCTGGAGAGTATGGACCCCTGCAGTGAGGCAGGAGGTTGATGAGGGCCCGAGGTGATTGCTAGATGGGAGGCACAAAAGGCTGAAGGGAGCAGGTTCAAGAGAGACGGGGCTTTGTTGAGGCCTGTGAAGGTGTGACTACACGTGTTGTTTGTTGCTTTCTCTCTGTTCAGGCCACACCTGGCACACAATAGCTGCACAATAAAAATGTGTTAAATTAATGTCTTCATGGATTGGGGAGAGGTTAGAACGCAGAGGAGCCCTTGGAATTGGGGGTCGTCACTGTGGAGTATGGCAGAAGTGTGTTCTATGGACCTGGGCTCCTGTCCCCAGATGATGATGGGGAAGGAGAATCAGAAACATAACCCAGACATCTGGGCGCCCCCCAGACCATTTACTTAGTGCCTGGTGCCACCAACAGGACTGACGTGGCATCCCCATCTAGAGAATGAGTCTAATAATAATACTGACTCATGGAGCTGTTGTCAGGAATCAATGAGATAATGCTGTAAAACATCATCAGTGTTTGATAGGCTTGAGCTGTTGTTACAAGTTAAATCCTATCATTACCATTATTCTGGCTTCATGGCCCTCACCACCTAGTGGGGGAGATAGATATCAAATAATCAGGCTGGGCGCAGTGGCTCACACCTGTAATCCCAGCACTTCGGGAAGCCAAGATGGGCAGATCACTTGAGGTCAGGAGTTCGAGACCAGCCTGGCCAACATGGTGAAACCCCGTCTCTACAAAAAATACAAAAAGTAGCCAGTGTGGTGATGCGTGCCTGTAATCCCAGCTACTCGGGAGGCTGAGGCACAAGAATCACTTGAACCCGGGAGGCGGAAGGTTGCAGTGAGCTGAGATCATGCCACTGCACTCCAGCCTGGGTGACAGAGTGAGACTCTGTCTCAAAAAAAAAAAAAGATACCAAATAATCACTCAGCCACGTAATTTAACTGTGGCAATGAAACTATAAAGAAAAGGTACACAGCCACTCGAGAGGCTAAGGTGGGAGGATCGCTTGAGCCCGGGGGGTCGAGGCTGCAGTGAGCCATGATCACGCCACTGCACTCCAGCCTGGGTGACAGAGCAAGACCTTGTCTCAGGAAAAAAAGAAAGAAAAAGTGCAGGGGGCCTTGAGAGAGAATAACAGGCAGGAAGGAGGTGGGGGTCTTATTCCAGGCTGGGGTGGGCGTGGGAGTGTCAGAGGAGGCTTTTCTGAAGAAGCAACCTGTGAAGCTCGACGGGGAGGATGAACAGGAACTAGCCTGGGGTGGGCTGGAGGCTGGGGCATTTTGGCTGGGAGAATAGTCTGTGTGCAGGTCCAAGGTGTCGCAGGTGGGGAGGAACTGGGTGTGTTGGAGGAGCAGAGTGCGGGAAGGAAAACTTGGGTCAGCTGGTCTGGTGAGCCACGGTAGGAGATTTGGACTTTCTTCCCACAGCCCCTGGGAGCCACAGAAGGGTTTTCAGGGGAGAAGTGATACAACTTCATTTAATTCTTTCTAAACTTCTGTGTGCACTTTCAAGCCTTGATGTCCTGACACTCTTCCTCCCCCAGGACAGTTTGTACCGCTCCAGGGTCACGTCAGAGACTCCAGAGCCGCCTCCACCACTGTGATTCCTTGAAGCTTTTTGCCGTCATCTGGCCACTCAGTCGGCGGGGTTGAGAGGAGCTTTCTATAGACGAGAAGGTGCCCTGGTTCTCGACTCATCAGCCTCTAGGAAAGAAGCAGCTTGCTGGTCCATCCCAGGCTGCTGGGAGGCCCGAGAAACAGGTCACAGCAGCCCCGCCTCCTCCATAGACCTCCAGGCCTCTCAAAAGGGACCCCCACCTGCTGCCCGCAAAGATGGCCTCATTTCCTCTCAGGCCCAGCGCTGCCAGCAGCCTGTCCCCCCTCCTCATTTCCCTATTTCTTTTGAGTGGCCAGATGACAGCACAAAGCTTCAAGGTCGGGGGCCGTGGGGTGGTGGTGGAGTCTTTGACCTCATGCCGATCAACGTGCTTCTCTCGGTTCCCTGTTCTGGGCCCTGCCCTGGAAAGAGGCAGGGTGGCCGGGGAGGGGAGTTTCCAGATTACCTGTGTCTCCTGGGCATGGCACAGGAAATGACTCCTTCATAGGCTGAGAGTTTTGGGAGGCCCTGTGCCACAACCCCCCAGCAAGAGCCCACATGAATCCGCCATCTCGCCCGCAGCCTGGGGATGCTGCTGGATTTTCCGGGTGTGGAGGGGCCCAGGTCCCCCGAGCAGCTCCTCTGACCCCGCAACCCGGCATCTCCTGTGCCCGAGTGGCGTCTGTCAGTTGCTCAGTAAGTGGAGGGCTTTGCTGTCCCTTCTGCTGTACCCACAGCTGCCCGCTCAGAGCAAGGTGGCTCTGATCCTGCAGGAGGGGGCTCTCTTTGAGAGCACTTGGGTGTATCGTGTCTCAGAAAACCCACATGGCTTGTAGCTGTGGCTGCCTAACAGCACCACCTGGGTGGTTGAGTGGCTCTTCCAGAGACCCTTAAGTGGATGGGCTCCCCAGCCAGGCGTGGTCCCCACTGCTAAGTATGTTATAGGTGTTGACCCACTTAGTCCTCCCAAAAACCCTGTGAGGCAGGCACTATCCAGTTTTACACATGAGGAAACTGAGGCACGGATAAGTTGGGTTGTTTGCGTGAGCCACACAGGTAGGAAGTGGCAGAACCAGGATTTGAACCCAGACCATCTGGCTTCATAATCACTCTGCTATACTTCCTGCCAGCCTGTTCTCCCCCGCCGACACACACGCACGCACACACGCACGCACTCACACACACTCCTACACATTCCTCTCTCTGTCATATCACCTGGTTTATTTTCTTCATGGCACATATCACAGTGGATTTGTGGGCTTGTGTATTGCCTGTCTACACCCTATAGTATAGCCTGTGAGCTCCTGTTTGACCATAGGAATTCTGTGTCTTGTGCATTGCCATATCCCCAGCATCTAGAACAGGACCTGGCCCGAAAGAGCTGCTCAGTAAATATTTGTTGAATGAATGAACCGACATGGCCAGTGACACAATGTCTCACTGGGTAGGTTTGTGTTATTTTTTCCTCCTTCGACCTCGATCCCTCCTGCCACTCACTTTATAGTAGAGGCAGTCACAGGCGATCTGTGGGTAGAGCGATGATTGAACCCGGGCCGGGCTGACCCCAGAGCGCACGCTCCTTTGCCCGCCCCTGCCACACTGGTATCTTTCCCTTGATGCTGACGGAGGGATGTGACACCGCAGCCAGCCAGGTCTCCTCATGGAGGGCCTCGGACCACGTGTCATTTTAGAGACCCCAGCGGCAGTCCAGATCCTGAAGTCCGACCTTTGATTCAGGAACAGAGCAGCTGCAGGAGTGCCAGGCTGGGCTTTCTGGTCCTGTCTCTCATCCTCAGCTCCAGTCAGCTGGGGATTAACCCCCTGCCGTCATCAGGAGAAATACAACATGGGAAACCGGCGGTAACTCCACTGTGGTAAAGGATGTGAGGGAAACAGTGACCCACTGCAGAGGGTTTCCTGAGCTCTCGTGCACAGAGAATCGTGCGTGTGCCTCTGGGTGGGCAGGGGACATGCAGCCTGGGTGAACATTTCCCATACACTAGGATGAATTGGCCCTTCCTGTTCATGCCTCTAATGCCCCATTTCCCTCCTACAGAGATTTTCTCTTGTTTAACAATTAAAAGATAGCAGGCTGCTTTGTGGTTCTCAGTCAGGATGCTTTTTAGTTGCAAGTAACAACCCTGGCACCATCTGGCCAATGGTTAAGACATGTGATGTGTTCTAGAAGCCCAGGGGTGGATGGGCACCAGGTGGATAGGATCAGCAGCTCAAGCATGTCTGTCAGGGACTCAGGTTCTCAGCCTCCAAAGGCCTCTGTATGCCTCTTGGTTCCAGAATGGCTTCCAGTGATAATCAGGGCCACTTGCCCTTGTCCACAGGCATCAGGAGAGAGAGAACACACCCCACTGATGGTTATAAGTGGTTCCCCTCAGTCTACAGCTGGTCCAGCTGAGGTCACGTGCCCCTCAACCAGGCCGGTCAAGTTACTAGAGGAATGCCACATCCTGATCACTCTTGACCAACTGGGTTCTGTTGTCTAGTAGCTGAAAAAAGCAGAAGTGGAAACTGAGTAGACAACCATTAATGCCTGCCAAGCTCAGTCCCTGACCAAGTCCCCTCCCTAAGTTAGCAAATCGTGTCAGGCCCAACAGATTTTGTGGCATTTGAGAACAAAGAAGTGTGGTTTTCTTTTGAAGAAGTTTAGTGACTTGCGTCCAATTTCTGCCTCCTGCATCATCCACCCTCAGTTAACACCCAAAAAAGGGGGCAGGCTGGGCGCGGTGGCTCACACCTGTAATCCCAGCACTTTGGGAGGCTGAGGCGGGCAGATCATGAGGTCAAGAGACCATCCTGGCTAACACGGTGAAACCCCGTGTCTACTAAAAATACAAAAATTAGCTGGGTGTGGTAGTGCACACCTGTAGTCCCAGCTATCGTGAGGCTGAGGCAGGAGAATCGCTTGAACCCAGGAGGTGGAGGTTGCAGTGAGCTGAGATTGCGCCACTGCACTCCAGCCTGGGCGACAGGGCGAGACCCCATCTCAAAAAAAAAGCGGGGGGTGGACAGGGGGCAAGTGGAGTCTGGCTGCCAAAGACTACTTGTCTGATGGTGGGGAAAAAAAATGGGTGTCTCCTCCCTTGTCACTGGGAAGGTTTTTGTTTCTCTTTCCATCTTCATCCTCTATAGGTCCTTTCATTCCTTCCCCCAGTCTGAAATATTTCCGGTGTGTCTGTAGCTGTGCACACATCCTTGCAAAATATATATTGAGGTTTGAGTAAAGAGTCAGCTTCCGGGGTTTGGAGCTCTGTATCTCATTCTTTCGGTTTCTTCTGGTTTTCACCAAATAGCATGTGTTCGCCATCTAGCCACGTTGCTGGATGTGTGTCCAGTGTATGGCGTCTGGCAGCTGAACAGTTGTACATGCTGTACATCTGCCACGGCTCACGTGTCTGGTCCCCTGGTGTTGGGCATCCAGGTTGCCCCTAGCTCCACCCCACTTCAAACCATGCTTCAAGTGAGCATCCGCCTACCTTTGCCTTAGGAACCCATGGGGCTTACCCCCAGGAGTCAGTTGCAGCCGGAGATAGGCATTCTCTCTCCCCAGGGGTGGGATTAAGGCACCTGCCACAACACCCAGCTAATTTTTGTACTTTTGGTAGAACTGGGGTTTTGCTCCATTGGCCAGGCTGATCTTGAACTCCTGAGCTCTCTATGAGGCTGCTCTGACCCGCGTTCCCCCGAGAGCACAGGAGGGTCCCGCTTCCCCATACCTCTCGCCACTTTGCTGTTGTCCTGCTTCCCAGTTTCACCAATCCGAAGGGTGTCAAGTGGGGTCTCCGGGGTTTTAATGCTCTGATGGTGAGTCTGGCTGAGTGCCTCTTCATGCCCCTGTTAACCTAATTCAGGCTCCCCTTTCCAAGAGAGGCCCAGTCAGCACAGGCATTGGAAGGCAAATTCTGGAGCCGGTGACCTGCGTTTGAATCCTGACCCTGCCATGTAACCCAGCAAGTTAGTTCACCTCTCTGAGCCTCAGAGCTGCCATAAATATAAAATGGAAATAATAGTAGTATCTATATTGTAAGGTATTTTGAGGATTAAATGAGATAATATATGTAAAGCATTTAAGACAGTGCTGGCTGGGCATGGTGGCTCACGCCTGTAATCCCAACACTTTGGGAGGCCGAGGCAGGTGGATCACTTGACGTCGTGAGTTCGAGACCAGCCTGGCCAACATGATGAAACCCCGTCTCCACTAAAAATGCAAAAATTAGCCCGACGTGGTGGCGCATGCCTGTAATCCCAGCTACTCAGGAGGCTGAGGCAGGAGAATCCCTTGAACCCAGGAGGCAAAGGTTGAAGTGAGCCAAGATCACACCACTGCACTCCAGCCTGGCCAACAGAGTGAGACTGTCTCAACAATAACAACAACAACAAAAAAACAGCGCCTAACACATATGTGATCTGAAAGCATTAGCAATTATTATCACTATCACCGTCATTATTATTGTTTTAAAGTTTCTAAACTTTCAAATGTTGTATCCTTTCACTTTCAATGCACGTCAGAATGGCTCTGCCTGTGGAGGAATTTCTGGCTTCTCCTGGGTCGTCCAAGAGACAATATAGTCAAAGTTGTCCGAAGAGCAGGCTTGGAGCTACTCCTTTCTTTCACATTTGAGTCGAGTGCTGTATATTCATTTCCACGTGTGTAGTTTTTAATTTTTAAAAGTATGATGTGTGCGCTGGGCATGGTGGCTCATGCTTGTAATCTCAGCACTTTGGGAGGCTGGGGCTGATGGATCACTTGAGGCCAGGAGTTCAAGACCAGCCTGGGCAACATGGCGAAACCCCATCTCTACAAAAAATACAAAAGTTAGCCCGGTGTGGTGGCACACACCTGTAATCCCAGCTACTCCAGAGGCTGAGGCGGGAGAATCACTTGAACCTGGGAGGCGGAGGTTGCAGTGAGCCAAGATCATGCCACTGCACTCCAGCGTGGGTGACAGAGCTAGATTCTGTCTTAAAAAGAAAAGAAAATATATGTAAAGTGTTTAGAGCAGTGCCTGGCACATGGTAAATGCTATAGTCATGTTTGTGGATATCACTACATTTACCAGAGTTTTCTCCTCTGGGTAGCACATAGGTTTTAATGTGACGTGATAAATACTTTTTCTTCACAGCTAGCATTTGTCTCTGATGACTATCTCTAGACATGTTCTCACGTTAGCATGTTAAATGTACCCTCTTTCTTTTTAATGACTGCCTGTATCATATGGACATATCAAAATGTATTTACTGATTCTTTAATGAGAGACTCTTGGGTTTCATCTTTTCGTCTTTCTCAAGTAGTGCTGCAGTGGGGAGCCTCGTCCAAGAAGCTCTGGGTTCTTGAGCCAGTGTTTTTACTGGAGCCAGAATTGCTGGGTCCAGGGATATGCATGGTTTTGATGTAATGAACTGACAAGTTGCCCTCAAAGACGGTTCTGCCACTAGAACCTGGTGTATCCCCACCAACAGAATACAGACCTGTTGGTTTTGATTTGTTTCTTAGTTTGGTTTGGTTTTTTTGTTTGTTTGTTTGAGACAGGGTATCTCTGTGGCCCAGGCTGGAGTGCAGTGGCTCGATCTTAGCTCATTGCAGACTCGAACTCCTGAACTCAAGTGATCCTCCCACCTCAGCCTCCTGAGTAGCTGGGACCACAGGCACACACCACCACACCTGCTAACTTTTTAATTTTTTTGTAGAGACAGGGTCTTGCTATGTTGCCCAGGCTGGTCTTGAACTCCTGGTCTCAAGTAGTGTTCCCGTCTTGGCCTCCCAAAATGCTGGGATCGCAGGCGTGAGCCACCACGCCCCACTTGAGTTGTTTTAGTAATGGGGAATTTCAGGCATTTACAGGGGTAGAAATAGCATATATTGCCTGCATGTACACAGTTGTCACCAGATTCTTTGGTGACCAACACATGGCCAGTCTTGTTTCATCCATTCCTCTGCCTTTGGATCATTTTGAAACAAATCTCGAACATTGTATCATTTCATTTGGGGAGCTTTAAACTGCATGCCCACAGCGTGCCTGTACATCGTGGAAGAGAGGAGGACATTTCTATAAAATCATCCTGTGGTGCTTTTCATTTTCCATGGTGTGTCTTCTCCCTTGATTCTCAGATGCCCCTAAGACATAGACAAGGCAGGTGTATCTGTTGGGAAAACAGAATCCACTCTAGGTATTTTAGCGGAAGGAATTCAATACAGGGAATTTGGTTAAAAAAGTTGGGGAGGAGCAGAGAAACCAAAAAGGGGCAGAGGCCAGTCCCTAGATGAGCAACCAGAGCTGAAGGGCGCAAGGAGTAGGGCACCTTAGCAGAGCCCAGGGCAGTGTTGGGCGGAGGCCTCCTCCGCGTGAGATGCTGTCCACATTGGAGGGAGGACCACCTGGCTTCTCACCACCTCTACCTTCCAGGCTTCTGCCACTGCCCCTGTTGGCTGAGCCTCACCAGCAGTCCTGGGAAATGTAGTTCCCTGTGTTTCAGAGCAGGCTAGGAAAAGGGCAGGCAATGGATCAAAGAGGGAACTCGATCCCCATTTGATAGATGAGAAAGCCAGAGGGTCTAATGGCCTGTCAGGGGCACCTCATTTAGTGACAGGCACCATCCCTGGCACTGAGGTAAGTCCCTTGGTTGCCAGGGTAACCTGAGGCAGCTCTTTGGGCATTGCATGCCACCAGCCAGTCACTGCTGCCTGGGATGGGCCTACATGGTTCCGAGTTCCTCCTCTGCCGGAGGAGTCCCCTCCAAGCTTCCCCCTCCCACACTCAGAGTGGACACTGCCTTTTGTTCCTGCCCATCGCACTGGGCTGTGCCCTGACCCTAAGGAAAGCCCTCCTGAGGACACCGTGCCGGAGAGTTCTGGGTGCTGGAGTATTCTCAGGGAGCCCCCTGCATGAGGTACCAGCATCCTGGGCCACACTAGAGGCCAGAGGAATGTTGTGCCACTGAGCAGCCCAAGCTGGCATTGAGCGGGCAGCTCTGTACTCAGCTGGCATCAGGCAAGTGTGGGTGGGAGCTGTGCTTTGTGCCCTCCTGGAGCTGGTGGCTTCACGGAGGTGAGGGGAGCCCAGGGGAGATGGAAGGTGCCCAGATACACAAACAGGGAAGCTCAACACCAATGTGAGAGTTTAAAGGAGACAGAGAAGCCCAGTTACACAAGAAAGCCTCGGTCAGAAGCGACGTGATTGCTAAGGTGACCTGGGCCCTTCTTGTAAAGCAGACCTGTTTCAAGTACTTTACACTTATTCACTTAGTTAATTCTCATAATAATCCTGTGAGGTAGGTATGGACTGTTAACCCCAGAGAGTTAAGTACCTTGGCCAAGGCCACACATCTAGGGAGTGGCACACCAGGAATCCATATAATAGTGGTAGTAATAGCCATGGACACTTCCTGGTGGTCACCTATGCCAGGCTGCCCTCAGAGCTCTACATATTAACTCATTTAATCTTCACAGTCACCCTATGAAGGAGGTACTTTTTTTTTTTTGGAGATGGGGGTCTCGCTGTGTCACCCAGGCTGGAGTGTAGTGGTGCAATCACAGCTCACTGCAGCTTCACAGTCCTGGGCTCAAGCGATCCTCCCACCTCAGCCTCCCAAGTAGCTGGGATCACAGGCGTGTGCCAACACGCCCAGCTAATTTTTATTATTTTTTATTTTTTGGTAGAGACAGGGTCTCACTTTCTTGCCCAGGCTGGTCTCGAACTCCTGGGCTCAGGTGATCCTCTCGCCGTGGCCTCCCACAGTGCTGGGATTACAGGCGTGAGCCGCCGCGCCCAGCCTTCTTGTTTCCATTTTGTGAGGTTGGTGCAAAAGTAATTGTGGTTTTTGCCATCGAAAGCAATGGCAAAAACCGCAATTACTTTTGCACCAACCAAATACAAATGAGGCAACTGAGGCACAAAGAGATTTAAGGGACCTGTCCAAGGTCACACGGCAGAGCTGAGTTCAAACCCAGGCAGCCTGAGTTCAGAATTTGTGCCCTTAACGGTGGCTCATGCCTGTAATCCCAGCACTTTGGGAGGCCGAGGTGGGCGGATCACCTGAGGTTGGGAGTTCAAGACCAGCCTGACCAACATGGAGAAACCCCTTCTCTACTAAAAATACAAAACTAGCCAGGCGTAGTGGCACATGCCACAGGGAGGCCACTCCCATGCACAGCAGTTAGGAATTGGTTGGAAGTCCTTGGAGGTGATTGGCCTGTGAGTTATGTCTAGTTTGTGTTGAGAAAGTGTCTTCGAGGACAGGAGTGGTGGCTCATGCCTGTAATCCCAGCACTTTGGGAGGCCAAGGCAGGCGGATCACTTGACGTCAGAAGTTTGAGACTAGCCTGACCAACATGGTGAAACCCTGCCTCCACTAAAAATACAAAAATTAGCGGATGTGGTGGTGGGTGCCAGTAATCCCAGCTACTCAGCAGGCAGAGGCAGGAGAATCACTTGAACCTGATCTCAGCAGTGAGCCGAGATCGCGCCACCGCACTCCAGCATGGGCGACAGAGCAACTCCATCTCAAAAAAAAAGGAAATTGTCTTTGAATCCAAGTTTAGGGGAAAAAAAAATCATCTGGAGTTGGTACACTCTCTTGGTCACAAGGAGAGGCCTTTGGAAGAGGAGCTCCACAGCTTCAGTGATGGTGATAAGAGAACCTTTTGTTTGGCACTAACTGGACAGCATGCCCTCCCACACAGCCGTGAAGCCACTGTTGTCGTCCCCACTTTCCAGGGGCATCACACGACCTTCCTGGCCTGTGGTCGCTGCTCAGGCCATGGGGATGGCTGCGCTTCTGCCATGAGTCCTTGGTGATAGCAGGTGAACGGTGAAGAGTCCATGTTCCCGGGAGCCCCTGCTGCTGGTGGAGGAATGGACAAGTAAACGACTGAATAGAGAAGCACGTTGGAACCAAGACTTCTCCAAAGCCAGTGCTTGTAACTGATTCGGGGTGCTGCTGTGGCGTGGTTAGGCATAGAGGCTCACATTCTAGCCTTGTCGCTTCCTAACTCTGTGACTTTGGTCTGGTGACCTCCCCTGCTGGCCTTCCGTTTCCTTAGCTGTAAAATGATCTGGTAAGACCTCCATCAGTCAAGATTGCAATCGGCTACATGTAACAAAAAACCAGTAAGCCGTGGCTTCAGTAAGGCAACAGGTGGTCTCTTACACATGAGAAGAAAAGGGAGGGAGGGCAGCTGGGGGCGGCGCCACTGTTGGGGGGTGCAGGGACAGGGAGCAGGCTCCTTCTGACTCCTCATCTTGCTGTCCCCAGCATGTCACTCTCAGCCTCATGCTCCCAAGATGACGGTTGCACCCCCTGATATGACATTTATATTCCAAGTACAAGAGAAGGGTAGAAGAGGTGTGCCCCATTTATTTATTAGGAAAACAATAGCTTCGCCAAAAGGTCCCATCCCCCATCCCCTGCAAACTTCCTCTTCCCTCACACTGGCCATAATCAGATACATCCTTAGTTTAGCTGCGTGGGAATCCAGGAAAGTAAGCTTTTTGGATTAGTATCCTGCCACCCCAACAAATGTGGACCTCTCTCAAGGAATCAGAAGAGGATGGGTTTGGATTTGACAACCAGCAGTGGAGCCTGAGGTGCCTGGCCCTGGAGTAACCCAGAGCAGGAGTGCGGGATTCTCCCACTGCGGGCCTGACTTCTGGTTTGTGATGTCCAGGAATGCCACTGCTTTGTGCCCTGTTTCTTCATCTGCATGTTGAGAGTGATGCCCCCTGCTGAGGAACACTTGGGAGAAGCTTTAAAACCTGGCTGGGAAGGACTTTGAAATACATCCCACCCCATAGGAGAGCTGAGGCTGGCTTTTGTTTGGAAAATTGTCGGGTTTTCTTCAAGTGGAGCCCAGCCGAACTAGCCGATTGACTGCCAGAGCCCAAACATACTGCCCTGAGACGGCTCATTTATTCACCTCTCTCCCTCCCGCTCGAGTCTGAACAGTGTGGGGGCTGAGAGTGGGAGTGATGGCTGCGGCTCTGCGGCCAGCATCTGGCACAGCGCCCAGCACCCACCAGGTACCCGGCTGAGGATTGACTGCCTTGCTTCTGAGCACCTCTTGATCTGAGGAGCAGTCAGATCTTCCCCAGTCGGTCCCTTCTCTGCACCAGCACCACCCTCCTTCTGGGCTAGGCCACTCTTGCCCCCACGTGGGTGGCTACCCTGGCCTCCTGATGAAGCCTCTGTACCCTCGGCAGGTCACGATCTCCATGACAGCCAGTCGGGCCACTGCCCCCCTAAACCTGCCATGGAGGTCAACTCCAGATTCCTGAACACTGTGGCATCCTTGCACCTGTTTTTCCTCCATCCCCCTCACCCACTCACACCCCTTTCCATGGCCAACTTCTCATCCTTCAGGGCTTAAACACCACCCCTTCCATGCCATCTTCCTTGGCCACCCACTCTCCAGCACCCTGCTCCCATCCTTCGTCAGTTTACCCCTTCCTTCTCTTGCTTTAGACTGATTTGTGTGCTTAAGTGCATTTAATTAATGTTTGTTTCCTCCTTTAGTCAGTGGACAGAGAAGGGGGCTATCGTGGTTACTGCTTTGTTACTTATCACATAGTAAGATCTCAGGAAATACTCACCTAGTGAATGGAAGTAAATCAAATGAATGAAAACTTGTTTGGTTTTTTTTCCCCCTGATTTTGAAACATTCACTGAAAGTAATATGAAAAAATATGGAAAGGGGCCAGGCGTGGTGGCCCACACCTGTAATTCCAACACTTTGGGAGGCGGGTGGATCACTTGAGGTCAGGAGTTGGAGACCGCCCGGAGCAACATAGCCAGACCTCCTCTCTACAAAAAATTTAAAAAATTAGTCAGGCATGGTGGTACACACCTGTATTCTCAGCTACTGACAGAATGAGACCCTGTCGTTAAAAAATATATATGGGGACCGGGCGCGGTGGCTCAACGCCTGTAATCCCAGCACTCTGGGAAGCCGAGGTGGTGGATCACTTGAGGTCAGGGGTTCGAGACCAGTCTGGCCAACATGGCGAAACCCCGTCTTTACTACAAATACAAAAATTAGTCAGGCATGGTAGTGGGCGCCTGTAATCCCAGCTACTCAGGAGGCTGAGGCAAGAGAATTGCTTGAACCCAGGAAGCGGACGTTGCAGTGAGCTGAAATCCCACCACTGCATTCCAGCCTAGAGTGCACTCCAGCAAGACTCCATCTCAAATATATATATATATGTATATATATGTGTATATATGTGTATACATATATACACACACACACACACGTATATATATACGTATATATATGTATATATATGGGAAGGTATAAAGAACAGATTTTCGAAAACCACTAGTAGCCCCAGCATCAAATTATCGAGTCTTTCCTGTCTTTTTTTCTGGGAATGCATCTGCATAGCCTATAGATGTTTACTGTCCTAGGGGTTGATAATTTCTTTAATGGTACTCCTGGTGTTGCTCATTGAGGTTGGGTTTTTTGCCTGTTATAAAGGATACTATGAATTTTTCTGCATCTCTTATTATTTATTTAGGATTAATTTACAGAAGTAGCATTCCTGGTTCAGAGGGTGAGAACTTTTTTTTTTTTCTTTTGAGACAGAGTCTCGCTCTGTCGCCCAGGCTGGAGTGCAGTGGCGCAATCTTGGCTCACTGCAAGCTCCGCCTCCCAGGTTCATGCCACTCTCCTGCCTCAGCCTCCCGAGTAGCTGGGACTACAGGCACCCACCACCACACCTGGCTAATTTTTTTTTATTTTTTATTTTTTATTTTTTAGTAGAGACAGGGTTTCACCATGTTAGCCAGGATGGTCTCGATTTCCTGACCTCGTGATCCACCCACCTCGGCCTCCCAAAGTGCCGGGATTACAGGCCTGAGCCACCATGCCCGGCCTGAGAACACTTTTTAAAGCTCTTGCCAAATTGCCCCTAGAAAGGGATCACCACTGGGAACATTAAAAAAGAAAGAAGTCTGTTGTCCTGGGGAGTGGCCAGTTTCCTGGTGTGCTGGGCTCATCGGGCTCCTGGAGAGCCATTTTCCTGGTCTCCTGAGGGCCTGGTGTCCCCTTCCAGCCTGCTGTGCTCTGCCTGGCCTGGGTTGCAGTCCCGGAGCAGGATGTTTGATTATGGTGTTGAGCAAACAGAACAGCAGGCCCTCGCCATCTGCCAGCTGGTCCCTCGGGCTTGAGAAGAGCTTCACATCCAGCGAGGGTCATAACTAGAGCCTTTCTAGAGCCTTCTGTGGTGCTGCTGAAGGGTGGGGCTGGAGTGCTCATTCCTAACAGTAGCCTGGCCCCACAACCCCCATTCCCACACACCTCTCCCCACTGGGAAGGAAGACAGGTGCCCCCCTGCATGTCTCAGGTGGGTAGAGGCGCCTCCCCTCTGTCCCCAGCTGTCACATATGGAGAGTTGTCCTGAAACTGCCTCTGTGAGGGTGCCCCGCTCTCCCTGACTCCCTCTGGGCTCGGAGGGAGTGCACATTCCCCCAGGCAGCCCGCAATGTTTGTGTTCATCCAGGCGAAGTGGCCCTGCAGGTTCTGGGAGTGGAAATCTCTTATAGGAGAGAGAAAGTGAATCTCAAGCTATGGCATGAGAGTGACTGGGGTGGCACAGAGGGTGATCAAACAGCTGAGTTTTTTGTTGTTTTGTTTTGTTTTTTAAGACAGAGTCTTGGCCAGGTGCGGTGGCTCACGCCTGTAATCCCAGCACTTTGGGTGGCTGAGGCAGGTGGATCACTTGAGGTCAGGAGTTCTAGAGCAGCCTGGCTGGCATGGTGAAACCCTGTCTCTACTAAAAATAGAAAATTAGCCAGGCGTGGTGGTGCATGCCTGTAATCCCAGCTTACTGGGGAGGCTGAGGCAGGAGAATCACTTGAAACCAGGAAGCAGAGGTTACAGTGAGCTGAGATCCCGCCACTGCACTCCAGCCTGGGTAACAAGAGTGAAACTCTGTCTCAAAAAAAAAAAAAAAAAAAAGACAAAGTCTTGCCCTGTCACCCAGGTTGGAGTGCAGTGGCACCATCATAGCTCAAGTGATCCTCCCGCCTCAGCTTCCTGAGTAGCTGAGTCTACAGGTGCATGTCACCATACTCAGCTCATTTTTTTTTTTTTTGGTAGAGATGGGGTCTCACTGTTGCCCAGGCTGGTTTCAAACTCCTGGGCTCAAGCTATGCTCACTGCCTCAGCCTCCCAAAGGGCTTGTATTACAGGTGTGAGCCACCATGCCCAGCAAACAGCTGAGATTTTTTTTTTTTTTTTTTTTTGAGACGGAGTCTCGCTCTGTTGCCCAGGCTGCACTATCTCGGCTCACTGCAGCCTCCACCTCCCAGGTTCAAGTGATTCTCCTGCCTCAACCTCCTGAGTAGCTGGGACTACAGGTGCCTGCCACCACGCCTAGCTAATTTTTGTATTTTTCATAGAGATGGGGTTTCACCATGTTAGCTGAGATTTTAAAATACATTTGTATACATTTTAAAGTTGCTTATGTCATACAAGAGTAAAATCTCACTGTTTAAAAATAACTCATGCAATACAAAAGACTTTAAAATTCTGTTATTGTGAAATGGAACATACATACAGACAAGCATGTAAAACGTGAATACACAGTTTACCGAAGAATTCCAAAGCAAGCACTCAGGTAACCCGGGTCCAGAAAGAGAACCTGCTGGCAGCCTGGAACCCCCATGGGCTCTGGCCACCAGAACCCTTTTTTTTTCCTTTTTTTTGAGACAGAGTCTCACTCTGTCACCCAGGCTGGAGTGCAGTAGTGCAATCTCCGGTCACTGCAGCCTCCGCCTCCAGGTTCAAGCAATTCTCCTGCCTCACCTCCCAAGTAGCTGGGATTACAGGCACCTGCCACAACACTTGGCTAATTTTTGTACTTTTAGTAGAGACGAGGTTTTGCCATGTTGGCCAGGCTGGTCTCGAACTTCTGAGCTCAGGTAACCCGCCCACCTCAGCCTCTCAGAGTGCTGGGATTACAGGCATGAGCCACCGCACGTGACCAGAACCCTCTTTCTAAAAGCAACTGCTCTCTGCACTTCACAGTCACCATTTCCTGGCATTGTGAAAGCTGTGTTCCCTAGATGAGCAACTCTAAATAACGTGGTTCCAGTTTACCTAGTTTTGAACTTTATATAAAAACAGTTGTGAACTGTATATGTTGTTCTGTCTGGCTTTTTCACTTAGTATCATGTCCGAGAGGTGCATTCTAGTTTGGAGTTAATGCATTTCTGGTCCTAAAGCCCATTTTCCTTGATAAACAGACAAGCTTTATGAGTTCTAATATTTGTACATTTTGTTTAATGAGTATTAGAAAAAAAATAAAACGAATCCAACATGGATATTCTTAAGGGTTTAGGCAGTGAGTTGGTTGAAAGGATCACGTTCAGTAAATAATAGTACAGGTGGGCTGCGGCTATGCCTGAGCAGAGGTGCGTGACTTTGGACAGTTTGGGAGCCCCAGTGGTGAGGACAGAATGAATGCACAGATGGCACACACCGTCGCTCCCCTCCCTGAGAAACCACTGTTACCTCTGGGCCTCTGCCTCCCAGATCTTTGCTCTGCAATGAGCTTGGTAGGTAGATAAAAGTATAAAATATGTAGCTTGAAAGATTTTTAAGTGCTAACTTTTTTTTTGAGACAGAGTTTCGCTCTTGTTGCCCAGGCTGGAGTGCAATGGCCTGATTTTGGCTCACCACAGCCTCTGCCTCCCGGGTTCAAGTGATTCTCCTGCCTCAGCCTCCCGAGTAGCTGGGATTACAGGGGTGTGCCACCACACCCAGCTAATTTTTGTATTTTTAGTAGAGACGGGATTTCATCATGTTGGCCAGGCTGGTCTGAAACTCCTGACCTCAGGTGATCTGCCCGCCTCAGCCTCCCAGAGTGCTGGGATTACAGGCGTGAGCCACCTCACCCAGCCTTAAGTACTAACTTCTTAAATGTGGGAGTATGCTTTTCTTCCGAATTAGTACTTCTTGGGGTTTCTAGGTTTGTTCTCTGATTAAAGTAACCAAATCCCTTGTAATATTGCACTTCAGGGTGGGGTAAGAATGGGCCAGGCAGACCCTGCCTGGAATACAGGGAACTCAGGGGCCAGGACAATGCGGCACATGCCAGTGACTCTTTTATTTAGCACATGGTTTGGTATCTGCCTCCTGATTTTTTTTTTCTTTTTAGAGATGGGGTCTCGCTATGTTGCCTAGGCTGGTCTTGAATTCCTGGCCTCAAGTCATCCGCCTGCCTCGACCTCCCAGCGTGCTGGGATTACAGGTGTGAGCCACCGTGCCCAGCCTTTCTTTTTCTTTCTTTTGTTTTCTATAATAATCTTGGCCAATTCCTTAGCTTCCCTCCCTCCCTGCAGATGTTGAGAACTTGGAATCTGGGAGGAGGTGACCAGAGGGGCCAGGCAGAAGCTGCCTGGGACACATCCTTAGTGGTGAGTTGACGTGGGGTTGTGACTCAGAAGCCAGAAATGTGCAGGGCCCTGGCCATCTGTGTGCACACGTGTGCAAGAGATATAGAGAAAAACAGAATGAGAGACAGACAAGGACAGGGCCGTGGAGAGACAGGTACAGGGATGCAGAGGGGTAGGGGGACAGGAGTACAGAGAGATGGAGCAGGGACAAGAAACATGGGACAGAGATGGGGCGGAGATGAAGAGAGATGGGAACAGGCCCCTGAGACATGAGACCTGTTGGCTGGTTAACTAGCTGGTTGGCTGTTTGGGTAATGGATTAGTTAACTGGTCGGTTGGTTATCTAGTTGGCTGGCTAATTGGTTATCTGGTTGGTTTGGGATTTTTGAGTTTTGTTTTTTTTTTTCATGGATTCAGAAAATACTAGTGGAAGATTCACCCTGTTGATGGCCCTGTTTTGGATGCTGGAGATAGACCAGTGAATGGTGGCTTGCTGGCATTTGGGTGTTGGATTGCTGCTCCCCACCCCTCACCCCGATGAGTGCACTGTGAGTGCAGGTGCTGTTGAAAGGATGTATCGCGTGCTTGCCATGTGCCCCTTAGTATGGGAGTGCCCTATGGGGATCATCTTGCTGGATCTACCAGCAGTCTCACGAGGTGGCACTTACCCCCTCTGGTACATATTAGGGCCAGAATTTGATCCTAGGCAATCTGGCTCCAAAGCATAAGCCTAATTTCTGCCTTAAGTCACCCAGGAGTGGAGTGCAGGCATTTATTAAGTGCCCCGGTGTTCATGGCTCTATCCCCAATCTTTAGAGATGACAGTGGTTTTAATGGCCATAGATTTGACCTGCCTGGGTTCAAGTCCCTCTTCTGCTTTCCCTCACTGGGTGCTCTTCAACAGGAACATGCTGCTCTGAGCCTCCCTGTTCCCTTCTGTAAAGTGGGGAGAACAGTAGGGCCTTCCTCCTCAGGATGCTGTGTGGGCTCAGTGGAGCCAGGTTTGAGGCCAGTCCTGAGTGGGGGCTGCCATTGCTATGTGCAGCTTAGGGAGCTTGACCACAGGGCAGGATGCCCACTTGGGCTCATGGTTCTGTAAATGCCAGTTTTTGCTCTCATTTTATTATTATTATTATTTTTTTTTTTGAGAAAGAGTCTCACTCTGTTGCCCAGGCTGTAGTGCAGTGGCACTACAGTGATCTCAGCGCACTGTAACTGCTGCCTCACGGGCTCAAGCGGTTCTCCTGCCTCAGCCTCCTGAGTAGTTAGGATTACAGGCGTGCATCACCACACCCGGCTAATTTTTGTATTTTTAGTAGAGACAGAGTTTCACCATGTTGGTCAGGCTGGTCTTGAACTCCTGACCTCAGGTGATCCGCCTGCCGTGGCCTCCCAAAGTGCTGGGATTACGGCCTGCTCTCATTTTTGACAACAGATGTTCTCAAATGGGGTGGCCCCATGAGTTGTCACGAGGGCAGACTCGAGTCAGCCAATCCCAGGTTCAGATTCCGGCTCCTCCTCCCCTTCTCTTTGTGGCCCTCTCTGAACCCCATTGTGAAGCACGGGTGACAGTAGCAGGTGATTAGAAGCTTCAGTGCAATGGTTTGTGTTATGGTGTCATGTGCTCTGCACAGGGCCTGGCTCCCCGACAGCCCTGGGTCAGGGGCCAGTTAGGATGATGGATGATTACTGCCAGCAGCTGGGTTTCCCCTCCACCCCCCTCCCCACTCCAACCTGGATAACAAGGCCCAGCTGTGTGTGTCCAGCACCTGCACCGCCCCCGCCGGCCCCCAGCTCCCATCCCTGCCAGCCTTCCCACGGCAGGGAGCCTTCCTGGCTGTGGTGTTCCGGGTGGGCCCCACTGCCGCCCCCCATCCCCTCAGCCTAGAGCCATCCTCAGGTTAGGATAAGCAGAGCCGGAGCCACCCTCAGCCCGGCCCCCAGCGGCAGGATGGAAAGAGTGGGACTTTAACAGATGTTCTTTTACAAGGATTCCCTGGCTCTATTTAATCAAGATTGTCGAATATTGATTTAATCTCCAGGCCCAACAGATGCGGTCTTAGCAGGTTTCAGTGGCAATTAGCTGGGATCAGTTTGCAGGTCAGGCTCCGTGCTGGCAAGACACTGTCTTCTAAAGGAGGCTTGGCCTGGCCACAGGAGTGAGCCCTGGAGGAGGGCGCGTACTAAGTATTTAACCATCAGTCTAGCCCGGGCAGTGGCCCACGGGAGCAGGCCCGCAGGCTGGGTCATAGCAGCCCCTGTGGGGCCCCAGTGTTCCCCCCATGATGATAGTGGGGACACTCAGCCCGTTTAGGGCAGCAGCTGTTCACTGAGAAAAAAATAATAATAATAACACTAAAAGAAGCAGCACAGCCACGCCAGGGCCTGCGGCTTGATCATGAGCCTGGCTGGAGCCGGGGAGATCCCTGCAGGGCAGCCTGGAGCCCTGATGATGCCCCCAGTTAAGTACCCAGAAGGGGCCACACCAACAACAGAGGCCTCTCACCTGCGCTTTCAGGCCCCTCGCCTGACTGCATCCCATCATCCCCACTCTACAAACATGGCTGTAGCTGCTGGGTGGGCCTGGCATTTGTGCCCATACTCCAAGAAGCATCCCATTCCACTTCTGCATTTCAAAGGCTCATTAGAGCGAATAGGACTGTGCCCAGAACTGGAACAAGCTGCTTCATCCACATGTGCTTCAGGGGAGGTCACGACAGCTTCCCTTAACCCAGCCAACCCCACAGAGACTCAGAGGGGCGCCCCACCCGGCCCTGGCACTGGGGCTGCCAGAAAGGAGCCTTTGCTCAAGGTGAGCCACCCTGGGCTGTCTGGCCCCTGAGCCCAGAGGAACAAGGGTTCCTTGCCAGGTCACATTTGGTTTGCTTGAGATTTTTTAAAAAGTATTATTATATAAGAAAAAATGAAGGCCGGGCACAGTGGCTCACGCCTGTAATCCCAACACTTTGGGAGGCCGAGGCGGGCAGATCACCTGAGGTCAGGAGTTTGAGACCAGCCTGGCCAACATGGCAAAACCCCATATCTACTAAAAATACAAAAATTAGCCGGGCGTGGTGGTGTGGGTGCCTGTAATCCCAGCTGCTTGGGAGGCTGAGGCAGGAGAATTGCTTGAACCTGGGAGGCAGAGGTTGCAGTGAGCCAAGATCGCGCCACTGCACTCCAGCCTGGGCAACGGAGCCAGACTCTGTCTCAAAAAAAGAAGAAGAAAAAATGATAATAGCCAATTCTCGTTTATCACTGCAGGCCAGGGATATTCTAAGCCATGGCATTTATTAACCCACATCTTTCCTAAGAGTTAAGCTGTATTATTATCTCCATTTTACAGATGGGAAAACTGAGGCATAGAGAGACTAGGTTGCCTGCCCAAGGTCTAGCTAGTTAAGTGATGGAGCTGGGAATTGAACCAAGATAGACTTTGCTTCTATCCACTCTGCTGCAGCCACCACACCAGGGAAGACCTCCAGCATCTGGTGATAAGTGAGAGAGGCAGCTGTGAAGGTATTCACCCATTTATTTTTTTAAAAATTTCATCTCTCTACGCAGGCGTGTAATCATATGAACATTTAACCTATAAATAAAGTTCAGTTATACCAGGTAGCAAAATTAAAATTAGACATTTCAGTTTAAGTATTTGGGGTGATTACAGCCTCTATTTCCCTGGGGAATATGTGAACACAAGGTGGGGTGCACTGTCCTTCCCTCATTGGCTCTGCGTGGGAGCCTGTCGCCAGGCCACGGAGGACTCTGCCTTTGGAAACATGCAAATTGTTCAGACTCCATGGGCCCTCAAGTAGAGAGCTCTAACTGTGCAGCTTGGAAGTCTCTCCCCATTCTGACTTCTAGAAGGTAAGGGCCTTGCAAGGGGTGACTCTCACTCTGCTCATGTTTTCCCTCACATGCTGACTTTTTTTTTTTTTTTTTTTTTAAGATGGACTTTCGCTGTTATTGCCCAGGCTGGAGTACAGTGGTGCGATCTTGGCTCACTACAACCTCCACCTCCTGGGTTCAAGCAATTCCTCCTGTCTCAGCCTCCCGAGTAGCTGGGATTACAGGTGCCTGCCACCACACCTAGCTAATTTTTTTTTTGTATTTTTAGTGGAGACAGGATTTCACCCTGTTGGCCAGGCTGGTCTCGAACTCCCGACCTCAGGTGATCCACCCGCCTTGGCCTCCCAAAGTGCTGGGATTACAGGCGTGATGCGTTACTGCACTAAAAGCACTTCACACCATGCTTGGCGTGCAGTGAGCACACGCTAAGTATAAGCTGTGTTCATTCCCTTGGGGCTGCGTGGGCATCTTGCATGCATTACACATAGCTCTACCTTGCTATTTATTTATTTATTTATTTATTTATTTTTGAGGCAACGTCTTGCTCTGTTGCCCGGGTTTGATCTCTTATTTATTTATCTATTTATTTATTTATTTATTTATTTATTTATTTTTGAGGCAACGTCTTGCTCTGTTGCCCGGGCTTGATCTCTTATTTATTTATTTATTTATTTATTTATTTATTTATTTATTTTTGAGGCAACGTCTTGCTCTGTTGCCTGGGCTTGATCTCTTGAGGAGATCCTGGCTAACTGCAGGCTTGAACTCCTGGGCTCAGGTGATCCTCCCGCCTCAGCCTCTTGAGTAGCTGGTACTATAGGCATGCACCACCACACCTGGCAAATTTTAAAAAAAAAATTTTTGTAGAGATAGGGTCTCGTTATGTTATCCAGGCTGGTCTCGAACTACCACCCTCAAGGGATCCTCTTGCCTCAGCCTCCCAAAGGGTTGAAATTGATTACAGGCCTGAGCCACTGGCCTGGCCTAGCTCTTTTTGTACAGATACATTGTATTCCCTGGAATAGAGGCACCCGGATTCACTTAACCCTTCTTGTGCTGGTGGGCATTTGGGCTGTTCTCAGTTCTTCTGTATTACAGCAATGTAAAACAGTCAAAGCATCGTGTACCTTTCTTGACGTAGACTGGTGTTATTATCAGAGAGACAGATTTCTGGAAGTGGAATTGCTGGATTAAAATAAATAGAATGAAGCCAGGCGCGGTGGCTCACGCCTGTAATCCCAGCACTTTGGGAGGCCAAGACGGGTGGATCACTTGAGGTCAGGAGTTCTAGACCAGCCTGGCCAATGTGGTGAAACCCCTGTCTCTACTAAAAATACGATAATTAGCTGGGCATGGTGACACATGCCTGTGATCCCAGCTACTCAGGAGGCTGAGGTAGGAGAATTGCTTGACCAAGGAGGCAGAGGTTTCAGTGAGCCGAGATCACGCCACTGCACTCCAGCCTGGGCGACAGAGCAAGATTCCATCTCAAAAAAGTAAAAATAAAAATAATAAAATAAATAGAATGCACACCTAAAATGTTGATGCATAATTCCAGCTCTCTCTCTTGACTTTCCCTAGTTGGGAAAAACTGTACTGATTTAACACCCTTAAAAGCAGAATGGATGTGATGGCTCACAACTGTAATCCCAGCAGTTTGGGAGGCCAAGATGGGAGGATCACTTAAGCCCGGGAGTTCAAGACCAGCCTGGGCAACGTAGCAAGACCCAGTCTCTACAAAAAAAAATTAAAAATTAGCCAGGTGTGCTGGCACACCCCTATAGTCCCAGTTACTTGGGAGGCTGAGGCAGGAGGATCACTTGAGCCCAGGAGGTTGAGGATGCAGTGAGCCATAATCACACCACTGCACTCCAGACCAGGCGACAGAGTAATTTAAAATTTTGATGCACAGTTCTAACTTATTCTTTCTATTCCCCCAAGGGGAGAAAACTCTACTGATTTAACACCCTTAAAAGCAGAACAGGTCATGCAGGAACCCTGACCTGTGTGGGAGCCTTGCCAATTTGAATGTAACAGCTGGACGTGGCCTCCCTCTCTCCTGTGGGGACTGCCCTGGGTCCCTGGGTAGGAATTTGGGCTCCTTCTGGATGCTGGAGGAGATTTGTTTTAGAAACACCAATCCTCAGCCGGGCGTGGTGGCTCAAGTCTGTAATCCCAGCACTTTGGGAGGCCGAGGCGGGCAGATAACCTGAGGTCAGGAGTTCAAGACCAGCCTGGCCAACATGGCAAAACCCATCTCTACTAAAAATACAAAAATTAGCTGGGCATGGTGGTGCGAGCCTGTAATCCCAGCTACTCTGGAGGCTGAGGCAGAAGAATCGCTTGAACCCCGGAGGTGGAGGTTGCAGTGAGCCGAGATCATGCCACTGCACTCCAGCCTGGATGACAGAGTGAGACTCAGTCTGAAAAAAAAAAAAAGAAAGAAAGAAACACTAGTCCTCTGGGCTCTTTGACGTTAAATGTGGAAGTGCTGGCTTTCACAGCCGTGGCTGAGACTCCACTCGTTGCTCTTCCAGCCAGTGGAGCAGAGTCTCTGCCATGGCACTAGCTAATGAGATTTCTAAGATTTTCATCCATCTTATTTCCTGAGGGAGCTCTGTAGTGGTCCCATGTATGCTCAAACTCCCAGTAAGGTTGGGGAAGACATAGAGGGGAAAAATCAGATTTTTTTTTTTTTTTTTTTTGAGACAGAGTCTCACTCTTTTGCCCAGGCTGGAGTGCAGTGGCGCTATCTCGGCTCACTGCAAGCTCCACCTCCTGGGTTCACGCCATTCTCCTGCCTCAGCCTCCCGCGTAGCTGGGACTACAGGCGACCGCCACCATGCCCGGCTGATTTTTTTTCTTCATATTTTTTAGTAGAGACGGGGTTTCACCGTGTTAGCCAGGATGGTCTCGATCTCCTGACCTCGTGATCTGCCCGCCTCGGCCTCCCAAAGTGCTGGGATTACAGGCGTGAGCCACCACGCCCGGCCGAAAAATCAGATTCTTAACGTGCAATCTGCTGAGCTGTTGCTGACTTGCTGGAATTTTGTCCTTATGAATGGATTTTAAAGACAGTCAGCGTCATTCACGTATTCCCACAGCACACTCATTTGAACGATTTCATCTTATTTGGAGCACAGGGCAAAGGGGTGGCAGGCAGACTGTTGAGGTTTGAATCCCACCTGCCCCTCGTAACCTTTGCCTCATCTGTAAGATGGTCATGATGGAAGTCCCTACTTGGCAGGGCATGGTGGTTTGCACCTGTAACCCCAGCATTTTGGGAGGCCAAGGCAGGAGGATCACTTGAGGCCAGGAGTTTGAGGTTTTGTGAGACCTCATCTCTACAAAAAAAAATTTTTAAGTAAAAAATTAGCCGGTTGTGGTGGCACACAGCTGTAGTCCCAGCTACTCAAGAGGCTGAGGTGGGAAGATTGCTTGTGCCCAGGAATTTAAGGGCTGCAGTGAGCTATGATTGTACCACCACACTCCAGCCTGGGTGGCAAAGACCCTGTCTCAAAAAAGAGAAGAGAAATTTATTTAAAAAGGAAAAGAAGCCCCTACTTGATACAGTTGTTAGAACACACCAGTTAACACACGCCAGTGTGTAGCCCTGAATCTGGCGCATCAGGAGAGCTCATCAGTGTTGACCTTATGTTTAATACCGTCATCACCGTATTATCCCTCTCCACTGCCCCGCCCACATGTGAGAACAAATATGTTAGATCCCAGTCCACCCCAGACATGCATCTGTTCACAGTCTGGGGAAGACAGAAGATGCTCAGAGGCTTAAAAATCCAGTGGGCTAAGTCCCATATCAAGGGTGCATGTACATCCCCGGGAGCTCAGCAGAGGGAGGAAAGGGGGAATTCTGCCTGGCTTTAGTGGGACAGACAGCATGGGGGGACAATCGGAGGGAGGCGAGGACAAGGCGCTCTGAATCAGTGAACCCCTGAAATAACTCCTGCAAAGGTCACCAGTGCCCTTCATACCTATAACTGCCACCATACGTGACTCTTTGAGCAGCGTCCACTCCTGTTGACAGTTGGTCCTCCCCAACCACACCTGCGCTCCAGCCTCCCTGCTGGGCCTGCTGTATCTCATGTCCTGGCTCCCATCACCCACCTGCCCACTTGGATGTACAGCCTCTCCGAGCTCGGAGGCAGACCCTCTTCTCTCTGCTCTCTCTGTTCCTTCTGTCCTCACCTAAGACTGCACAGTAGAATCAGCTGCCGAGCTTTTAAGAGGCACTCAGGCCTGCGCCCCACCCCAACCAGCTAATTCAGAATCTCTGGGAGTGGGGTGTGGACAGATACCTATATATTTTTTTTTATTTTTTATTTTTGTGAGACAGAGTCTTGCTCTGTCTCCCAGGCTGGAGTGCAGTGGTGCGATCTCGGCTTACTGCAACCTCCACCTCCTGGGTTCAAGCGATTCTCCTGCCTCAGCCTCCCAAGTAGCTGGGACCACAGGCACGCGCCACTATACCTGGTTAATTTTTTTTTTTTTTTTGTATTTTTAGTAGAGATGGGGTTTTACCATGTTGGCCAGGCTGGTCTTGAACTCCTGACCTCAAGTGATCTGCCTGCCTTGGCCTCCCAAAGTGCTGGGATTACAGGCACGAGCTACCATGCCTGGCCCAGACACCTATATTTTTATAAAGCTCCTCTGTACCTCTATTGTATGCTGGCAGGAAGACCAGTCCCCCGAGCATCCCCATCTGGCCTTGGATACTGGCTGTTCCCAGCTTCCCTGCTCATCCACGGCAGGTACCCTCTCTTCTTGCAGATCCTGGTTTAGACACCACCCTTCAAGGAGTCTTCCTGACCCCCTCCCAACTATAGTGATCTTCAGTCCTATCTATCTATCTATCTATCTATCTATCTATTTTTGAGACAGGGTCTTGCTCTGTCACCCAGGCTGGAGTGCAGTGGCGTGATCACAGCTCACTGCAGCCTTGACCTCCTGGGCTCAAGCGATCCTCCCACCTCAGCCTCCCATAGTGCTGTGATTACACACATGAGCCACTGCACCCAGCCATTTTATGACCTTTACAATGCTGGCCACCCTTGGAAATTCTATTTTATTTCTCTGGCGTTTCTCTACTGGAGGTCCATTCATGAGAGCAGGGGCACAGTCTGTCCTGCTCAGAGATTTTCTTTAGCACCCACAGCAGTGGCGTGTAGTAGAAATAGATTGAGTAAATGAATGGATTTCGAGTGTTTGGTGCTTGTAGAATGAATGAATGAGTTATACATGACTGGGAAATGGTGAATAAATGAATATGTTTTTAGGGCTTTGTTGGCTGGAAGAACTTTTTTGAGGGATTTATAAGAACATGGTAGGTGTTTGTTGTGTGAGTGAATGGATGAATGGATGCATTTTAAGGACTAACTAGTTCTTCCTGGATAAACAAATGACTTGTACGTGCCCAGAAACTGCTGAGTCACTGGATGCATGCCTGGAGGAGTCCTCATTCCACCTGGGCCTTAGAGAGGAACCCTCGGACTTGATGCCACATCCCTGAGCCCTCCAGAGTGCTTGAGCCCCACTTAGCCTCCATGGCCGTGACTAGATCATGTTTCCCTGAAAGGGAGATGCTTGGAGCACATCAGGGCAGCCCTGAACACCCAGGGGGTCCCTCTACCTCTAAGCAAAGGCCTGTGAAAGGACAGCCCATCCCACCCCTACAAGCTATCTCCAAGCATTGCTTTCAGCTTCTTGGGCGTGCTGCTTCCCAGGGAAGGGCACACTCGGGCACCAAGCAGGCCCTGCTTGCCTTGGGTCACAGACCCCAACTGAGCCAGTGCTCCCTGGTCCTGAGTGAGGTTGTCATCCATCCAGTCATTTAATAGTTATGTTGTTTTATCTATCTATCTATCTATCTATCTATCTATCTATCTATCTATCTATCTATCTATCTATCTATCTGCCTGCCTACCCTACCTACCTGCCTACCTATCTATGTAGTGACAGAGTCTCACTTTATTGCCCAGGCGGGAGTACAGTGGCGTGATCTCGGCTCACTGCCACCTCCCTCTCCCAGGTTCAAGCAATTCTGTTGCCTCAGCCTCCCAAGTAGCTGGGACCACAGGCATGCACCACCATGCCTCGCTAATTTTTTCATATTTTTAGTGGACACGGGGTTTTACCTTGTTGGCCAGGCTGATCTCGAACCTCTGACCTCAGTTGATTCGCCCACCTCGGCCTCCCAAAGTGCTGGGATTACAGGCATGAGCCACTGTGCCCAATCAGATATTTATTTAGAAAAGAATTTTTTTAGAGACAGGGTCTCACTGTGCAACCAGGCTGGAGTGCGTGGTTCAACCCTGTCTCCTTCCTTTGTGATCAGCAGGGTCCCAGGTAAGGGCTGCTTTGTCTGCTGGGAGTGAAGTTGGCATGAGCAGGGCTCTCAGCCAGCCTGTGATGGACAGGAAATGTGAGCAAGAACCAAGCCTCAGTTGTGAAAGCCCCTGAGCATCTGGGGTCATTTGTTACTGCAGCATAGCTTAGCTCATCCCGCCTGTCCCAAGAAGGAACACATTTTGTGGATGGGGAGTGATCAAGAGTTCAGGTTGGGAATGTTCAGTTGCAGTGCATGTGAGATGTGTAAGTGGTGATGTCAAGTAATCAGGTGGGTAGGGGGGTTTGGAACTCAGAAGAGCAGTGGGAGCTGGAGATGTTTTCCGCATTGGCGACACACGTTTAAATGAGAATCACAGAGGTCCAGGCGCTGCCTGTGATTGCAAGGAAGGCTGGTGCTTGAACTCAGGACTGTCTGACTTGAGGTAAGAAGGGGCTGGGGTTGAGTCCCCACTGTGTCAACTCATAGCCATGTGGCTATGAGTTACTTCCTCTGTCTGCTCCTCACTTTCCTCATCTGTAAAATGGAGGTAATAATGATACCCACCTCATGGGGTTGTTGAAAGGGTTAACACATAGCAATTGACAGGTGTGAAGTGCTCTGGAAAGGACCTGGACCATAGAAGGATTCTATTCATGGTAGTTGCTGTCGTAGATACTGGCTTTTGTGTATGTTTTCATTGTTGTTTTGTTTTATAACTAAAATGTCCAGTGGTGGGAAATGGAATAGGGCTGACTTTGTGTCCAACTTGATGCAGAGACTCAAATGATGACTACAGCCCCAGATTCTAACTCCCAGTCCCCTTCACAGATAGTTCTTCTCCCATGGTTACGAGACAGCTGCAGCGACTCCATCCCTCACATCTTCTCAGACTTAGGGTTAAAGGGAAAAGCGCAGCCTTCAGCTCCAGCACTCCTGGTAAAGACATCACGGTCTCACTGGTTCTGATCAGGCCACATGGGTTGCTCCAGAGCTGGGGAAGGAGCCCCACCTCTAGCCCATTGGGTGGCCATTGGAGAGGGGAGGCTCCCAAAGGGAAGTCGGGACTGTTGGAAAAAGGAGTCCTGGCGACAGGGAAAGTAAACCACAACTGTCCACATTGGAGGGCTCTTGTGTTTCCCTATGCTGTGTCCTGTGAGCTTCTGGCAGACATTGCAGCCCTCACAGAGTTGGGCCTTTTGGAGCCAAGACACCAAGGCTGTGGGGCTTGCTTGCTTGTCGCAGGGGCAATCTGGGAGCATTTACACCCACAGATACATCACTGGTTGCCTGCTCTTCTAACAGACCCTGATGCGTCCCCACTGGCCCAGAGGCAATCAGGATGGCTACAGATGCTGGCTCTCCCAGCTTCCCTTGCAACCGGAGTGGCCGTGTATCCACATTCTAGCCAGTGGGACATAAAAGAAAGGATTGCAGCAAGGGGAATGTTCTGGGAAAGATTCTCCTTCCTGATTAGGGTCAGACCGGTGCCCTCACCATTCCTATCTTTCCCCTTTGCCCATGATTCAGTGGGAAGTGTGGCTGTGGCCACCAGCTTGTGACCGTGACGCAGCAAGCCAGAAGACTTGCTCAATCCTGCAGCACAGGAGGGAGGCAGAGGGAATGGGGGGACATGCTTCACATCGCTCTCCAGCTTTCCCACCAGGCCTGGAGCCGCCATATCTGGCCTCCTGGTGACATGAGATGACTAAATGTCTTCACCGTGCAAAGCACCGTTGGATAGTCTTCCGTTACTCGCAGCCAAACACATCCCAACTGACTGTCTCCCACTGCCACTCACTCCTCATTTTGCTGCTGTCTCCCAGGCTGCCCTAGTTTTCCCCATATACAGTTCCCCAGCTGCCCTCCTTCACACAGCACCGTGTGTCACTCGGGGTCCTCTGATGCCAGCAGCAGAAGCCACGCTTGGCAGTCTGTGGCCGAATCACAATTCACTGAGGATGTACAGAATGAACACGAGGCCAGAGGAGCAATCTTAGAAAACAGGGAGGGAGCCAAGGAAGCCCTGGAGGGAAGAAACCAGGGGTCCCCAGCAAAAGTCACTGCACAGGAGAAGCCAGGTCCACTGTGCCTGCCCCTGCAAGGACACTTTCCAGCCTCACATGCTCTTAGAAACCTCGCACGGAGTCCTAGGAGAGGACCCTGGGCCGACCAAGCCCACGTCCTGTGCCCACTCCAACTGTGCTTCTGTGGGGGGAAAGGGGAAGCACTTCTGCCAAAGATACACAACAGAACTGTAGTAAGAGCAGGTGGTATTATACCCATTTTACAGATTGAAACTGAGTCACTATTTCCATAACCCGTCCATGACACACGAGGATTGAGCCCAGGAGGCAGTCTGGTTCCTGCCTATGCTGTGCTTCTCTCATCACGGGGGTTCCCCATCGGGAAGGTCCAAGTGCTTTTAGGGAGGAGGAGCTCGGTAGAAGACAGCTGGAAAGAGACCAGTGTGCACCCTCTGAGTCCCAGAGGCTGCGGGTGCCACTCAGCCTCTGAATGTCACAGGAAGACTCGACTGCAGCTGCTAGGAGAAGGGATTTGTTCAGAGAGACGAAGGCCTGCAAGAACATCTGTGTGTGTGCACAGAAGGGAGCAGAATGGATTGAGGGTTTCTGACTGAGCTGGAAACAAATGCCATCAGCAAAGCCCATCTGTCGGGAGGTGCTTGCATAAGCAAGTCAGGGTCGCATCTGGGCCACTGGTTTTCCCAACCCAGCCTTAAGTGTGGCCTCAAAGGACTAATCCTCCCTCCGCACTCTGCACTCTGAAGGCAGAGCCACAACACAGGCTGGGCTGCTGAGGACAGGCAGCGCCCTCAGGCGGGCCATCATCCCAGCTTGACCTGGGATCTGGTGCCCAGCACAGCGGACTGTGGGGCAGGGTTCAGGCTCTCAAGCAAACAGTCTTGCCATTCTGTAACTGACAGTTTAGAGTGGAGACAATAAACACCATAGATAAAATAATTGCACTTTTCTCTGGCAAACCAGCAACCCCTGCTGAAGTGTGACCCACACATACTTATTTTGTTTACCCTCATTGTGTGTGTGTATGTGGTGTTTTGTTGTTGTTGTTGTTTGATTTTTGAGATAGAGTCTTGCTCTATCACTTGGGCTGGAGTGCAGTGGCACAATCACAGCCCACTGCAGCCTTGGCCTCCCAAATAGCTGGAACTACAGGCATACGCCACCACGCCTGGCTAAGTTTTAAAATTTTTTGTAGAGATGGGGTTTCACTGTAATGCCCAGGCTGGTGTCAAACTCCTGGGCTCAAACAGTCCTCCCTCCTCAGCCTCCCAAAGTACGGGTATTACAGGCATGAGCCACTGTGCCCGGCTTCATTGAGGTTTTTATTGTTAATGTTCTTAGGAAGTGCATTTTACCCTTGAACAACATGGGTTGGAACTGCGTGGATCTATGTATACATGAATTTTTTTCAATAAATATATTGGAAAATTTTTTAGAAATTTGCAACTATTTACTGGGCGTGGTGGCTCACGCCTATAATCCTAGCACTTTGGGAGGCCGAGGTAGGCAGATCACCTGAGGTTGGGAGTTCGAGACCAGCCTGCCCAACACGGAGAAAACCCGTCTCTACAAAAGACACAAAATTAGCTGGGCGTGGTGGCACATGCCTGTAATCCCAGCTACTCAGGAGGCTGAGGCAGGAGAATCGCTTGAACCCGGGAGGCGGAGGTTGCAGTGAGCTGAGATGGCGCCACTGCACTCCAGCCTGGGTGACAGAGTGATGCTCCGTCTCAGAAAAAAAAAGAGATTTGCAACTATTTGAAAAGAACTTGCAGGGGTGGGTGCGGTGGTTCACGCCTGTAATCCCAGCACTTTGGGAGGCCGAGGCTGGCGGATCCCTCGAGGCCAGGAGTTTGAGCTAGGCTTGCCAACATGGTAAAACCCTGTCTCTACTAAAAATACAAAAATTGGCCAGGCATGGTGGTGTGCACCTGTAATCCCAGCTACTCAGGAGGCTGAGGCAGGAGAATCACTTGATCCTGGGAAGCAGAGATTGCAGTGAGCCGAGATTGTGCCACTGTACTCCAGCCTGGGTGACAGAGCAACACTCTGTCTCAAAGAAAAAAAAAACAGAAAAGAAAAGATCTTGCAGGTGAACCACATAGCCTAAAAATATTTTTTAAAAAATAAAATGTTAAGGCCGGGCACGGTGGCTCACGCCTGTAACCCCAGCACTTTGGGAAGCCGAGGTAGGCGGATCACAAGGTCAGGAGATCAAGACCATCCTAACATGGTGAAACCCCGTCTCTACTGAAAATACAAAAAATATTAGCTGGCCGTGGTGGCGGGCGCGTGTAGTCTCAGCCACTCCAGAGGCTGAGGCAGGAGAATGGCGTAACCTGGGAGGCGGAGATTGCAGTGAGCTGAGATCGCACCACTGCACTCCAGCCTAGGCGACAGAGCAAGGCTCTGTCTCAAAAAATAATAATAATAATAAATAAGTAAATACATAAATAAATAAAAATAAAATGTTAGGTATGTCATGAATACATAAAATATATGTACATTAGTCTATTTTTCTATTTTATCATTTGCTACCATAAAATATACACAAATGCATTCTAAAAAGTTAAAATTTATCAAAACTTACACACACACAAACACACTGCCAAGCCAAGAGAAATGTAAACAAACATAAACATGCAGAATTAAATCATAACTGCATGAAATTAACTGCAGTACACACTGCACTACCGTCATAGTTTCGCGACCACCTCCTGTTGCTACTGCGGTGAGCTCAAGTGTTGTGAGTATCCATTTGAAACACCGTGTGACACTCATCATCTCCGCATGAGCAGTTTGTCTCTCCAGCAAATTGCACATCGCAGTAAAAAATGATCCCTAGAGGTTCTCACCTAGTTTTCATCGTGTTTAGTGCAATACTGTAAGCCCTGAATAACCTCAGGGGACCCGTACAAAGTGCCACTAGTGATGCTGGAAGTTGTCCCAAGAAGCAGAGAAAAGTCATAACATTACAAGAAAATATGCAATTGCTTGATATGTGCCATCGATGGAGATCTGCAGCTGCAGTTGCCCGCCATTTCCAGATAAATGAATCCAGTGTGAGGACCATCGTAAAAAATGAAAAGGAAATTCATGAAGCTGTCACTGCCTGTATGCCAGCAGGCACAAAAACCTTGCACTGTTTACAAAATATATTTTTATCTCGTGTTGCAAATGCAGCTTCTATGTGGGTACAGGATTGCTATAAGGCATACCTATAGATTGTAATTTGCTTCGAGAAAAAGTGAAGTCATTACATGGCAACCTAAAGCAAAAGGAAGAAGGAGGATCTCAAGCTGGGGAATTTAATGCCAGCAAAGGATGGTTTGATAATTTTAGAAAGAGTATGGCTTAAAAAATGTCAAGATGGCAGGAGAAGCAGCTTCTGCCAACCAGAGGCAGCAGATGAGTTCCCAGATGCCAGTGAGAAAGTCATTGAGGAGGCTGGGTACGGTGCCTCACACCTGTAATCCCAGTACATTGGGAGGCTGAGGTGGGAAGATCACTTGAGCCCAGGAGTTTGATACCAGCCTGGGCAACATACTAAGACCCCACCTCTACCAAAAATTTAAAAATTAGCTGGGCATGGTGACGTGCATCTGTAGTCCTAGCTACTCAGAAGGCTGAGGCAGGAAGATCACTTGAGCCCTGGAGTTTGAGGCTATAGTGAGCTATGATTGTACCACTGCACTCCAGCCTTGACAACAGAGAAAGACCCTGTCTCTAAAAAAAATAATAATAAAAATGAATAAGAAAAAGAAGTAAGCCTGTTCATAAGTGCTAAGGAGAAAAATGGAGCAGAGGAAGGGCCTGGGAGTGGTGGGGATAGACACACAGAGGCAAGCACTATTAGTTTTTTGAAAATTCTTCCGATCATCTCTGCATGATAGTTTGTTGTTGTTTCTGTTGTTTTTTCTTTTTTCTTTTTCTTTTTCTTTTTTTTTTTTTTTTTTTTTTTTTTTGAGATGGAGTCTCACTCTGTTGCCTAGGCTGGAGTGCAGTGGAGCAATCTCGGCTCACTGCATCCTCCACCTCCCAGGTTCAAGCAATCCTCCTGCCTCAGCCTCCCACGTAGCTGGGACTACAGGTGTGCGCCACCGCACCCAGCTAACGTTTCTATTTTTAGTAGAGACGGGGTTTCACCATGTTAGCCAGGCTGGTCTCGAACTCCTGACCTCAGGCAATCCACTTACCTCGGCCTCCCAAAGTGCTGGGGTTATAGGCATGAGCCACTGCGCCTGGCCAATATTTTTGCTTTTCCAATTGGGAAATGTTACATGCAACTCTAGATTTCTGATTTCTGTTGGAAAATCAGATGATCTGACATCCATACTCCCGCAAGCCTTGATTGTCAGAAGATGCCCTGCCATCCAGGTCAGTGCAGGCTCCTCTTGGCCTCTCTCCTGTCTCCCTTAGGCAACTCGACCCTGAGGGCTTTCCAGCTTCCTCTCTCTTCTGTAGCCCATCCCTGTGCTGCCTCCCGGCAACATCTTCAGGATCGTTTGTGTTCTCGTGGGGCACCAGGAAGAGGGGCTCCCCCTTGCTCCCCACTCTCCACCTGCCCTCTTCTGGTGCTCACTTTTTCAGAGGCTTCAGGCTCCCCTTGCTATTTGCTCCTTGAATCTGCTTTGAGCTTCCCTTGTGATCTCTGCCAGTGCGCTCCATAACTGGGCATAAATTAGGAAAAGCCCCCCTACACATGCGCATACATGCACACACACACACACACACACACACACACACAGGCACACAGACATGCACACACACACACAGGCACACAGACATGCACACACACACAGACGCACACAGACACGCACACACACAGACACGCACACAGACATACACAGAGACACGCACACACACACAGACACACACACACAGACACATACACGCAGAAGAGGCCTGCTACTTTCTCACACAGGAAGCTCCAATAGCCATTGATCAAGAACGGCTGCATCCAGCTCTAGATTCCCAGGGAAAGAAAAGTTAGAGGTCACCTTGAACCAAGTGCGTGGCCCAAAGCAGCACTCCACTGCCCTGAGCAAAATCAGTTCCGTTGGCAGGAGGGAGCGGGCACGGCTGCTGGGCAGTCAACAGCTTCCATCACAGACGGCGACCCACTTTCCCCTTCCTCTCCAGCAGGATTTTCATCTTCTAGAAGTTCAAGGTGGAGACAAAGGGAAGTGACCCCGCAGGGTGTTTTATATGCTGGACAGAAGCACAGACTCCCTTCCCCAGGGGCCTGCAAATCAGGAGGTACTTACACCTCCAATTAGGCAGAGGCCATCTGTTCACTCATATGTATAATACTAAACGAACGTCCTGGACGTTCTAGATGGCTCACGCCTGTAATCCCAGCACTTTGGGAGGCCAAGGCAGGCGGATCATGAGGTCAGGAGATCGAGACCATCCTGGCTAACACGGTGAAACCCTGTCTCTACTAAAAATACAAAAAAATTAGCCAGGTATGGTGGCAGGCACCTGTAGTCCCAGCTACTCAGGAGGCTGAGGCAGGAGAATGGCGTGAACCCAGGAGGCGGAGCTTGCAGTGAGCCGAGATCGCGCCACTGTACTCCAGCCTGGGCAACAGAGCGAGACTCCGTCTCAACTGTTCTAGGCACTGGGAATGCATCAGTGAACAACACAGACATCCCTGCCATTCTGGAGCCAACATTTGAGTGGTGGACCTAGCCAGTAGACAGAACGAACAACTGCTAAGAAAAATTGGAAGAAAGTAGAGTGGGTAATTAAGAAAGGCTTCCAGAAGACCGGGCTTCTCTGTCTCTATAGGGTGATTTGGGAAGGTTTTTGTGTTTGTTTTTGTTTTTGGGGATTTTTTTTTTTTTTTGAGATAGGATCTCGCTTTGTTGCCCAGGCTGGAGTGCAGTGGTGTGATCGTGGCTCATGCAATCTCAACCTCCCGGGTTCGAGTGATCCTTTTACCTCAGCCCCCTGAGTAGCTGGGACTACAGGCACATGCCACCATGCCTGGCTAATTTTTGTATTTTTAGTAGAGATGGGGTTTTGCCATGTTGGCCAGGCTGGTCTTGAGCTGCTGGGCTCAAGTGATCCACCCGCCTTGGCCTCCCAAAGTGCTGGGACTGCAGGTGTGAGCCACCGTGCCCAGCCGGAAGTCCCCATGGAAGAACTGACATCATGGGAAGGAACCAGCCCCAAGAAGGACTGAGGAAGGATATCAGATGTCCTGGATAAGGTTTGGTGCATCAGAACAGAAAAGAAGGCCAGTATGATCAGAGCTTAGTCAGGGATGGGGAGAGACATGGAAGCCAGATCCTGCGGGGCTTGTGGAGCAGGGGAAGGAGTTTGGATGGTGTTTTAATGCAGTAAGTAGTCACTGGGGAGATCTCAGTGAAAAAGTGATGGGCTCTGATTTACCCAGTCATAGTCTGCAGTAACCACATGGATTTCTAGAGACATTCCTTCTGCAGCTTTCCTCCCCAAACTCCACTGGTGCTCATGTTGACTCATCTGTCATTTTCACTTCCTTTCTGGCAGAGTAGCTGAGCTGAGCAAACAACAGAGCAGGTGGACAATAGTCTGGCCTCTGCATGAAGCCACCAGTTCACAGGAAATACAGGGGGCAGAGGAACATGTTAAGTGGCACCTCAGGGATCCTGAAAGTGGGGAAATCCACAGGACAGGTGACCCCTTTCCTTCAACAAGTAAAGAGCATCAAAATAAAGGAAGGTGGCCATTGTAGAGTAGAGGAGACTTGAGAAAATACCTGCATAAGCAGAGGATGATTTCGAACAAACCAGCTCACAAAAGACACCTGCGAGACAATGATGGGAAATGTAATGCAGGCAGGGTAGTGCATGACATTAAAGAATTCTTGTTAATGTAGATGAGTATGATAATGTTACTGTGATTTTTTTTTTTAAATCTTATGTACTAGAGATACAAGCTAAAATATTTATGGGTGAAATGACCTGATGTCTGGCCAGGTATGGTGGTTCATGCCTGTAATCCCAGCACTTTGGGAGGCTGAGGCGGGCGGGGATTGCCTGAGGCCAGGAGTTTGAGACCAGTTTGGCCAATATGACAAAACCCCGTCTCTACTAAAAATAAGAAAAATTAGCCGGGCATGGTAGCACATGCTGGAATTCCAGCTACTTGGGAGGCTGAGGCAGGAGAATCATTCGAACCTTCGAGGTGGATGTTGCAATGAGCCAAGCACATGCCACTGCACTCCAGCCTGGGTGACAGAGCGAGACTCTGTCTCAAAAAAAAAAAAAAATGATGTCTGGGGTTTACTCTAAAACATTCTATCAGAAACAAAGAAGGTCACAAGGCTGGGTGAATAGATGAAATGGGAATGGAAAATAGTTAGTGGTTGTTGGAGCTGATGGGTGACTCAGTCTCCTCTCTGCTTTTGAGTATGTTTGCAAATTTCCATAATAAAAAGATTTTTTAAATGAGTAAGGCTGTCAAGAAAAGTCACATGTCCCACTTTCTGGGAGCAGTAACACGGCCATCGCAGCTCATATTTTCCTTTTCTTCCATTTCAGCATGGCGAGGACAACATCCTTGCTGCCTCCAGCTGGCGGGCGACCACAGCTACTGCCTGCTCTGCGCTACTGAGCCACTCGGTCTGGAGCCCCCAGGACAGCACCTGCTTCCTGAGGTTGTCCTGGCTCAGCTGTGCACAGCGATGGTGGAGAACTGGACTCCACAGGCTCACAACCTTCCTGTCAGGTTTCAGGGCCCAGCATCCTTCATCCTGGGCCTGGCTGCCCTGAACAATGGCTGAGGGCTGGGGGACCCCATAGAGTGACACCACAGCGTACGGGGCCAGCAGCACTCCAGTGCCCGTGGACTATGACCACCTATCGGGCCATCCCCAGCGATGGTGTGGACCTGGCAGCCAGCTGTGGCGCCAGGGTGGGCGATGTCCTCCCTGGGCCACACACAGGGGACTACGCTCCCTTGGGATTCTGGGCCCAGAATGGCAGCATGTCCCAGCCTCTTGGCGAGAGCCCGGCCACCGCCACCGCCACCGCCACCGCCACCACCCGCCCCAGCCCCACCACTCCCGCAATGCCCAAGATGGGCGTGCGCGCAAGGGTGGCCGACTGGCCGCCCAAGCGGGAGGCCCTGAGAGAGCACAGCAACCCAAGCCCCTCCCAGGACACAGATGGCACAAAGGCCACCAAGATGGCCCATTCCATGAGGAGCATACAGAACGGACAGCCCCCCACCAGCACCCCGGCTTCCTCAGGGTCCAAAGCCTTCCACCGACTCTCCAGGAGAAGGTCCAAAGACGTGGAGTTCCAGGACGGGTGGCCCCGGTCCCCCGGCAGGGCCTTCCTCCCCCTTCGGCACCGCAGCAGCAGCGAGATCACCCTCAGCGAGTGTGACGCGGAGGACGCGGGGGAGCCGCGGGGGGCCCGGCACACGGGGGCGCTGCCCCTCTTCCGCGAGTACGGGAGCACCTCGTCCATCGACGTGCAGGGCATGCCCGAGCAGAGCTTCTTCGACATCCTGAACGAGTTCCGCAGCGAGCAGCCCGACGCCCGAGGGTGCCAGGCCCTCACCGAGCTCCTCCGGGCAGATCCTGGCCCACACCTCATGGGGGGCGGCGGCGGAGCCAAGGGGGACTCCCACAACGGGCAGCCCGCCAAGGACAGCCTCCTGCCACTGCAGCCCACGAAGGAGAAGGAGAAGGCCCGGAAGAAACCTGCGCGGGGCCTCGGCGGCGGGGACACGGTGGACTCGTCCATCTTTCGGAAGCTAAGGAGCAGCAAACCCGAGGGGGAGGCTGGGCGTTCCCCGGGGGAGGCCGACGAGGGCCGGAGCCCCCCGGAAGCCAGCAGGCCGTGGGTGTGTCAGAAGAGCTTCGCCCACTTCGACGTGCAGAGCATGCTGTTCGACCTCAACGAGGCGGCCGCCAACAGGGTGTCGGTGTCGCAGCGGCGGAACACCACCACGGGTGCTTCGGCCGCTTCCGCCGCCTCGGCCATGGCCTCCCTCACGGCCTCGCGGGCCCACAGCCTCGGAGGCCTGGACCCGGCCTTCACCAGCACAGAGGACCTAAACTGCAAGGAGAACTTGGAGCAGGACCTCGGCGATGACAACAGCAACGACCTGCTGCTCAGCTGCCCGCACTTCCGCAATGAGATCGGGGGCGAGTGTGAGCGCAACGTGAGCTTCTCCCGGGCTTCCGTGGGCTCCCCGAGCAGCGGCGAGGGCCACCTGGCAGAGCCCGCCCTGAGCGCCTACCGCACCAACGCCAGCATCTCGGTGTTGGAAGTTCCCAAGGAGCAGCAGCGGACGCAGAGTCGGCCCCGGCAGTACAGCATCGAGCATGTGGACCTGGGCGCCCGCTACTACCAGGATTACTTCGTGGGCAAAGGTGACGGATGGCGTGTGGGTGGGAAGGTTGGGTGGGCCGAGGCTTGCCTCCGAGACCCCCACTACTCATTCATTCACTCTGTGCCAGGCCCTGCTCTGGCACTGAGGATGTGGCGGGAACAGAGACCTCCCTTCTGGAGGGCTGTGAGGATCCGGTGAGCAGAGCCACCCGGGCCTCAGCCCTGTGTCTGACACAGCAGCACTCCATAAACCTTGAGCTACAGGACACAGCTCTGCATTTACTCAGCACATATGGACTTGGGGACAGCTCAGTGCCAGGCACTCTCTAGAGCCTGGGGATGTAGTATCAACCAGCTTAAAACAAATGTTCTGTCTTCCTAGTACTTATAATGTTTTCATGGGTAACACAAACATAGAACAGGATAAATACGAAAAATACACAAGGGATTGTAGGCTGCTAAATGCAGTGGAAAAGAGTACAGCAGGGAAGAAGGAAATGGAGTGTCGGAGGGTGGGGGCAGATCCCAGTGGGGGATGGTCAGAGGGGGCCTCCGAGGCAGGTGCAGTTTGAGTACCAAGCTGAAGTCACCATGTGCAAATTGCAGACACTGTTCCCAGAACAGAGCAGCGAATACAAAAGTCTTGGAACTGCCCGGCGCAGTGGCTCACGCCTGTAATCCCAGCACTTTGGGAGGCTGAGGCAGGCGGATCACTTGAGGTCAGGAGTTCAAGACCAGCTTGGCCAACATGGTGAAACCGCATCTCTACTAAAAATACAAAAAAATTAGCCAGGCATGGTGACATGTGGCTGTAATCCCAGCTACTTGGGAGGCTGAGGTAGGAGAATCGCTTGAACCCAGGAGGCAGATGTTGCGGTGGGCTGAGATCATGCCACTGCACTCCAGCCTGGGTGACAGAGTGAGACTCTGTCTCAAAAAAAAAAAAAAAAAAAAATTGAGAATTGCTTGTAACTGCTAGTAACAGGCTTAAACAACATAGAAGGGACTCTCCTGTGAAGAAATCCAGAGTTCAGCAGCCCAGGGCTGGTATGGTCAGTCTTAAGCATCAGTATGGTCAGCCTTAGTGCATGGCATGATCCCCCACTGCTCCACACCAAGATGGCTGCTGGAGTGCCAGGCGTCACATCTGTGTTTCCAGGCAGAGAAAAAGAGGAAAGGGTAAGGACAAAAAGGCAGACCTCTTGTCAAGTCAACCCCCTTATGCCCTTATGCCTAGTGTTTCATTATTGGAACGCTAAGCATGTGGGAGTTATAGCCTACTGCTCAAGGACATTGCCAGGGTCTGAATTTTTACTTGTGGAAAAATTCAAAAAATTGCAGCCTCCGGCATAAATGCGTTAAAGAGCTTTCTCAGAAGCCCGGTCCAACTACTTGCACTTAGTGGCCACACCTGTGTGCAAAAGAGGCTGGGAAACGCAGGTTTTTAGCTAGACAAAGTTTTTCTTTTCCAAGAATAGAGGGCTTTTCTTAAAAAAAAAAAAAAAAAAAAAAGACGAAGTACTAGCAGCTAGTACCCCACAGCAGCTAGGTTTTTTTTTGTTGTTTTTTTCTTTTTCTTTTTTTTTTTTTTTTTTTGAGGCAGTCTCGCTCTGTCGCCTCGCCCAGGCTGGAGTACAGTGGCGCGATCTCAGCTCACTGCAGCCTCTGCCTCCTGGGTTCACGCGATTCTCCTGCCTCAGCCTCCTGAGTAGCTGGGATTACAGGCGCTCGCTATCATGCCCAGCTAATTTTTGTAGTTTTAGTAGAGACAGGGTTTCTCCATGTTGGCCAGGCTGGTCTCGAACTCCTGACCTCAGGTGATCCACCCACCTTGGCCTCCCAAAGAGTTGGGATTACAGGCGTGAGCCACCATGCCCAGCTCACAGCAACTAGTTTTTAAAAATATTTAAAGTAATATCCTTGTCAAACATAACAAATGTCAGTTAAGTCATCCCACAGGACACTGGAGCTCCAACTTGGAGTCAGACAGCCCTCGGTTTGGGGTATCTGTTCCATAGCTGATCCACGTGATACGTTTTACCCTTCAGACTGTGTGACAAATGAAGATGATTATATCAATATCACATGCACAAACAGAATGACACAGAGATTGAAAAGAAAGGGATAAAAAAGAAGTTCCAGGCCGGGCACGGTGGCTCACGCTTGTAATCCCAGCACTTTGGGAGGCCAAGGTGGGTGATCACAAGGTCAGGAGATTGAGACCATCCTGGCTAACACGGTGAAACCCTGTCTCTACTAAAAATACAAAAAATTAGCCGGGCATGGTGGTGGGCGCCTGTAGTCCCAGCTACTCGGGAGGCTGAGGCAGGAGAATGGCATGAACCCGGGAGGCAGAGCTTGCAGTGAGCCGAGATCGCGCCACTGCGCTCCAGCCTGGGCAACAGAGTGAGACTCCGTCTCAAAAAAAAAAAAAAAAAAAAGAAGTTCCAGACAGTTGCTTACAAGGAAAAAGCCAATGAGGCAATGTCAGTATCACATGAAATAGATGTAAAGGTTGAAAGCACCTTTTAGAGGAACTAAGGAGGCCATTTCATGTTTCTTAAAGTTCGCCAAGAAATTCTGGTAGTTGTGAACCTTCGTATACCTGGCAACTTGGTTTAGGGGTACCTAGATTTAAAAAATGGATCAGGCTGGCTGAGCGCATTGGCTCATGCCTGTAATCCCCGCACTTTGGGAGGCCCGAGGCGGGCAGATCACGTGGGGTCAGGAGTTTAAGACCAGCCTGGCCAGCATGGTGAGACCCTGTCTCCACTAAAAAATACAAAAATTAGCTGGGCGTGGTGGCGGGTGCCTGTAATCCCAGCTACTTGGGAGGCTGAGGCCGGAGAATCGCTTGAAGCTGGAAGGCAGAGGTTGCAGTGAGCCGAGATCGCACCATCACAATCCAGCCTGGGCGACAGAGTGAGACTCTGTCCCCTCAACCAAAACAAAACAAAAAAAAAACGCTACGGGGAGAAGTAGAAAAACTCACAACCATAGCGGGAGAAGTGCACAGATTATCTCTCTGAAGTTGACAGAATCTAGTAGCTGAAAAATAAGGATTTAGAGGATTTAGATAACCTAATGAAAACTTGATTTTACACTGTATATGTATTAACTTTGTACCTAACCAACAAAGAACACATTCTTTTCAACCTACACGTACAAATACGTACATGAAAGGAATGTGGATCAAATAAAGATCAAATAAGATTATACATTAAAATACTTAGTTCTTTGTTAGGCAGGTAGGAAGTACTCATCCTGGAGCTTTAAAAAAAAAAGCCGTTTTCTTTTTAAAAATTTCTTTGTAGCCCTGAAAGCTGTTAAAGAAAAAAACGTTCTGGCCAAGCACAAGGGCTCCCTGAAAGTGTAATTCCACCACTTTCGGAGGCCGAGGTAGGATGATTACTTGCCCCAGGAGTTAGAGACCAGCCTGGGCAACATAGTGAGACCTCAAAAAAAGGTTAAAAATTTAGCCAGGTGTGGTGGTGCATGTCTGTAGTCCCAACTGTTGTGGAGGCTGAGATGGGAGGATCGCTTCAGCCCTAGAGGCAGAGGTTGCAGTGAGCCATGATTGCACCACTGCACTCCAGCCTGAGTGACACAGCAATACCCTGTCTCAAAAAACAAAAACTCTTCAATAATATTTGTTAAAGCACAGTAAAGAATGTATTCAGAACCATCACAGCAGGCATAGGGACCACTGCAGCGGAGTCTGGCAGTAGGGAAGAGAGATTGGGCTTAACTCTGAATACAGCGTAGTCAAGTAGGAATTTATAGCCAAGAAGCAAGGTGGGGATCAGTGCATGGAAGAAACTATTAAGAAGAAATGTCAGAGGTAAGGAAGATTCTGGCTAAACCAACCTAATGTTGCTGATGACACGCCAGGATGATCAGACATCACCTTTGGATGGTGGAAGATGAAGAGCTTGATCAGGTGTTGAAGATGTCCAGATATTGAGGATAAGGTTGGGGGGCAGGGTTCTTGCTAAACTGACTTAGCGCAGGGTTCTTTGTTAAAACTGGATTTTACAAGGAGGTGCACAGATGGGCCTAGGAGAAGATTCCAAAGCCTGACTAAAGTTTGGCCAAGCAAAGAATCTTTGTCAAAGCTAGTAAATAAGTCATTGGTCAGTGTTTATTGAGTGCCTACTATATGCTAGGATTCGCAAGGAGCTAGATATGCATTGATGGAAAAAGCAACAACCCCTGTAGCTGCTTCAGGAATAAGCTGGTATTTGTGATCTGTAGAGTACAATGTTTATTCCATTCTCTGATCAGCTGGAGATTGTTGAACCCCCTGCAGATGCTGTTCTGATCGGGGTCATTAATTACCACACAGTATTTTGCCCTTAGACTAGCCTTTGATTTGCCAAGAGCATCTCATGAGAACCAGAACCATCAGTTAAACATTCAGTGTACCAGTACAATTTCCGGTGGTGGGTAGATGCTAACTTTGTGGACTTGGATCAAGACAGACCGCTGGCGGATACCCACACAAGCATGAGATACTTGGGTTATACATCAGGAAGAACTATTTGCCTGGAAGGGTTATAAGATAGTAGCATGTTTTAGAAAAAAAGAGGAGGCAGCTGTCAGGTAGACGAGGGAGCAGGAGGTGTGTCCCATGCCTGGCTAAAGCCTCTGTTACCCTAAGGGAAAAAACAGCAGTGTTGGCCGGGCACGGTGGCTCACGCCTGTAATCCCAGCACTTTGGGAGGCCGAGGTGGGCAGATCACAAGGTCAGGAGATCGGGACCATCATGGCTAACATGGTGAAACCCCGTCTCTGCTAAAAATATAAGAAATTAGCCAGGCGCGGTGGCGGGCGCCTGTAGTCCCAGCTACTCGGGAGGCTGAGGCAGGAGAATGGAGTGAACCCGGGAGGTGGAGCTTGCAGTGAGCCGAGATCGCGCCAATGCCCTCCAGTCTGGACAACAGTCTCAAAAAGAAAAAAAAAGAAAAAAAGCAGTGTTGAAGTTACCTAGGTAAAGAAACATGGTGAGATAAAGGTGATGCCTAGGGGCCCCTATCGTGGTCCCTGACAGGCACCAACAACTGGGGATGGTCATTGCCAACACTCATCATGTGCGTACTATGTGCCTGGCACGGTGCTGAAGGCTGGGTCCACCTTTAACTTTACGGCTGAAAATGCTATCTAGCGACTTGGCTGGGGCCAGACATCTATTAAGGGGCAGAGCCCAGGTGTGAGGAGGCTCTCTAGAATCTTTCTTAACAGTTTCACAAGGGCTAATCCGCAGTTAAACCAAGTGGACCATTTGCAAACACGGGATTAATCGCAGTGATGCTGGGTTGATGGCATGCCATGCACTGTACTAAGTGTTTCATATTTGTAGCTTCATTTTTGCCTTCACATCCACTCTCTGAATTGTGGGTGGCATCAAGGTCCTGTTTTCTCAGATGAGAGCGCTGAGGCTCAGAAAAGTTCTGTGGCTTGGCAGGTGGTACAGTAAGGTGGGCTTTTGCCTCTTACAGTGTCTCCACTGGGGGTGTCTGTGACCAGGCATGAGGTTTGCGTGACCAGCATCCCACAGATTGCACAGGACCCTGCCTGGTCGCCCTGTCTGCAGGCCTGCTGGGCATCAGGGCCCCTCCTTCCCAGACAGCTGAGCCTGAACTCGCCTGCTCTTCCTTCTTAGAACATGCCAATTACTTCGGCGTGGATGAGAAGCTGGGGCCAGTGGCTGTGAGCATTAAGCGGGAGAAGCTGGAAGACCACAAGGAGCACGGACCTCAGTACCAGTACAGGATCATCTTCCGGACCCGCGAGGTAGGTCCCATCACTCTCGTTCTTATTAAAGAAATCATAGCCACTCACATCTCGAGCCAGGTTCTGGGGGCAAACGCTTCCCCAGCTTCATCTCATGGAATCCTCCCAACAACCCCGGGAGAGCAATCCTGTTAGTCTCTCCATCTCACAGAGGAAGAAACTAAGACGCAGAATTTAAATGACTTCTGGCCAGGCATGGTGGCTCACGCCTGTAATCCCAGCACTTTGGGAAGCTTGGCGGGTGGCTCACTTGAGATCAAGAGTTCAAGACCAGCCTGACCAACATGGCGAAACCCCATCTCTACCAAAAATACAAATTAGCCAGGTGTGGTAGCACGCGCCTGTAATCCCAGCTATTGGGGAGACTGAGCCAGGTGAATTGCTTGAACCTGAGAGGCAGAGGCTGCAGTGAGCTGAGTTTATGCCACTGCACTCCAGCCTGCCAGCCTGGGTGACAGAGTGGTGAGACTGTGTCTCAAAAAAAAAAAAAAAAAAAGAAAAAAAAAATTAAATGATTTCTATAGGATCAGTGAACCAGTAGCCAGACCAAGATTTCAGTCCAGGGTGTCTGACTTCAGAGCCCAACATTACAAAACCTGTTTGCAAGAGATTAGCTCTAATAAGCATAAGAAATAAAAGGGAAGGTAAGGGATCATTTTAGGAACATGAGGTGTCCTACGTAATGGAAAGAATTAAGGCAACAAGCCTCAGGCAGGACAGGAACTGGGGACTCTCAACCACAGGTACTGCTGTTATGCCAATCAGCTCAAGGTACTCCCAATGTGTCACTTTCCATTCTGAGTAGAGAAGCCCATGGTCCTGGCTGGAAGCCTTCCCCTGGATTAAATGTCAACTGTAGCTAGTGAGGAAGGCCTGTTGGGGCACCCATGCTCTATTAGGACTCTAAATTGTAAGTGACAGAAATCTATTTCTAACTTGCTTAAGTCAGAAATAGCATTCATTGGTTCATGTAACTGCAAATCTAGGGGTAGGGCAAACTTCCGGCATAGCTGGACTTAGAGACTCAAATGCAGTCTCCAGAACTCTGCTTCTTTAACTCTCTGCTTGGCTCTGCTTTTTGCATCGCGAGTGTCATTTTCTTCTGCCACTAACAAGCTCTCACCATGTCATGGGAACATGGAGATGGGCTGCTCAAATCTACTTCTTTGCACTGTCTCTTCCAAAAGGCTCAGACTGGCCAGGCGCAGTGGCTCACTCTTGTAATCCCAGCACTTTGGGAGGCCGAGGCAGGCAGGTCACCTGAGGTCAGGAGTTCGAGACCAGCCTGGCCAACATGGTAAAACCCCGTCTCTACTAAAAATACAAAAATTAGCTGGGCGTGGTGGCAGGCACCTGTAATCCTAGCTACTCAGGAGGCTGAGACAGGAGAATTGCTTGAACCCGGGAGGCAGAGGTTGCAGTGAGCTGAGATCGCGCCATTGTACTCCAGCCTAGGTGACAAATGCAAAACTCCATCTCAAAAAAAAAAAAAAAAAAGGCTTACACTGATTTATCTGGGAAGAACTCTGGCTCTGCTTTAGATCACAAGCCCAAGTCCTGAGCCAGTCGCTGTGATCAGGGGTGGTAGAGGAAACTGCCCGGTCTAGCATGTGTTACCCACCTTGGGTCCAGGGGCAGGGCCAGGCACTGTGATTGACAGTTCCACCAGAGCTCCCTGGAGGAGGAGGCAGGGCAGATCCTCAGCAAAAAGAGGGGACCCAGGGAAGCAGAAATGACAGAGAGGCCCAGAAGACCCAAATAAGGAAGACCTTTCAGAAAAGTGGCATTTGCCAGCTAGGCAGGCCCTCCAAAATGGGTCTCCCTCAGCCTGCATTGCCCCAGCCCCTTGGGCCTGGCCTTTGCCCAGACATGGACGCCTAGCAGGCTGAGGCTGCCAAGGACTTGACTGTGGGGCCAGCCAAGTCCTGGACCTCATCCAGGCTGGCAGATGCAGCTCGGAGTGCCCTCGCCCCATCCCCTGACCAAGACCTTCCCACTGAGTTGGGGGAATGGGATGGCATGGAGGCTTTGCAGTAGCCAGGAAGAGGCAGCCCTAAAGCCATGTGCGCCAAACCACAGGTGGTCACCAGCCTCTGTCTCCCCAGCCCTCTCCTCCCTCTACCCACCTTTCTGGCCAGATGAGCACCAGAGCAGAATGAGAGGTGACAGCTCACACTGCATCTGGCTGTTTTAGGACATATGGGCAACTGCTGGGTGGTGAAATGACGCCTACAGTCATATACTTATAAATAGGCTGGGTGCAGCGGCTCACACCTGTAATCCCAGCACTTTGGGAGGCCAAGGCAGGTGGGTCCCTTGAGCCCTGGAGTTCGAGACCAGCCTGGCCAATATGGTAAAACCCTGTCTGTACTAAAAACACAAAAATTAGCTGGGTATATTAGTGCACACTTGTAGTCTTAGCTGCTCGGGAGGCTGAGGCATGAGAATCTCTTGAACCCAGGAGGTAGAGGTTGTAGTGAGCCAAGATCACACCACTGGACTCCAGCCTGGGTGACACAGTGAGACTCGGTCTCAAAAATATATACATACACATATGTATATATAAAATATTTATTATGAAGGCTATTATTACTGCAAATCTCCTTTATACTGTGTGTCAGGCAATATTCTATACCTTTTATATCTATTAACTCACTTAAATCTCATCACGATTCTAGGGTGAAGACCCTGTTGTCCTCATTTACAGATGACAGAACAGGCACAGAGAGGTTAAGAGACTTGCCCAAAGCACCCTCCAGGGAGTGGCAGGGCAGGGTGCCTGCCTGTGTTCTGGCCGCCGCACTCGGCTGCCTCTGGGTTTTGACTAAGTCAGCTTAGACTGCACACTGGACCCACTCATGAGTTAGGAGCTCAACCAACTCAGTGCTAGCGTTTGTGTTTTTGTTCGTAATGAAAATACAATAGGCGGGGCGTGGAGGCTCACGTCTGTAATCCCAGCACTTTGGGAGGCTGAGGCGGGTGGATCACCCGAGGTCAGGAGTTCGAGACCAGACTGGCCAACATGGCGAAACCCTGTCTCTACTACAAATACAAAAAAAAAAATTAGCTAGGCATGGTAGCAGGTGACTATAATCCCAGCTTCTCAGGAGGCTGAGGCAGGAGAATCGCTTGAACCTGAGAGGTGGAGGTTGCAGTGAGCCAAGATCATTCCATTGCACTCCAGGCTGGGTGACACAGTGAGACTCCATCTCAAAAAAAAAAAAAAAAGAAAATACAATATATAGGCAGGCATGGTGGCTCACACTTGTAATCCCAGCATTTTGGGGTAAGAGGTTAAGACGGAAGGATTGCTTGAAGCCTGGAGTTCAAGACCAGCCTAGGCACCATAGTGATACCCGTGTCTCTAAAAAATAAAAAATACCAGACTATAGCATTAGGAGAAATACCTAATGTAAATGACAAGTTAATGGGTGCAGCAAACCAACATGGCACATGTAATACCTATGGAACAAACCTGCACGTTGTGCACATGTACCCTAGAACTTAAAGTATAATATTAAAAAAAAAAAAACCCAGACTATGTCACACATACTGAGAGTCGTGAGACTTTAGTGCATGGATACTGGGTTATATAATTTTTTGCTGTGATTTCCTGTTCACTAAGTTTGAAACTGGCTTGATGCCATTCCCAGTGTGTACCTGCTCCCGTCCACTTCCCACCCCCAGCACCTACAAAACTAGCCGTGGGGGACTCTGATCCATCCCTGATGACAGCACGGGGACTCTTTGAGTCTCACAGCCACAGGCCTGGGATCCATCCATTCCACAGACATTTGCTCAGCGTTCCCCCGTCCCAGCTCTATGCTGGGCATGGAGGGTACCGTAGCAAACAAGGCAGCAAAGATGCTCGTGAGACTGGGTGTTTGAGGGGGAGACAAAAGGACGCAGAACACCTTAGCAAATTATGCTGTAGGTGCTTCCCATGGTGACAAGGTGGGGGACAAAGCAAGGAGGAATGATGAGTGTGGCAGGTGCTTAGATTTTTTTTTTTTTTTTTTTTTTCCCGAGACGGAGTCTAGCTTTGTTCCCCAGGCTGGAGGGCAGTGGCGTGATCTCTGCTCACCACAAGCTCCGCCTCCCAGGTTCACGCCATTCTCCTGCCTCAGCCTCCTGAGTAGCTGGGACTACAGGCTCCCACTACCACACCCTGCTAATTTTTTGTATTTTTAGTAGAGACGGGGTTTCACTGTGTTAGGCAGGATGGTCTCAATCTCCTGACCTGGTGATCTACCCGCCTCAGCCTCCCAAAGTGCCGGGATTACAGGCATGAGCCACCACACCTGGCCCAGGTGCTTAGATTTTTAACAGGAAGGTCAAGGGAGGCATCACTGGGAAGGTAACACTGGAGTAAACCTAGAGGAGGGGAGAGGGAGCCGTGTGGACAACTGGAAGAAGAGCATTCCAGGCAGAGCGAACAGCCAGTGCAGAGGTCCTGAGGCGGAGCCATGCTCCGTGGGTTGGAGACGTCCTGTGAGTCCTAGTTTGACCACTCAGCAGTTCTAGAACCTTGGGCACATGGCTCCTTTCCTCTCAGAGCCTCAGTTTCCCCCTTGGAAATTCTCAGCTTACAGAACTGTGTTGTGGGCTCGGTGAGGTTGCACATACCAAGCAGGCAGTGGGGGACCTGACACTTGACTGGAAGTGATTATGATCGGCACCACTGTTGCAGCCGATGTTCCTTCCCAGGAGGTCAGAGCCCCATGCTGGGAAGCATAGGTTGAGCTCACGGATGGGGTTCTGTCCTTCTCATATCCACACACACACATGCCTTGGGGTCCTGTAAACCAGGGCATAGGGGCCAGAGCGAGAGGTCTGGGCTGCCTTCCAAGCCAGCCAGCCTGCCCCAGATGGCCGTCCCCAGCCGCCAAGCAGACAGTCTCGAGTGGACCTGCATCTCCCAGCAGATGGGATATGAGCATTGGCAGTGCCAGGCTCCCCACCAAGGCAGGAACAGACTTGGAGCTGGGCTTTGGCACTGCTTGTCCAAACCCCAGAGAGCCTGGACAGGGTGAGCGCCAGGCCAGGGCTGCCCTGTCTCAGGTCCCTTTGGCACTGTCTCACCCAGGACACTGGGGACAGAGTGGGGATGGCAACCAGCCAGGAACTGTGTGGCACCCCCCCACAAGGCCCAGTGGTTCTCATTGGCCTAGAACACGTGATTTTTGACAGGCTTTAGTTCTGATAGGGTTAGAGATTTGGGTTTTTATTTTATTGGTTTTTCTTTTTTATTTAAAAAGTACCAAACGCTCATTATTAAGAACTTAGACAATACATAAGTATGCAAAGTAGAAAAAGGAAAGTTTCATTAGTGAAAAAAGCAAGTGTGACCCCGTTTTTGTTCAATAGGTACATCTGACTGTGTGTGTGTCTGTGTGTATTTGCTTATTTATTTTTGAGACAAGGTCTTACTCTGTCCCCTGGGCTGAAGTGCAATGGTGCAGTCATAGCTCACTGCAGCCTCGAATTCCCGGGCTCAAGCGATCCTCCTGCCTCAGCCTCCCAAGTAGCTGAGACCACAGGCATGCACCACCATGCCTGGCTAATAATTTTGTTTTATTTTTAGAGACAGAATCTCACTATGTTGCCCAGGCTGGTCTTGAACTCCTGAGCTCAGGTGACCCTCCTCCTTTGGCTTCCCAAAATGCCGAGATTACAGGCATGAGCCACTGCACCTGGCTGTGTGTATGTTTAAATGAACAATCTCCAAAGCATATTGTTAAGTAGGGGGAAAAGCAAAAAAATGTAGCTTCCTGCTTAAGGTTAAAAAATTTAAAACTCAGCTAGGTGCAGTGGCTCACACCTGTAATCCCAGCACTTTGGGAAGCTGAGGCGGGAAGATTGCTTGAGCCCAGGAATTTGAGACCAACCTGGACAACGTAGCGAGACCCCATCTCTATTAAAAATAAATTAATTGCCAGGCGTGGTAGCTCACGCCTGTAATCCCAGCACTTTTGGAGGCCTACGCAGGTGGATCACCTGAGGTCAGGGGTTCGAGACCAGCCTGGTCAACATGGCAAAACTCCATCTCTACTAAAAATACAAAAATTAGCTGGGCATGGTGGCACACACCTGTAATCCCAGCTACCTGTAATCCCAGGAGGCTGAGGCAGGAGAATCACTTGAACCCAGGAGGCAGAGGTTGCAGTGAGCCAAAATCACACCATTGCATTCCAGCCTGGGCGACAAGAGCGAAACTCTGTCTCCAAAAACAAAATAAATAAAAAAGAAATAATATTTTTAAAACTATTAACTATGCATGTGGCTTTGTACATAAACATTTAACACACATCTACAGATAATAATGGTTAACACACATTGAGCTCTCACTCTGTACCCAAGATACAGCACTAAGCATTATGCACGGATCTTTTTGAATCCTTTCATTGCCTTGAGGCAGGCATTTTTATCCCCATTTTATCAATGAGGAAATAGGGAAATTAAGCGACTTGCCCAGAGTCACACAGCTAGGGAGGAGCTAGAGCTAGAATTCAAACCCAGGCAGACCACCTCCTAAGTAACCTCCTAGGAAATGTTCTTGAAGGGTACACCTGCCGCCCAGCACAGAGTCAAGCGGGGAGTACGTCTGAGTCAGGAGTGAGTGGGGATAACCTGTACCAGCTGGAACCTCCTTGTTTGCATGGTACTGTGTGCCTTTCACAGCTCACTTGATTTGTTGCCCTCGACTAGCTGATGCCAGATGTTTTCAGGCTCTGAGCAGAGGAAGGCTGTGATCTGACTCAGGCAGCTGTAGAAAGAATGGACTGGGGACAGGGCAGGGGCAGGGAGACCTGGAGGAGGCTGCTGTCCAGGTGGGAGGTGATGGTGGGGGTGACCAGGTGGAGAGTGAGGTGGCCACTCATGACCTGCCAGTGTCCCACTTACTGTCGCCAGTGCTGAAGGAGTTTTTCAAGTAGTGCGCGCCGATGAGGTGGTCAGAGCCAAAATGTGACTGTAAGTCACCCGTCTCCAGGGAGGAAGAAGGAAGATTTCTGGTCCGTGCTGTCCCTCGTTCCCAGCAGAGGGCACTGTGGGACAGTGTCAGTAGGATATAAAGACACTGATCCTGTTGGTCTTAACTGAAACCCACAACCCCAGGGCCACCCAGATTGACAGGGCAAAGCCCCCAACATCATTGCTTTTCATGATTGGTTTTGACACTACCGTGCTTGTGATAAGAGAGATTTGTTTGTTTGTTAATTACCGGGGCCAGAAGTGGGATCATTCTATTCCTTCCACACATGCCTCTCGCCCAGGTGCTCTTTGGTGAGGGTGGGTTGTGTGCTTAGAGGCGAAGTCATGACATGTTATTTTTGCCACCTCCTGTGTTTGTCGACTTAGGCAAGCATGTTTTTGCAGTTAATACTTATCCTCCTTAGTCTTTTTGTTGTTGTTGTTGAGATGGAGTCTCACTCTGTCGCCTAGGCTGGAGTGCAGTGGCACAATCTTGGCTCACTGCAACCTCCGCCTCCTGGGTTCAAGTGATTCTCCTGCCTCAGCCTCCTGAGTAACTGGGATTAGAGGCATGAGCCATCATGCCTGGCTAATTTTTCTATTTTAGTAGAGACAGGGTTTCACCACGTTGGCCAGGCTGGTCTCGAACTCCTGACCTAAAGTGATCCGCCCACCTCGACCTCTCAAAGTGCTGGGATTAGAGGTGTGAGCCACCGCACCTGGCCTCCTCCTTAGTCTTTAAACCACAGCCCCAAGTGTACTTTGGGTGCTTGTAACAAGCCCCCTGGAGAGGGATTTTTCTTTGTGCGTTCTTGGTGTGGTGCTGGTCCAGTGCATGGCATAACCTGGTGGCCAGCAGCATGCTGTGGCTACAAGCATGAGCTGGTATTAGTGAGGATGTGGAGCAGCAGGGGCTCTCAGACAGGGCTGGTGGGGTGTAAATTGGTACAACCACTTGGAAAACTGTTTGGCAGTTCAGTAAAATTGAAGATTAGCATGCCTGGTGATTTAGCAATTTCTATCCTAGGCATAAACCCAAAAGAAAAGGTGTTCGTGTGCACTGAGGTGCTTCTGTGAGGGTTCATAACAGCACTATTCACAGTTGGCAAATACTGGAAGCAGTTCTGGTGCTCATCAACAGTGAAAAGGAGTAAAACGTCAGCCTCTCGCAACAGCATAGCTGCAGCTCATATATGTAGCATTCAGAGAAAGAAGCTAGATAACAAAAGAATACAAACTGCCTGGCTGGGCGCAGTGGCTCACACCTGTAATCCTGGCACTTCAGGAGGCCGAGGCAGGAGGATCACTTGAGCCTAGGAGTTGCAGACCAGCCTGGGCAACATAGTGGGACTCTGTCTCTACAAAAAATATACAAAATTAGCCAGGCATGGTGGCACATGCCTATAGTCCCAGCTGCTCAGGAGGCTGAGGCAGGGGATCTCTTGCGCCCAGGAGGTCGAGGCTGCAGTGAACCATGATTGTGCCACTCCATTCCAGCCTGGGCAACAGAGTTAGACCCTGTCTTCAAAAGAAAAAAAGAATAAAAAAATACAAACTGCCTGAAGTTCAAAAATAGACAGATATAAATGATGGTGTTGAAAGTCAGGATAGAGTTAATTTTGAGGAAAAAGGGGTACAAATGGGCTGTGGGTGCTGGAAATACATTTCTTGATTTGGATAGTGATTACCCAGGTATTTGCTTTCTGATACTTTCTTTGGCCTCACATCTATGTGTTATGTACTTTTTTTTTAGACGGAGTTTCACTCTTGTTGCCCAGGCTGGAGTGCAATGGCACGATCTCAGCTCATTGCAACCTCCTCCTCCTGGGTTCAAGCGATTCTTCTGCCTCAGCCTCCCAAGTAGCTGGGATTACAGGCATGCGCCACCACGCCCGGCTAATTTTTGTATTTTTAGTAGAGACAGGGTTTCACCCATGTTGGTCAAGCTGGTCTCAAACTCCTGACCTCAGGTGATCTGCCCACCTCGGCCTCTCAAAGTGCTGGGATTACAGGTGTGAGCCACTGTGTCTGGCCTGTATACTTTATATATTTGGATATACCTCACCATACACATACCAAATATATATATCTCAAAACAAACCACGAGCTTCGGAGAAGTCAGGACTGGGTTGGAATCTTGGTTGCCATTTTGTCAGCTGTGGTGACCTTGGATAAGGCACGTAACCTCTTGGAACTTCAATTTGCTTCTCTGTAAATCAGAGATAAAACCTCCCTTGAATAGACCTATACATACAGTTATTACTATAGTACCTGGAGCACAGTGCAGTGAACTGCACCTTCATAAATGTGACTTGTTATTAAGGTATATAAGTTAGACATTTATTTGGCTGCAAAGCGATAGAAAACCTGACTACCAGTAGCTAAAACAAAGGGAGGTTACTTTAATCATCTAATAAGTCTGGACGTAGGCAGCTGCAAGGATTAACTTCTGTGACTTTTTGTTGTCTCTTTCCTCATGATTGCAATCTGGCTGCCACAGCTCCAAACATTTCATTCTCATACCACTGCCCATCACACAAAGAAGTGGGCAGGTGGAAAGGGGCTTTCATTTTTTTTTTTTTTTTTTTTTTGAGACAGTCTCGCTCTGTCACCCGGGCTGGAGTGCAATGGCACAATCTTGGCTCACTGCAACCTCCGCCTCCCAGGTTCAAGCAATTCTCCTGCCACAGCCTCCTGAGTAGCTGAGATTACAGGCATGCACCACCAGGCCCAGCTAATTTTTGTATTTTTAATGGAGACAGGGTTTTGCCATGTTGGCCAGGCTGGTCTCAAACTCCTGACCTCAAGTGGTCCGCCCGCCTCGGCCTCCCAAAGGGGGCTTTCCTTTTATTAGAGGGAAATCTGCCCCAGAAGTCCTCACCAAGCACAATTCTCCTCATATCTCATTGCCTGGAATTGATCACATGGTTGCCTATAGGAAAAACTTGGGAAGCAACATCTGGGGAATGGGAATGAGATGGCTGTGATTGGCTTTGACTAAAGGTTTTCATCCCTGACTGCACATCAGAAGCACCTGAGAAGGATTAAAAATATGCCATGTATGCAAACATGCATGTCTGGCCCCATCCCAGACCAACCAAATTAGAATCACTGGTGGTGTCTTGTCTTGTCTTGTCCTTTTCTTTTCTTTTCCCTTCTCTTCTCTTCTCTCTTTCCTACCCTCCCTCCTTTCTTTTCTTCTCTTCTCTTCTTCTTTTCTTTTCTTTTCTCAGACTGAGTGTTGCTCTGTTGCCCAGACTGGAGTGCAGTGGCGCGATCTTGGCTCACTGCAACCTCCGCCTCCTGGGTTCAAGTGATTCTTCTGCCTCAGCCTCCCAAGTAGCTGGGATTACAGGTGCATGCCACCATGCCTGGCTAATTTTTATATTTTTAGTAGAGATGGGGTTTCACCATGTTGGCCAGGGTGGTCTTGAACTCCTGACCTCAAGTGATCCGCCCACCTTGGCCTCCCCAAAGTGCTGGGGTTACAGGTGTGAGCCACCCACGCCTGGCCTTTTTTTTTTTTTTTAAATGAAACTGGTCTGAAACCAGTGCCACAGTTCAAGATCCAAGATGATGCCAGTATTCAAGGCAGGTGGGTGTTTTACTTGAGCATTTACAGTAATGTGTACATAATACAGTGTTACTGTAATAATGACAAGAGCCCACCTCCTGGTAGGACCTGTTTTCTTCATTATACTCCCTACTGCCTTACATAATTCATCTCCCCCATTCCAGTGTCAGCTCCACAAGGACAAGGGTCTTTGTTCATTGCACCTAGAGTAGGACTCAGTGCCTCACAGGAGGCACTCAGCCAGTATATGTTGAACAAATGAAGGTAGTTTACATTATTGTCTCATTTAATCCTCCCAACACCCCTTCAAGGTTACGATACCATCCTGTACCCATTTCACAAAAGAGCAAGCTGAGGCTCAGAGATATGAAGTCACTTGGTCAAGACCGCACAGCCAGGAGGCAGCAGGTTCAAGTTCTGGCTCAGACTTAGGGCTTTCTGACCTTAGAGCACAAACTTCCAATCATCACACATGTCTCTTTCAAAACAAGATACCTCTGCTATGCTCTTATCCCTTTTTAGGTCTCGAGAGCCCCCTAACCTTCCCTTCTCTCCCTTGAGTAGCTCATCACCCTGCGGGGCTCCATCCTGGAAGATGCTACGCCCACAGCCACCAAGCATGGGACCGGGCGGGGCCTGCCCTTGAAGGATGCCCTGGAGTATGTCATCCCCGAGCTCAACATCCACTGCCTGCGGCTGGCCCTCAACACCCCCAAGGTGACGGAGCAACTGCTGAAGCTCGATGAGCAAGGGGTGAGTCAGGGGCTGGAGGTGGGGGTGCTGCTGGGGCAGTACCTTGCAACCCCACTCCTGGTAGCTTTTTCTATCTTGGTCACTTTCTTTTTTCTTTGCAAGTAACAGAAACCTACTTAAGCTGGTTTCAGCAAAAGGAGGGATTCAAATCAAATTCTAGTGGTGCCAAGAGCAAGAATGTAACTGGGTCTCCTAAAGGAGGGAGATTGTCTGGGGGTGAGATAGCTGCTAGGTCCCCATGTGTGCATGCATATATGTGTCTATAGTGGGGGGTTAGTGTGTCTTTCCTCCCCGCTCCACATGCTGGCTCCCTCTGCTTCTCTTGCCTCTCCCACAGCTCCCAGTCTGTTAGAATTACAGCCACATGCAGACCCCAGCAGGCTGACCCTGGTCACAGGAGAGCCATCGATTGGGCTATGGCGTAGGTCAGGTGGCTGTCCATGGCCCAGTCACCAGTGACCAGGGGGATCCGGGATACCTAAAGCAAACATAGTTATTGGGAGCCCACTCCCTAAAAAAGGTATTGACTATAAGCCTTGAGCCCTCCAGATTTTGCTTTTGCAGAATCTCAGCCCATCCCAGTCCACCTACTGTGGGATGCCGGCCAAGGCAACAGTCTCTTTCATGCAAGTGTGGCATCACCAGCCGTCCTCCACCCGCCATAGCGAGAAGAGGCGGCCTGGATACCTCGTTGTGCTTCTCTGGAGTGGAAGGGAGGGGGAGGGACAACTGGGACATGCTGCCATGCCCCAACACTGTTTTCCCCTGTCTGGCTATGGCTCTGGGTTCCCGAGTGGTCCCAGCAGCTCCCAGGGCCTCAGGCCTCAGACATACCCCTTGCTCCCTTCCCTCTGCCATCTCTGCCTGGCCTGCCTCCACAAAGCCACTCTTGCCTCTGCAGCTCTGCCGGAAGCACAAGGTGGGCATCCTCTATTGCAAGGCCGGCCAGAGCTCCGAGGAGGAGATGTACAACAATGAGGAGGCCGGCCCCGCCTTTGAGGAGTTCCTCTCCCTCATCGGCGAGAAGGTCTGCCTGAAGGGCTTCACCAAGTACGCTGCCCAGCTGGACGTCAAGAGTAAGTAGGGGGCCGGTTAGATCACAGTGAGCCACCACTGCACTCCTACTCAACAGGCAAAGCTTAAAAGGCCTGGGGATGCCACGGTGGGGACGTGGAGCAGTGGGAGCTCTCAGACTTCACTTGTAGGAGCACAAATAAGTGCAGCCACTTTATTTTTTCGTGTTGTTGTACTTGTTGTTGTTGTTGTTGTTGTTTTTGAGACAGAGTCTCACTCTGTGGCCCAGGCTGGAGTGCAGTGGCATGATCCCATCTCACTGCAACCTCTACCTCCCAGGTTCAAGCAAGATTCTCCTGCCTCAGCCTCCCAACTAGCTGTGACTACAGGTGTGCACCACCACACTTGGCTAATTTTTGTATTTTTAGTAGAGACAGGCTTTCACCGTGTTGGCCAGACTGGTCTCGAACTCCTGACCTCAAGTGATCCACCCACCTCAGCCTCTCAAAGTGTTGGGATTACAGGCATGAGCCACCACGCCTGGCCATGTGCAGCCACTTTGGAAAACAGTACAGCACATTCAAGTCCAGTTTGAAGAGACGCTGCTCTGTGACTCAGCTCCTGCACTCCTAGGTATGCACTCTGTCTAATGTGCACGTGCATGGCAGGAGAGGACTGAATATCCCTAACCACCGGCACCTCGGTGCACCCAGTGCACACTGGCAGAGTTGCGCCGTGTTCACCCAGAGGAGATGAACTGGCACCACAGGCATCAGCGTGGAAGAGAGCCACATGCTTCGTGCTGCGCAAAGACAGCAAGCCTCAGAAGAGTGGGACCTGAATGATGTCTTTTACATAACAATTTTTTTCTTTTCTTTTCTTTTCTTTTTTTTTTTTTTTTTGAAACAGTCTGCCTCTATTGCCTAGGCTGGAGTGCAGTGGCGCAATCTCAGCTCACTGCAACCTCCGCCTCCTAGGTTCAAGGAGTTCTCCTGCCTCAGCGTCCCAAGTAACTGGGATTACAGGCATGAGCCATCACTCCCTGCTAGTTTTTGTATTTTTAGTAGAGATGGGGATTTACTATATTGGCCAGGTTGGTCTTGAACTGCTGACCTCGTGATCTGCCCACCTCGGCCTCCCAAAGTGCTGAGATTACAGGCGTGAGCCACCACACCTGGCCAATTATTATTTTTTATAGAGACAAGGTCTTGCTATGTTACCCAGACTGGTCTCAAACACAAGGCCTCCAGGGATCCTTGGCCTCCCAAAGTGCTGGAACTACACACATGAGCCACTACACCTGGCAAAAAGGTCCAGCAGGATGACTCACACCTGTAATCCCAACATTTTGGGAGGCCAAGGAAGGAGGATTGCTTTAGGCCAGGTGTTCAAGACCAGCTTGGGCAAAAAAGCAAGACCCTGTCTCTGAAAAAAAAAAAAAAAAAAAAGCAAAAACAAAAACCCAGCAATATATTGTTGGTGGATATGCTCTTACACAGTGGAACTCTAAAGAAAAACAGAGCCAAGCGTGGTGGCTCATGCCTGTGATCCCAGCACTTTGGGAGGCTGAGGCGGGTGGATTGCTTGAGCCTGGGAGTTTGAGACTGCAGTGAGCTATGATCATGCCACTACACTCCAGCCCGGATGACAAAGCAAGGCCCCATCTCAAGAATAAATAGGCCGGGCATGGTGGCTCATGCCTGTAATCCCAGCACTTTGTGAGGCCGAGGCGGGTGGATCACCTGAGGTCAGGAGTTCGAGACCAGCCTGGCCAAAATGGTGAAACCCCATCTCTACTAAAAATACAAAAAAATTAGCTGGGCGTGGTGGTTCACGCCTATAATCCCAGCTACTTGGGAGGCTGAGGCGAATCGCTTGAACCCGGGAGGCAGAGGTTGCAGTGAGCCAAGACCGCACCATTGCACTCCAGCCTGGGCAACAGAGCAAGACTCCGTCTCAATCAATCAGTAGAAAAAAAAAAAAAACAAGGGAATACTGGAGACAATATGCAGGATAGTGGTTGGCTGTCTGGGGAGAGGTGGGTGTGTCTAGGAAACGGTGCTCACGTTAGAGTGTGGGTAGTGGTCTTTTTCTTAAGGTGGTATCACATAGGACGTATTTGTTGCAGCAGTCTCTGTGCTTATCATGTGTATGTGTACATAAATATATATGATATATGGGGCTGGGCGCAATGGCCCACGCCTGTAATCTCAACACTTTGGGAGGCTGAGGCAGGTGGATCACCTGAGGGCAGGAGTTCGAGACCAGCCTGGCCAACGTAGTGAAACCCCGTCTCTACTAAAAATACAAAAATGTAACCAGGTGTGGTGGCACATGCCTGTAATCTCAGCTACTTGGGAAGCTGAGGCAGGAGAATTGCTTGAGCCTGGGAGGCAGAGGTTGCAGTGAGCTGAGATCACACCACTGTACTCGAGCCTGGGCAACAAGAGCAAAACTTCATCTCAAAAAAAAAAAAGGGGCCGGGCGCGGTGGTTCACGCCTGTAATCTTAGCACTTGGGAGGCCAAGGTGGGCGGATCATGAGGTCAGGAGATCGAGACCATCCTGGCTAACAGGGTGAAACACCGTCTCTACTAAAATACAGGCGAGCGCCTGTAGTCCCAGCTACTCTGGAGGCTGAGGCAGGAGAATGGCGTGAACCCGCAAGGTGGAGCTTGCAATGAGCCGAGATCGCACCACCGCACTCCAGCCTGGGCGATACAGCGAGACTCCATATCAAAAAAAAAAAAAAAAAAAAGGAAAGAAAAAAATATATATATGTATATGATATATAGGATTGAAATGTTTCATGAGAAGTAGCTGGGTGGGTGGATGGGTAATGTTCACAGGTGTCACAGCTCCCTGGGGAATGGACTACCACTGTCCTTGGGAGTGGGTTTTCGTCAGCTGGGAGTGAGAAGGCCCCAAGATGGCTCAGTCAGACATTGCTCTTCCCCACACCTCGCCAAGACTCGGTTTGCTCTTCTAGAAAACAAAACAGAAGCCCAGATCAGGAGACAAATCTTAGAGAGAGAAGTGAGGTGTTAGGCAGGTGTCTGGGGCCATCATCACCTTCCCCTGCTCCTCCGCTGAAGGAGGCTGTAGGAGGAACGAGCATGTTATTATGCCATTTGCTAGTTTCGTGATCTTGGACAGGTGGCTTTGCCTCTCTCGACCTCAGTTTCCTCATCTGTAGAGTGAAGGTAATAATTGCGCTTATCTTGGAAGCATGGTGAGGGTTCCGTGGGTCAGCTTTGCCCCAAACATCCTGAGCCCTCCCTCTGTGCCGAGTGCTTCCCAGAGCTCCGCCAGCGTGGGTGTCCCCCTAGGTGGGCGGGGAGGCAGCAGGCCTCCCTGGGCTCACCTGGCGTGGAGGAAGCTGGCAGGTGTGAGTGTTAGTATTGGTTTTTTTGTTTTTTTGTTTTTTTGAGACAGTCTCGCTCTGTCACCCAGGCTGGAGTGCATTAGAACGATCTTGGCTCACTGCAACCTTCACCTCCTGGTTTCAAGGGACTCTCCCACCTCAGCCTCCTGAATAGCTAGGATTACAAGCACGTGCCACCAGACCCAACTAATTGTGTACTTTTAGTAGAGATGGGGTTTCACCGTGTTGGCCAAGCTGGTCTTGAACTCCTGACCTCAGGTGATCCACCCACCTCGGCCTCCCAAAGTGCTAGGATTACAGGTGTGAGCCACCGCGCCTGGCCAGGAAGTGGGTTCTCTTAGAGGACCCCAGGAAGCATAGTGCTCCTGGAATGAGTTTCCCCAAATTACAGGCAAGAATGGCCCTGGCTTGAGCAGATACCTGGGTGTTACCCGGCTCCCAACCTGGCTCTGGCACTGGCAGCTGTGGCCTCAGTGTCCCCGCCAGACACTGAGGCAGCATTGAATATTATTAAGAACAGATCTGGAGGCCAGGCACAGTGGCTCACGCCTGTAATCCCAGCACTTTGGGAGGCTGAGGCAGGTGGATCACCTGAGGTCAGGGGTTCAACCAGCCTGGGCAATGTGGTGAAACCCCATCTCTACTAAAAATACTAAAATTACTAAAATTATCCAGGCATGGTGGCAGGCACCTGTAATCCCAGCTACTCAGGAGGCTGAAGCAGGAGAATTGCTTGAACCCAGGAGGCAGAGGTTGCAGAGAGCCCACATTGCGCCATTGCTCTCCAGCCTAGGTGACAGAGTGAAACTCTGTCTCAAAAAAAAAAAAAAGAACAGATCTGGAATCCAACAGCCTGAGTACTGGTCCAGACGCTACCACTCAGTACAGTGTGACCTTGGGAAGGCACTCCCTCTCCATGCCTCAGTTTCCCACTCTGAAACATGGGCTCAGTAAGCAGGTTTGCCTCTTCCTAGCCATAACCCTCCCTCCTATTAGAGAGAACTCATATCCTGATGCTCAATGATAACCATTTCTTTGCTTTTCTTCATAGTTTTGCTACTTACCTACACATCCCTGACTGGTATAATCTGACCTGCTTTTGCATGTCACATGAATGGGATCACACTGTGTGTGCTGCTTTGTGTCAGCATCTTTCACTCAACATTTAGAGGATTTCCCCATGCTGCAGCCGCGACTCATTCCTTTTCCTGGCTGTATATTTTTCCACAGTGTGAATTGACCAGTGTGTTCACCCATTCTTTTGACTGACGCTTGAAGATTCTTGTACCCATATCCCAGGACACGTGTGCATGATTTCTCTGGGCTGTGGTCCAAGGAAAGGAAGTGCCAGGTTATCAATTAAGCCTATCTTCAGGTATAAGAGAGATTGCTAAAAAGTTTTCCAAAGTGCTTGTACCAAGTTACACACCTAACCAGCCACCTCAAGGGTTCCATTTGCTCCACATCCTCGCCAACCATTGGTGCTGTCAGACTTTTTAATTTTTACCAGTCTGGTGGGTACATAGCAATGGGGTTTCCTTTTTATCTAAATGTATTTAATTTTTTTTTTTTTTTTGAGACAGAGTCTAACCCTGTCTCCCAGGCTGGAGTGCAGTGGCGTGATCTCGGCTCGCTGCAACCTCCGCCTCCCGGGTTCAAGCGATTCTCCTGCCTCAGCCTCCCGAGTAGCTGGGACTACAGGCACCCGCCACCAGGCCTGGCTAATTTTTGTGCTTTTAGTAGAGACGGGGTTTCACCATGTTGGCCAGGCTGGTCTCGAACTCCTGACCTCAGATGATCCACCTGCCTCAGCCTCCCAAAGTGCTGGGATTATAGGTGTGAACCACCAGGCCTGGCCAGTGTATTTAATTTTTAAGAGTAGATTGAAGTGAAAGCACCAAGTTAAAAACCAGCACAGATGGTACGTGGGATATGGCAAAAACCCAGAGGTTTTGGAAACATGGTCCTAACTGGCATTTCTGTTTCAGCCGACTCCACGGGAACCCACTCCCTCTACACGATGTACCAGGACTACGAGATCATGTTCCATGTCTCCACCCTGCTCCCTTACACCCCCAACAACAGGCAGCAGGTCAGTGATTTTCAGCAGAGGCACGGCTGCCGGATGTTGGCTGCCCACCCACCAGCATTGGCCCTCCCAGTTCTGTCCTGTGGATCATATGGAGGCCCTTGACCTTGGAGGCCATCTTTACTATGGTCACTTTCCCTGGGGGTTAGAGAGCAGCCCAGGTGTGGTTCGAGATGTCACTTTGGCCCCAGTCTTTCCTGCTGCTTCTTGGGCGCCCTGCCCAGCCCCAGCTAGCCCGACGCCCCTCCAGGGCCTCTTGAGTCATCACTGGTCTTAAGAAGAAGAGTGAATCAGTCAACATTATTTTGACTGCAAGTAACAGAAACTCACACCAAACTGGCTTAACTAGAAAAAGAGATTTATGGGTTATATAACTCTAAGATTGTAGAGAGGGCTGGCCTCAGGTCTGGTTGGATCCAGGGACTCCAACAATATTAGGAATCCTTCCCCATTTCTCACCTCCACTTTTCTTTACAGCAGCTTTATTCACAGGTGCAAAGCAAAGATACCTCCTAGCAGCCCTAGGCTCACATCCACCAGCTTAGCCACCTCAGCAGAAAGAGTGCTGTTTTTTCCAGTTGTCCCAGAAGTGTTTCAGAGCTGAGTCTCATTGGACTATTCACATGCCAGTCTTGGGGCCTGGGGTAGGGGTGGAAAGGGCAGACTGGCCAAGCCCGAGGCTCATGCCCAACCCTAGAGAGGGTGAGTGGTGCCAGCTCAACTTGAAACGGATGGAGGTTGGGGAGGTGCTTTCCTGAACTGGGTGGGTGTGGCTGCCAGCAGGAGGCAGGGATACCAGGTGGGCAGCGCCACCAAACACTCATTGCCAAGAGGCTGCAGCTGTGACCCGGCTCCTCTCTTGGACCCACCTTGCAGGCTGGGCCCACAGAGCAATTCTTCCAGTTCCTAATGAACAGAAGCCCCAGAGTGCTGACAGTTTAGGAAGTAAGTGTACGTATTTTCCCAGTTGGCACAAGTGACTTTGTAGGCCAAAAATGCTCAAATATTGATTTCCTAAGGTTCATCTAAAAACATGCTATTAAGAGCTTTGGTCTTAGGCCAGGCTTGGTGGCTCATGCCTGTGATCCCAGCACTTTGGGAGGCTGAGGCAGGCGGATCACCTGAGGTCGGGAGTTTGAGACCAGCCAGGCCAATATGGTGAAACCCCATCTTTACTAAAAATACAAAAATTAGCTAGGCATGGTGGCGTGTGCCTATAGTCCCAGCTACTCAGGAAGCTGAGGCATGAGAATTGCTTGAACCCAAGAGGCAGTGGTTGCAGTGAGCTGAGATCATGCCATTGCACTCCAGCCTGGGCAACAGAGCAAGACTCTGTCTCAAAAGAGAAAAAAAAGCAAAAAAAAAAAGCGCTTTGATCTCAGAATTAGACCTGAATTTGAGTTCTTTCTTGGCTACTTCCTAGCTGTGTGATCTCAGGTAAGTGATCTCACCTCTCTGGGCCTTGAGTCCCTGCTGTGTAAAATGGGTATAATCGTAGTGCCCCTGAATCAGGGTCATTGAGAAAGGTCCATATACTCCTGCGGCAACCGGAGCGTGACAGGGCCCGACACACAGGAGGGGCGCAGAGAGCAGTGCCTTTTCCTGAGTATGTGGGAGGGGCGCTGGGGAAAAGCTTGAGTCGTAGAGTTAAGAAGTGGGTTAGAATCCAGGCTCTTTCCCTCCATCACTATGTGACTTAGGTAAAATTACTTAACCTCTGTGAGCCTAAGTTTTCTCATCTGTAAAATGGGGCAAAATGAGTTAACGCCTCTCGGGGTTGTTAAGAGATTCATTGAGATGATGAATTGAAGATAAGGCTGTGCAGTGTTTAGTACAGGACCAGCCACAGTCAATAGCTGCTTTAGCGATTTGATTTAATGCCACTTAAAACTCACATAAAGAACTAACCATTCAACAGTAGGAGTTGAGCTGCAAAGCGTGTCTGGAGTTCACACTGTGAGCCATGTCACTTAGAGCTCCGTGGGACTCCCGTCCATGGATCTCCTGCATTGGCAGATTCTTTAACAGCTACATGAATGCTAGAACTGTGTAAATAAGAACAATATAATAGGCTGGGCTTGGTGGCTCACACCTGTAATCCCAGCACTTTGGGAGGCTGAGGCGGAGAGATCACCTGAGGTCAGGAGTTCGAGGCCATCCTGACCAACATGGAGAAACCCTGTCTCTACTAAAAATACAAAATTAACTGGGCGTGGTGGCGCATGCCTGTAATCCCAGCTACTCAGGAGGCTGAGGCAGGAGAATCACTTGAACCCAGGAGGTGCAGGTTGCAGTGAGCCGAGATCGCACCATTGCACTCCAGCCTGGGCAACAAGAGTGAAACTCAGTCTCCAAAAAAAAAAGAAAAAAGAAAAAGAACAATATAATCTCAGCAAATAAGCCAAACACTGTGAATACGGCGTCACCTGTGAAGATAACAGAGTCTTCCTCGGAGACTGACCAGCAGGGGAGAGGTGTATTAGTCCATTTTCACACTGCTAATGAAGATTTACCCAAGACTGGGTAGTTTATAAAGAAAAAGAGGTTAAATGGACTCACAGCTCCACATGGCTGGGGAGGCCTCACAGTCATGGCAGAAGGCAAAGAAGAACCAAAATCACATCTTCCATGGTGGCAGGCAAGAGAGCTTGTGCAGGGGAACCACACTTTTATAAAACCATCAGATCTCGTGAAACTTATTTACTATCACGAGAACAGCATGGAAAAGACCCACCCCTATGATTCAGTTACCTCCCACCAGGTCCTTCCCACGACATGTGGGAATTATGGGAGCTGCAATTCAAGATGAATTGTAGGGTGTGGACACAGCCAAACCATATCAGAGGGTGAGAGTCCCATAGGGCACTCGGAAGCCACAGCCATCCTGACCTCAGTCAGGGTCCAGGGAAGGGGTGGCGCCTATAACTGGCCCTGCCAGTGACCTGGGATCTGACTCTGCCATTGTCCATGGGTGTGGCTTTGAGCAAGTTGAAGACCACCAGCCTGTGCTCTCTGGATCTTACTTATTGAGTACCTCCTGTATGCCAGGCACTGTGCTGGGTACTGAGGATACAGCAGTTGGCCGTGAACAAAATCCCTGTTCTCATGGAGCTGCCACTTCAATGGGAAGAGACAAGAAACAAAATGAAGTGGGGAAAGCCATCTCTGCTGAGTGTCAATAAGTGTTAAGTAATGGGGACAGAAAAGCAAAGATCAGGGAGTGTTGTGGTGGGGTGGATCTGAATAACGTAGTCAGCAAAGGCCTCCCTGGGAGGGTGAGGTTTATGCAAGACCAGAAGAGGTGACGAAGGAAGCCATGTGGGGACTCAGGAAGAATGTTCCTAGCAGAGGGAACAGCGGTGCAGAGGCTTCGAGGAAGTGTTTCTGGCCATGGTGAGGCCTTTGTCCTTTATCCTGAATGAGAGGGAACCACAGGAAGGTTTGTCACCTGACTCGGGCATTCCTTGGGCTGTGTGTGAGCAGGGAGTGGGAATGGGGGTGGGTGGGGGGAGCTGTGGCAGTGGTCCAGGCAGGACCCGTCAGGCCGACCTGTGACAGGTTCCTGTCCCCCTCTGTTGCCCTTTCCCAGCTGCTACGGAAGAGGCACATAGGAAATGACATCGTGACGATCATCTTCCAGGAGCCTGGCGCGCTACCGTTCACCCCCAAGAACATCCGCTCCCACTTCCAGCACGTCTTCATCATTGTCCGAGTCCACAACCCCTGCACTGATAACGTCTGTTACAGGTATGCCCCCCACACCCGGCCCCCAGCAGCGTATGGAGAGAGGGGCAGGCAGCTGGCCCAAGTGGGTCCCAGTACAGGGCCCCCCCACACCTCACGTTGTGCTTCAGGAGAAGAGCTCGGCGTATACTCCCCACACCATCTCAGAGAGTGGTTTTTAGCCAGAAAGGGGCATGGCTCCCCACTTTTGCTAAGGAAACCATCAGGGATTTGTATTTGCTTGTAATCTTTTGTTTCAAGTGACAGAAAACCCATGTCAATGTGGCTTAAGACAAAAAGACAGTTGTGTATATAGGCTCTCAAAAGTGGCACCTTTAGGCCTGGCTGGATCTGCCACCGCCCTCCTGGGGGTCACCTTTCCAGCAGGTCTGAGGTGAACATCCTACCAGCTGCAAATCCCCCAAAATGAGAGCTTTTCTTTCCCAAGAGTTGCATCAGAAGCCCCAGAATTGGGGCTCACTGGCCCAGTTGGAGTCGTGTGCCTGTCCTAGAGCCAAAATCACCAGCCAGGCCTGGGCACTGGGCTTCAAGGACCAAGAGGCACGAGTGATGGCCCAGAGGAAAGTCGGAGGGAAGCAGGGCCTACCTGTGGAGGTAGGCCCCACTTTGGAGGTAGAATTGAGGAGGTTTTTGTTGTTTTGGGTTTTTTTTTTTTTTTTTAAGACAGGGTCTCACTCTGTCACCCAGGCTGGAATGCAGTGGTGCAGTCATAGCTCACTGCAGCCTTGACCCCCCCGGGCTCAAACGATCCTCCTGCCTCAGCCTCCTGAGTAGCTGGAACTACAGGTGCACACCCCCATGCCTGGCTAATTAAAAAAAAATTTTTTTTTAGTAGAGATGGGGTCTCTCTGTTTTACCCAGGCTGGTCTTGAACTCTTGGCCTCAAGTGATCTTCCAGCCTCAGCCTCCCAAAGTGCTGGGATTGTAAGTGTGAGCCACCGCACACAGCTGAGATCTTTTCGTACCTGTACATGAAGTGCTTTTTGTTCTTTCTGATACTTCATATTCCATTGTATGGATGTGGAGTCATCTCCTGTCCTCTACTGATGGGTATTACGGTTGTGATGCCTGCAATGAACAGTCTTATTTATAGTCTGATTGCGCCTGAGTCCAAGCATACAGCTGTAAAAGAAATTCTAGAAATGGAGGTGCTGGAGCAGAGGACGTGTGTATGTGCACCAGTAGTCACCGCGAAATTACCGCGGGTCTACCAGCTGCCTCCCTCGGCTGGGTGAGGGAAGGGAGGGGCATCCCAGCCTGCAGCGCTGGTTGTCTAGCACCTCTGTGCTGCACATGTTGCCCGCTGGCTACTGGGAGCCAGCACACTGCATGGCAGGGCCTCCTTACAGGCATGTCCCTGGACCTGAGGCCACCTCTCCCCCTGCCCATCGGTTCCTGGAACATGCAGCAGCAGCTACAGAGTGCCTGCACCTCAGGCCCTTTTTGGGGTTGAGGACCCTTGGATGAGATGGGAGATATTTACACACATGCACACGCACACGTGCACAGGCACATGCACACACACACATGCATGCACGCATCCGTGCACACATGCACATGCACACACATACATGCACACACGTACATGCACACACATGCACACAGGCACACACCTGCACACAGGCACACACATGCACACACACGTATGCACACACCATGCGTCCACACATGCACACACACGTATGCACACACCATGCGTCCGCACATGCACACACCTACATGCACACACATACATGCACACACATACAGGTACACACCTGCACACAGGCACATGCATCCACACACATGCACATGCACACACATACATGCACTCACACAGGCACGCATAAACACATGCACATAACACATGCACACACCTGCACTCACACAGGCACACACAAGCACATGCACATATGCACACACATATGCACACATACATGCACACGCACACATACACACATGCACACACTGGAAAAGGAGGCAGCCTTCTTATGATGCATCAGAGGTGGAGGGTTGAGCTGGTGGGGGGAGCTGCTTTCTCTTCTTCGTCCCCACTCTGACCTCCCCTCTCCTACTGGGGTCATCACATCAGCCTGCAGCTGACCTCCCTCCCTTCCGGGCTCGCCTCTGCATGGTCTCCAGAGTGATTTCTTCTCTCTCACACACAAACCTTTCTTGTTTTTTATAATTTAATTTAAAATATTTTTATTATGCAATATTTTAACCATTCTGAAAAATGCAGAAAATCATTTAACAGAGACCCATGTGCCCACCGCCAGCTTTAACAGATGTTAACATTTTGCTTTGTTTGCTTCGGCTCTCCCTCTTTCCTTCATTTTTAAAGAAAGAAAATGTTAGAGATACAACCAAAGCTGCTCCTCAGCCATCCCCCTCCCTTCCCATCCCTCTTTCCCCACAGGCAGCTCCTCTCTGGACAGACCTGACCCTGCCTCTACCCTGTGGAGGGAGCCCGGACACAGCTCTCCAGCTTACCATCTCCTGAAACCCCCAACTCCTGTCCCCCAACTCAGTGAATTTCTAATTGTCCTTCAAGACTGAACTCAGGGCGAGGTGCAGTGGCTCACGCTTGTAATCCCAGCACTTTGGGAGGCTGAGGTAGGCAGATCACCTGAGGTCAGGAGTTGGAGACCAGCCTGGCCAACATGGTGAAACCCCATCTCTACTAAAAATACAAAAGTTAGCCAGGTGTGGTGGCAGGTGCCTGTAATTACAGCTGTTCCTCTGGAGGTTGAGGCAAGAGAATCGCTTGAACCCAGGAGGCAGAGGTTGCAGTGAGCCAAGATTGCACCACTGCACTCCAGCCTGGGCTACAGAGCGAGACTCCATCTCAATTAAAGAAAAAAAAAAAAAGACTGAACTCAGATGAGCCTCTGACACCCTCCAGTGGTTCCTTACCTGCTCCATGTGCCATTGCCCAACATGTTTCTGTCATAGCACACATGACACCATAAAAATGATATGATGGGCTGGGCATAGTGGCTCACGCCTATAATCCCAGCACTTTGGGAGGCTGAGGCAGGAGGATCACTTGAGCCTGGGAGTTCAAGATCAGCCTGGACAACATAGGGAGACCCTATCTCTAAAAAAACAATTTACAAGTTAGCCAGGCATGCTGGCACGCACCCATAATCCCAGCTGAGGTGGGAGGATCGCTTGAGCCCAGGAAGTCAAGGCTAGAGTGAGCCCCATTGCACTCCAGCCTGGGTGACAGAGCAAGACTCTCTCAAAAAAAAAAACCAAAAAAAACGGAAAAACAGACATCACGTGGCTGTTGCCTCCTTTGACAGTAACCCCATTTCATGTTTAGCTTCCTGTATCTGTCACAGCACAGAGCTTGGCACATAGTGGGCCCTAAAGCCATCTTTGCTTGGCTGGAAAGACACCTGGCCCAAATGTTGCAGGCACTGAAAAAATAATTGTTGAATAAATAATTCTGAGTGTTCTAGCAACGCTTCTTGCCCTCTGGTGATCAGGTGACCACCAGGTCCCCTCGTCTGCTGGTTGTTTCGTGAGTTTTCATCCTTTCTGTTTCAAGTGTGCAATTTCCGAATGGCCACCCGCATCATCCCTGCAGCCTGTGGACTCTCAAAACCCAGTCCCTCCTGCTGGGAAGTAAGGGACCAGCTGTTCTGATGGCTCAAAAACCTTCAGCCGTTTGCAATTTTATGATTTGTGAAATCATGAATCAGGAATATAGGAAAAGCCTAAATCTGTCACTATAAGCAGCTAAGTGCTGAATAAAGAAGTTACAAAGCTCGGCTGGGTGCTGTGGCTCATGCCTGTAATCCCAGCACTTTGGGAGGCCAAGGTAGGTGGATCACCTGAGATCGGGAGTTCAAGACCAGCCTGACCAACATGGAGAAGCCCCATCTCTACTAAAAAATATATAAAATTAGCCAGTCATGGTGGCACATGCCTGTAATCCCAGCTACTCAGGAGGCTGAGGCAGGAGAATCGCTTGAACCCAGGAGGTAGAGGTTGCAGTGAGCCGAGATCATGCCATTGCACTCCAGCCTGGGCGACAAGAGCGAAACTCTTGTCTCAAAAAAAAAAAAAAAAAAAAATTGCAAAGCTCTTCATCTCTGTAAAGTGCAATCTGACAATCTGACTGCCCCATTCAGTAGAGAGAGGGACAGGGGAGGTCATCTCATCCATCCCCCTGCCTGGGGTAAGGCCATGTCCACAAGATTTCCCACAGAAGAAAATTTACCTGGTGTGTGTGGCATTCTTTGAAGCATGTCCGCTCTGGAAAATGCCTTTTTCTGTTAAAACTATGCCCACCATACCTTGGTAGAAACCTGTTTCGTCTGTCCATGTTTAAACCATTACTTTAGTCAGCATTGAGCAACTGTGCTGGGGAATCCACTAAGCCTAGGGCGGCATCCAGCCACGTGGCACTCCTGGGGCATGAAGGATCACTAGCCAGTCAACGCCAGAGATGGAGAGCGAGGGGGATCTGGCCTGATCGGCCGGGGTCGCGCAGTAGCTCCCACACTGGTCTCCTGCATGTGCCCTGTCCTCCCGTCCATTCTTCATGAGGCAGCCACAGTGGTCTCCGCAGATTGCCAATCTGTTGTCCCTCTGCCAGCACCTGCCTCTGTTGGGAACCCAGCGAGAAGCAGATCTCCCTCAAGGATTTAACCAAAGGGAGTTGATGCCACTGACAGAGGTGTGGGGAGCTTACGGGAACCATGTGGGAAGATGCTGCATCCAGGGACTAGCCAGAGCAGGAACCTTTATCCACCCCCAAGCCTTGATGGGCTCAGAGGGAGACGGGAGATGTTTCTGAAAGCTGATGAGAGCTGTGGCCCTGGGAGAGGGGCGGCCCAACAGGAGCAGTAGCTGTAAGGGACCAAAGATGACAGCCACTGACAGTTTCATCACAGCCCCTCACAGTGGAAGGGAAGAGAAATAAATACTCCAGCCTCTCTCCTCCCACCTTCCCATTCCCTGCTGGTGCTTCTCATTGGCCAAACTCAGCTGGAAGCCCCAGGGCACAGGAACCCAGGTGACAGAGCTAGAGAGATCTTCCTTCCTGAGCACAGAGCAGGGCAGAGAACGGCAGAATGGATCAGAGGGGGCAGACAGGAAATGGTTTCACCACCAGATCAGATCATTAAATGGTTGCCTGCTCCCATGGTAAGGATAGGAAGTGCTAACTCACCAGGGCCCCGTGTGGCCTTGCCCCTGGTGACCTCATGGCCTCCTGCTCCTTGCCTTCCGGGCCATGCCCACCCTGGCCTTCCCTAGTCGGCTGCTACCTGTGCTGCACCCCCTGGCTGCAGCACTCTCCCCCAGCTCTTCCTCTGGTTCCACTCAGCCCTTAGATCCCAGCTTCATCATCACTTGCTCAGAGAGGCCCTCCCAGATTCTCCCTGTCCAAATCAGGTCTTTCTCTAGTTCTGTCATAACATGCCCTGTTCCCTTTCCTCATCTTTATGAGTTTATCTCTGTGTGTTGATTTGGTATGTCCCTTCTCCTGGACTAGAAGCTCTGGGAAGGCAGGGACCACGTTATCCCCAATGCCTAAGAGCGTGGAGTCCAGGAAGTGCTTGTCAAACAAATGGATGAGTGTCGCACTGTCGCCCTTGTCTAGAGTTGGGGGTAAGGGGAGGGAATCAACAAAACCTGGGCAAGCATGACTTTGGGTTGGAGTTTCATGGAGTGTTTTTAATCCATAATCTCTATTTTTTTAAATTATCCTACAGATGGAAGAGAAACAGTAGGAATTCTGTCTTGACACTGTACTGACAAATAGGTTTTAATCAAGGATGAAAATACCATACATTTTTAGGAAAGCATAGTTAACTTATTGCATCACCCTGTGCCATTAAGAAACATAAAGAGACCGGGTGCAGTGGCTCACACCTGTAATCCCAGCACTTTGGAAGTCCGAGGCGGGCGGATCATGAGGTCAGGAGTTCAAGACCAGCCTGACCAACATGGTGAAACCCTGTCTCTACTAAAAATACAAAAATTAGCCAGGCGTGGTGGTGCATGCCTGTAATCCCAGCTACTCAGGAGGCTGAGGCAGGAGAATCCCTTGAACCCAAGATGCTTGAACCCAGGAGGCAGAGGTTGCAGTGAGCCGAGATCGCGCCACTGCAATCTAGCCAGGGCAACAGAGCAGCAAGACTCTGTCTCAAAAAAAAAAAAAAAAGAAAGAAAGAAAAGAAAAAGAACAGGCTGGGTGCGGTGGCTCACACCTGTAATGCCAGCACTTTGGGAGGCCAAGGCGGGCAGATCACTTGAGGCCAGGAATTCGAGACCAGCCTGGCCAACATAGTGAAACCCCATCCCCATCTCTACCAAAAATACAAAAATTAGCCAGGCATGGTGGTGCACGCCTGTAATCCCAGTTACCCCAGAGACTGAGGTGGGAGAATTGACTGAACCCGGGAGGTGGAGGCTGCAGTGAGCTGAGATCACGCCACTGCACTCCAGCCTGGGCGACAGAGCGAGGCTCCATCTCAAAAAATAATAATAATAGAAGAAACATGAAGAACATAACTCACCTGCCCTGGGTGAATATTCTGGCAGGTGCCTTGGCCTTTTTGTGCACTTTTAGCAATAATCTGCCAAAAGGCCACTGAGCCTCTATTTAATTTGGTCATCAGAGCATCACATCCAAGATATTCATCAAATCTCCAAATGTGACTCATCAACAGATCTTCTCCCTGTCCGGGCTCAGGGCTCCTTCCGCCCAGAAGCCTCGATGGGTTGAGAGCCTGGTTACCTCTCCTGCTTCTGCACCTTGCACTTCTCCTCCTCCCAGCCCTGCTCACTGCCAGTTTCTGACCCATCCAGGGTTGGAGTGTAGGGAGGAAAAGGGAGGCAGGGAAGTGCCATGTGGACTGTGGCTGGAGCTGGCTGGCTGCTCGCCGGGCTCTTCAGGGGCTTCCTGCACAGGCAGGAGACAGATCCCAGTCCGCTCGCTGCTATAAGGATCACCTAGGGGCTGGGCGCAGTGGTTCATGCCTGTAATCCCAGCACTTTGGGAGGCCAGGGTGGGTAGATCACTTGAGGTCAGTAGTTCAAGACCAGCCTGACCAACATGGCGAAACCCTGTCTCTACTAAAAATACAAAATTAGCCAGGCGTTGTAGCAGGTGCCTGTAATCCCAGCTACTTGGGAGGATGAGGCAGGAGAATTGCTTGACCCCGGGAGGCGGAGGTTGTGGTGAGCCGAGATTGTGCCATTGTACTCCAGCCTGAGCTACAGAGTGATACTCCATCTCAGAAAAAAAAAAAAGAGCATTACCTATGGGGTCCCTCCTGCTGCGGGGTGGGGAAGGGAGAGAATGGGGCTCACCCACCAGCTTTCTCCACAAGTTCCTTTTCTCTCTCCATAGTTTAAATAGTGGGAAATGTGGTATAAGAGCTTGGGGGAACAGAGTCTTCAGATCATTTTCTCTTTTTTTTTGACACAGGGTCTCTCTCTGTTGCCCAGCCTGGAGTGCAGTGGCACATTCTTGGCTCACTGCAACCTCCGCCTCCTAGATTCAAGTGATTCTCCTGCCTCAGCCTCCCGAGTAGCTGGGACTACAGGCCTGTGCCACCACACCCAGCCTCATTTTCTCTTTACGCTCTCCTGAGTTGCTATCAGATTTTGATAGCGCCTCCATCAAAACTTCCTGTTACAATGAACTTCCTTTATTAATTTTTTTTCTTCTTTAAACCTCAGCATCTACCAGAGGAATGCAATGAATTTTCAAAATAACCTTTGTTAAGATGACTTACAAGGTATACTTGTGTAACACAAGTGTTCAAAAGAACTAAAACTCATAAACATTCTACATCAGTCAGCTATTCCTACAATAAAGCCGTATAACAAACCACCCAAGGGCTCAGTGACAAACGTTAATGTTTCTTTCTGGCTTACAAAAAATACAAAATTACCCAGGCGTGGTGGTGGGCGCCTGTAATCCCAGCTACTGGGGAGGCAGAGACAGGAGAATCGCCTGAACCCAGGAGACAGAGGTTGCTGTGAGCCGAGATTGCGCCACTGCCCTGAGGGAGTAGGTTTTTGCCAAACTGTAAGATCTGCCACACGGTCTATGTATTTAAAACAGGAATAAGTGAACAGTCCTTGGAGGATTACCCTTTGATGTCAGAGGATGTTCAGACATCTGCTTTATAGAAAATGTGTATGTGCCCTAACACTTTTTTTTTTGAGACAGTCTCGATCTGTGCCCCAGGCTGGAGTGCAGTGGCGCCATCTTGGCTCACTGCAACCTCCGCCTCCCAGGTTCACGCCGTTCTCCTGTCTCAGCCTCCCAAGTAGCTGGGACTACAGGCACCCACCACCACGCCCAGCTAATTTTTGTATTTTTAGTACAGACGGGGCTTTACCATATTGGTCAGGCTGGTCTCGAACTCCTGACCTCAGGTGATCTGCCCGCCTCAGCCTCCCAAAGTGCTGGGATTACAGGTATGAGCCACTGCGCCCAGCCGACTTTTTATTAGATTTCGAATCTGGTTAGCCAGCAACTTACTAATTAGATGTGGACTTTCATTCTTCAGAAGGAAACTGGCCGCGTGTGGTGGCTCACAGCTGTAATCCCAACACTTTGGGAAGCCCAGGAGGTAGGATGGCTTGAGCCCAGGAGTTTGAGACCAGCCTGGGCAACATAGTGAGACCTCGTCTCTACAAAAAATAAACAAAATTGGCTGGGCATGGTGGTATAAGCCTGTAGTCCCAGCTACTTGGGAGGCTGAGGCAGGAGGATTGCTTGAGGACAGGAGGTCAAAGCTGCAGTGCGCTATGATTGCACCATTGCACTCCAGCCTGGGTGACAGAGTGAGACCTGTCTCGATAAAACAAACAAACAAAAAACCCTATTCCTATTTTTTGATCGAATATTTTCTCTCTGAAGTGTCTTAGTGCCTTTCTTCCCACCATCTAAATAATCTCTCCCTCCACAGTATGGCTGTGACCCGATCCAAAGACGCTCCTCCTTTCGGCCCCCCCATCCCCAGTGGAACCACATTCCGCAAATCCGACGTCTTCAGAGACTTCTTGCTGGCCAAGGTGATTAACGCTGAGAACGCCGCGCACAAGTCCGACAAGTTCCACACCATGGCCACCAGGACCCGCCAGGAGTATCTCAAGGACCTGGCCGAAAACTGTGTCTCCAACACCCCCATCGACTCCACCGGCAAATTCAACCTCATCTCCCTGACCTCCAAGAAGAAGGAAAAGACAAAAGCACGGGCTGGCGCTGAGCAGCACAGTGCAGGGGCCATCGCCTGGAGGGTGGTGGCCCAGGACTACGCCCAGGGGGTGGAAATCGACTGCATTTTGGGAATTTCCAATGAGTTTGTGGTGCTCCTGGACTTACGCACCAAGGAGGTGGTGTTCAACTGCTACTGCGGGGATGTCATTGGCTGGACTCCAGACTCCTCCACACTCAAAATCTTCTATGGACGAGGAGACCACATCTTCCTACAGGCGACAGAGGGTTCTGTGGAGGACATAAGGGAGATAGTGCAGAGACTGAAGGTAAGGGAGAGAGCCCGGCGATAGGGCGGCGATTTGTATGGTTTCGGCCTCAGGAACCACTGAAATACTTCCCTAGCCCAGTCAGTTAGGCTAAGACACGCACTGGCCCGGAGAGAATCACAGTTGTCACTTACAAACTAGACATCTTGTGGGTTCTGTAGCTAGGTTCTTCCTCTGGAAGGTTTGTGCCAGAGATCTGTGGATCTTCATGCTATTACCTTGGAAAGACAAGAGATACTTATTAACCTTGGACACTGATAGAAAGTATAAATTTAAGCTTAGGTTAAAAATGTAGGCCAGGCGCCATGGCTCATACCTGTAATCTATCTCAGCACTTTAGGAGGCTGAGGTGGTGGATCGCTTGAGCCCAGGAATTTCCAGACCAACCTGGGTAACCATAGTGAGACTCTGCCTACAAAAAAAAAAAAAAGAAAAGAAAATTAGGGAAGCATGGTGGTACATGCCTGTGGTCCCAGCTACTTGGGAGGCTGAGGTGGGAGGATTGTTTGAGCCCAAGAGGTTGAGGCCACAGTGAGCTGAGATGACGCCACTGCACTTCAGCCTGGGCAACAGTATGAGACCCTGTCTCAAAAACAAACAAAAAAAAAGAAGTGTAAGAGTACTTTCTAAAATAATTAAAATAGAATGAAAAATGTCCAAACCATTAATGGATAGGGCAGAGGTGAGAGGAGGAAAAAATACAAGAAAGCACAAAGGAACATAAAATTACATGGCAGGAATGAGTTCCATGTTAGTAATCACAGTAAATGTGAATGGTTTAACTTGCCCTATTAAAAGACAAAGACTCACAGTCTAGGTAGAAATCTTCCCCTAAACCCCTCGTGGACAAACCAAGAGTGGCAGATTGGTGATAGCTTAGCTGCTGTCTGCCTGAAGCATTGTGCTGAGAAGTACTCAGGCCCCATCTAAGCTCCACAAGAAAGAACACTGTGGTCAGTGATTGCCTCTGCAGTGGGTTTGGCAGAACGCCGTGCCATGTGTGCTAAATAGAGATAGCATATAACACGGCAGTTCAGAGCACAAGATCTAGTCAGAAGGCCTGGCTTCAAGTCCCAGCACTGCCACTTACCAGCTGCATGACCTTGAGCCAAGTTATTTAGCTTCTTTGTGATTCAGTTTCTTCATCTGAAAAGCAGGTACAAGAATCATTCTGCATTGCTGGGTGCAGTGGCTCATGCCTATAATCCCAACACTTTGGGAGGCCGAGGAGAAAGGATTGCTTGAGCCCAGGAGTTTGAGACCAGCCTGGGCAATACAGTGAGATGCCGTTTCTAAAAAAAAAATAAAAAAATAAATTAGCCGAGGCAGGTAGATCATGAGGTCAGGAGATCAAGACCATCCTGGCTAATACGGTGAAACCCCATCTCTACTAAAAATACAAAAAATTAGCCAGGCATGGTGGTGGGCGCCTGTAGTCCCGGCTACTTGGGAGGCTGAGGCAGGAGAATGGTGTGAACCCGGAAGGCGAGGCTTGCAGTGAGCTGAGATCACGCCACTGCGCTCCAGCCTGGGTGACAGTGCTAGACTCTGTCTCAAAAAATAAAAATAAAAAATAGGCCGGGCGTGGTGGCTCACGCCTGTAATCCCAGCACTTTGGGAGGCCGAGGTGGGCAGATCACAAGGTCAGGAGATTGAGACCATCCTGGCTAACACAGTGAAACCCCGTCTCTATTAAAAATACAAAAATTAGCCAGGCATGGTGGCGGGTGCCTGTAGTCCCAGCTACTCGGGAGGCTGAGGCAGGAGAATGGCGTGAACCTGGGAGGCGGAGGTTGCAGTGAGCCGAGACCCTGCCACTGCACTCCAGCTTGGGTGACAGAGCGAGACTCCGTCTCAAAAAAAAATAAATAAACAAACAAAAAATAAATTAGCTGGGCATGGTGGTGCACACTTGTGGCCTCAACTATTCAGGAGGCTGAGTGGGATGATCACTTGAGCCCAGGAGTTTGAGGCTGCAGTGAGCTATGATCACACCACTGCACTCGAACCTCGGCAACAGAGAAAGACCCGGACTCAAAAAAAAAAATGAAAAAGTGGCCAGGCGCGGTGGCTCACACCTGTAATCCCAGCACTTGGGGAGGCCGAGGTGGATGGATTATTTCAGGTCAGGGGTTCAAGACCAGCCTGGCCAACATGGTAAAACCTCATCTCTACTAAAAATACAAAAATTAGCCAGGCGTGGTGGCACACACCTGTAATCCCAGCTACTCGGGAGGCCGAGGGAAAAGAATTGCTTGAATCCGAGAGGCAGAGGTTGCAGTGAGCTGAGAGTGAGCCACTGCACTCCAACGTGGGTGACAGAGCAAAACTCTGTCTCAAAAAAACAAACAAAAGCAAACTCCTGTGTTCCTCCCCACCCCTCTCAGAGGTTTCCTGACTTTGTAAAATAGAAGTCCTCTACTCAAATAAGGTTTTAGGGAAAAAAAGGTCGACTCCATCCCTCCATTTGCGGATGTCAGAGCTTTGGCATCAGCCTGGGCTCCACTCTCTCTCATGCCCACATTCGTCAGCTCCACTTCTGTAGGCAGGCATCAGCCACCTCTCCCAGAGCCCTCACCCTGGAGCGAGCCACCCTGGTCTCTCCCGGACACTTTCGATGGTGTCCTTTCTGGTCCTTCTTACCCCTGCCCTTGCTTCTCTGTGGCCTGTTCTCGACGTGGTAGTGAGAGCAATCTGATCACATCACCTCTCTGCCTAAACCCTCAGGTCACTCTAGGTTAAAGCCTCAGTCCTTACAGAAGCCCATGAGGCCGGGTGTGAACTGGCTCCCTGTCGACTTCTCTGACCTCATGTCACTGTTGCGCTCTCTGCCCCAGCCATGAAGACCTCTGAGGTTTCATGCGCATGCTAGGGCGGCGTCCAGCCTCAGGGCCTTTGTACCACCTCTTGCTGGAACACTTCTCTGATCACCACATGGCTCGCTCCCTTTCCTCCTACAGGCCTTTGGTCACATGTCGCCTTGTCGGTGAGGCCTCGTTATCTAAGATTGCACACCCCCTCCCCTGGCTTGGAGCACATTCACGCGCTTTGCCTGCTTAACCACCATCTGCCATGCACTGTGTGTTATCTGTTCACTGCCGTGTCCTCAGCACCTGGGCCAGCATCTGGTGCACAGTAGCCGCTGAGTGAGCAGGAACCGAGTGCAGGCACAAATGCGTCGTATGCTATAGTGGCCGCAATAGTGAGGATCAAATGGGCGCCAGCTCTGCGTCAGACCCTGCTCAGCACCTTGGGTGGTCTTGCGTCTCTTGCTCACAAAAGCCTGATGAGGTCCTCACTTCGCAGATGAGGAAACTGAGGCCCAGAGATACCTTGACTTGCCCAGAGCCCAAAGAGCCTGGGTTTTGGAGTTTTTTTTTTGTTTTTTTTGTTTTTTTTTTAATTGATCATTCTTGGGTGTTTCTCACAGAGGGGGATTTGGCAGGGTCATAGGACAATAGTGGAGGGAAGGTCAGCAGATAAACAAGTGAACAAAGGTCTCTGGTTTTCCTAGGCAGAGGACCCTGCGGCCTTCCGCAGTGTTTGTGTCCCTGGGTACTTGAGATTAGGGAGTGGTGATGACTCTTAAGGAGCATGCTGCCTTCAAGCATCTGTTTAACAAAGCACATCTTGCACCGCCCTTAATCCATTAACCCTGAGTGGACACAGCACATGTTTCAGAGAGCACAGGGTTGGGGGTAAGGTCACAGATCAACAGGATCCCAAGGCCGAAGAATTTTTCTTAGTACAGAACAAAATGAAAAGTTTCCCATGTCTATTTCTTTCTACACAGACACGGCAACCATCCGATTTCTCAATCTTTTCCCCACCTTTCCCCCCTTTCTATTCCACAAAACCGCCATTGTCATCATGGCCCGTTCTCAATGAGCTGATGGGTACACCTCCCAGACGGGGTGGCGGCCGGGCAGAGGGGCTCCTCACTTCCCAGTAGGGGTGGCCGGGCAGAGGCGCCCCTCACCTCCCGGACAGGGCGGCTGGCCGGGCAGAGGGGCTCCTCACTTCCCAGTAGGGGCGGCCGGGCAGAGGCGCCCCTCACCTCCCGGACGGGGTGGCTGGCCGGGCGGGGGGCCAACCCCCCCCCACCTCCCTCCCGGACGGGGCGGATGGCCGGGCAGAGGGGCTCCTCACCTCCCAGTAGGGGCGGCTGGGCAGAGGCGCCCCTCACCTCCCGGACGGGGCGGCTGGCCGGGCGGGGGGCTGACCCCCCACCTCCCTCCCGGACGGGGTGGCTGCCGGGCGGAGACGCTCCTCACTTCCCAGACGGGGTGGTTGCTGGGCGGAGGGTCTCCTCACTTCTCAGACGGGGCAGCTGCCGGGCGGAGGGGCTCCTCACTTCTCAGATGGGGCGGTTGCCAGGCGGAGGGTCTCCTCACTTCTCAGACGGGGCGGCCGGGCAGAGACGCTCCTCACCTCCCAGACGGGGTCGCGGCCAGGCAGAGGCGCTCCTCACATCCCAGACGGGGTGGCGGGGCAGAGGCGCTCCCCACATCTCAGACGATGGGCGGCCGGGCAGAGACGTTCCTCACTTCCTAGATGGGATGGCGGCCGGGAAGAGGCGCTCCTCACTTCCTAGATGGGATGGCAGCCGGGCAGAGACGCTCCTCACTTTCCAGACTGGGCAGCCAGGCAGAGGGGCTCCTCACGTCCCAGACGATGGGCGGCCAGGCAGAGACGCTCCTCACTTCCCAGACGGGGTGGCGGCCGGGCAGAGGCTGCACTCTTGGCACTTTGGGAGGCCAAGGCAGGCGGCTGGGAGGTGGAGGTTGTAGCAAGCCGAGATCACGCCACTGCACTCCAGCCTGGGCACCATTGAGCACTGAGTGAACCAGACTCCGTCTGCAATCCCGGCACCTCGGGAGGCTGAGGCTGGCGGATCACTCGCGGTTAGGAGCTGGAGACCAGCCCGGCCATCACAGCGAAACCCCGTCTCCACCAAAAAAATACGAAAACCAGTCAGGTGTGGCGGCGCGCGCCTGCAATCGCAGGCACTCCGCAGGCTGAGGCAGGAGAATCAGGCAGGGAGGTTGCAGTGAGCCGAGATGGCAGCAGTACAGTCCAGCTTCGGCTCGGGATCAGAGGGAGACTGTGGAAAGAGAGGGAGAGGGAGACCGTGGGGAGAGGGAGAGGGAGAGGGAGCTGTTTTGTTTTTTGAGATGGAGTCTTGCTCTGTCCCCCAGGCTGGAGTGCAGCAGAGCGATCTCGGCTCACTGCAACCTCCACCTCCCGGGTTCAAGCATTTCTCCTGTCTCAGCCCCCCAGGTAGCTGGGACTACAGGCGCCCGCCACCATGCTCAGCTAATTTTTGCCTTTTTAATAGAGATAGGGTTTCGCCATGTTGGCCAGGCTAGTCTCGAACTCCTGGCCTCAAGTGATCCACCCTCCCTGGCCTCCCAAAGTGCTAGAATTACAGGCCTGAGCCACTGTGCCCGGCCAAGCCTGGGTTCTTAAACACTAGGCTACTCCGCCTCCCCTAATCTTGACAGCAGCTCGCGTTTCTTGAGCAGGGACCATGCCAGGCACCATGCCAGGTGACATGTTTTACCCACATCCTCACTGTGCCACTCTGTCCCACACCCACCCCCGTGCCTACTGTTGGCGGAGTCCTTTTGGAGCATATTTCCACAGCCATACCCCCACCCCCACCCCCAGTCTCAGTGCCCCAGAGCCTGCTGGGGAACCAGTGGGCCAGGGAATGGTGACATAAGCCATCTCCCGTGGAGGGGCAGGCCCGTTTTGAATGACTTGTGACAGTGAGTCTCTCTCTTTGTGAAGCACCCACAGGGTACAGATTCCACACTCTCCCCGGCAGGCTGACTCAACTGCCCCAGACATCCTGAACTAACGGTATCCCATCACTGGTTAATTGAATGAGTGTTGTTATGCGCCTGGCCTTGGCCTGGCCAGTGCTGGGACATAGTGATGACCATAACAGACCCAGGCCTACTTTCATGGTGCTCCTCTCTGGGACAGATATTAAACACGCAATTCGGCCAAGCGCGGTGGCTCACGCCTGTAATCCCAGCACTTTGGAAGGCCGAGGCGGGTGGATCACCAGGTCAAGAGATCGAGACCATCCTGGCCAACATGGTGAAACCCCATCTCTACTAAACATACGAAAAAATTAGCCGGGCGTGGTGGCGGGCTCCTGTAGTCCCAGCTACTCAGGAGGCTGAGGCAGAAGAATGGCGTGAACCCGGGAGGCGGAGGTTGCAGTGAGCCGAGATTGCACCACTGCACTCCAGCACTCCAGCCTGGTGACAGAGTGAGGCTCCATCTCAAAAACAAAAACAAAAACAAAACAAAACAAAAAAAAACACCACGCAATTGAAGTGCCAAGAGCTTAAAAGGGGGGTGTGGAGGATGCCAGGAGAACCTATCAGATGGTGCTAAATCAGACAAGGAGAAGGTCTCAAATCCACAGGTTGGATACAGTCCCAGATGTATTTAGTTAGTTACCACAGTTTAACATTTAGAGCAAGCTTGTCCAACCTGCAGCCCAAGAGGGCTTTGAATGGCACCCAACACAGATTCATAAAGTTTCTTAAAACATTATGACATTGTGAGTTTTTTTGTGATTTTTTTAAGCTTATCAGCTATCATTAATGTTAGTGTATTTCATGTGAGGCCCAAGACAATTCTTTTTTTTTTTCTTTAAGACAGTCTCTCTCTGTTGCCTAGGCTGGAGTGCCATGGTGCAATCTCAGCTCACTGCAACCTCCGCCTCCCCGGTTCAAGCGATTCTCCTGCCTCAGCCTCCCAAGTAGCTGGGATTACAGATGTGCACCACCATGCCCAGCTAATTTTGTATTTTTAGTAGAGACGGGGTTTCACCATGTTGCCCAGGCCGGTCTTGAACTCCTGACCTGAGGTGATCTGCCCACCTCAGCCTCCCAAAGTGCTGGAATTGCAGGCATGAGCCACTGTGCCCGGCCCAATTTTACTTTTTAATTATAGAAAATTGCAAGCATACACTAAAGCAAAGGGAATCATATAAGAACCCCAGTCTTGGCCGGCTGCAGTGGCTCACACCTGTAATCCCAGCACTTTGGGAGGCCAAGGCAGTTGGATCACCAGAGGTCAGGATTTCGACACCAGCCTGACCGACATGGAGAAACCCCGTCTCTACTAAAAATACAAAATTAGCTGGGTGTGGTGGCGCATGCCTGTGATCCCAGCTACTTGGGAGGCTGAGGCAGGAGAATTGCTTGAATCCAGGAAGCGGAGGTTGCGATGAGCCAAGATTGTGCCATTGCACTCCAGCCTGGGCAACAAGAGCGAAACTCCGTCTCAAAAAAAAGAGAACCCCAGTCTTCATTACCATCTACAATAGTTACTGACCCATGGCTGATCTTGTTCTTTCTTCCTTCCCTCTCTTTCCCAATTATTTTGAAGAAATCCTAGACATCTTATCATTTCATCTGTAAATTTTTCAATATTTATTTCTAAAAGATACAACTCTTAAAACATAACATAGCCATCATACATAAAATAAAAAATTAACGATAATTCCTTATTGTCAAATAAACACATTGTCACCCATGAGTGGGCTATAAAATCAATCACAGAGATGTAATTTTTTTTATTTTTAATTTTAACTTTAATTTTTAAAGACAAGGTCTTGGTGTCACCCCGGCTGGAGTGCAGTGGCACAGTCATCGCTCACTGCAGTGTCACTCTCCTGGGCTCAAGCCTGCCTCCCACCTCAGCCTCCCAAGTAGCTGGGACTGCAAGCGTATGCCACCATGCTCAGCTAATTTTTTTTTTATTTTATTTTTAGTAGAGATGAAGTCTTGCTATATTGCCCAGGCTCATCTTGAACTCCTGGGCTCAAGCAGTCCTCCTGCCTTGGCCTCCTAAAAGTGTTGAGATTACAGAGATTACAGGTGTGAGGCACTGCACTCAGCCCGAGTTGCAACAGTGTTAAAGGTTAGATATCTTAGTCCACTTAGCCTGAATATAACAACATAGCTTAGGTGGGGTAGCTTATAAGCAAAAGCAATTTATTTCTTCGCATTTCTGGAGGCCAGGAAGTCCAAGATAAAGGTACCCGCAGGTTCTGTATCTGGTGAGGGCCCCTTTCAACTTCACGGATGGCACCTTCTTGCTGTCATGGTGGAAGAGGTGAACAAGTTCCTTGGGCCTCTTTTTTTTTTTTTTTTTTTTTTTTTTTTGAGACAGTCTCGCTCTGTCGCCCAGGCTGGAGTGCAGTAGCGTGATCTCGGCTCACTGCAACCTCTGCCTCCTGTGTTCAAGCGATTCTCCTGTGTCAGCCCCCTGAGTAGCTGGGATTACAGGCGTATACCACCACGTCAGGCCTCTTTTATATGGGCACTGATCCCCTTCATGAGGGTTCTGCCGTAGTAATAGGATGGGAAAGAATAAAAAGTGTCACAGTGTGCCTCAGTGAGTAAAGATAAGACTATTTTATGAAGCATTGTTTTGGTCACACGTTTCCCCCACTTTCCAAATTCTCGCCGTCCAAATCAGGAACCAAACAGATTCAGTGACATTTTCAGGTAAGTACTTTACCATCCAAATGCTTACTTCTTGCTATCCACACTCAAGAATGTGACGGATTTGAATTGCAAGGAATATTTGTGTCTGTGGGCATGTGTGTAAAACACGAATGTGTAGAGTAGTTTGTGACGTAAAATTATTTCTAAAACACGAATTTGTAGAGTAGTTTGTGACATAAAATTATTTCTTTCCTTGGCCGGGCGCAGTGGCTCACGCCTGTAATCCCAGCACTTTGGGAGGCCGAGACAGGTGAATCACTTGAGGTCAGGAGTTCGAGACCAGCCTGGCCAACATGGTAAAACCCCATCTCTACTAAAAGTACCAAAATTAGCTGGGTGTGGTGGCAGATGCCTGTAATCCCACCTACTCGGGAGGCTGAGACAGGAGAATTGCTTGAACCAGGGAGGCGGAGGTGGCAGTGAGCTGAGATCGGGCCACTGCACTCCAGCCTGGGCGACAGCGAGACTCCGTCTTAAAAAAAAAAAAATTTATTCCTTTCTTCAAGTGGTGGTGAGAAAAGTATGAAAGCGGGCATCCTGATAGGTATGTTACATAGCATCATTTCTAGCCAGGGGATGACTTCTCACAGGAAATGTAAGCCATTCCGTTATCTTTCCATAACGCAGTTTTAGGAAAGGGCAGGCATTCTTGACAACTTGCTTAATAGCCATGGCTGGTTACATTCATCTTGTTTTTATCCCAAGAAGAGGGGATCGCTTAACAGCATGCTGGGGGGAGGGGGCAGGGCTCTATTCAGCAGGTCCTCAGATCTTATGGTAACACATTATCCAGGGGAATATCTCACCCAGTGAAGCAGGGAGTCCTGGAGGCCAGGCCCTGCGTGGTCCGATCAGCTCCATGTTGGGGGAAGGTCTGAGGAGGAGATGGGGAAAGGGTTTCTTCCTCCAAGAATGGTGTCACGAGGCCGGGCATGGTGGCTCACGCCTGTAATCCCAGCACTTTGGGAGGCCGAGGCGGGCAGATCATGAGGTCAGGAGTTCGAGACCAGCCTGACCAATATGGTGAAACCCCGTCTCTACTAAAAATACAAAAAACTAGCCGGGCATGGTGGCGCGTGCCTGTAATCCCTGCTACTGGGGAGGCTGAGGCAGGATACTTGCTTGAACCCGGGAGGCGGAGGTTGCAGTGAGCCGAGATCACGCCACTGCACTCCAGCCTGGGCGACAGAGCGAGACTCTGTCTCAAAAAAAAAAAAAAAGAATGGTGTCACGAAGTAAAAGAATATAATGTGAGTTCCCAACCTAGAAAAGGTCCCAGTACTTCTGGTCTCATGCTTCCTTGTGTATTTTAGTTAGAGTCATTGTGTCAGTCAGGATACAGTATTAGTGGCTTAAAGCAGGTTTGGCTGGGTGTGGTGGCTCTCACCTGTAATCCTAGCACTTTGGGAGGCTGAGGCAGGTGGATCATCTGAGGTCAGGAGTTCAAGACTAGCCTGGCCAATATGGCAAAACCCTGTCTCTACTAAAAATACAAAAATTAGCCAGGCGTGGTAGCAGACGCTTGTAATCCCAGCTACTCAGGAGGCTGAGGCAGGAGAATCGCTTGAACCCAGGAAGCAGACGTTGCAGTGAGCTGAGATCATGCCGCTGCACTTCAGCCTGGGCGACAGAGCAAGTCTCCGTCTCAAAAATAAATAAATAATAAAATGATGAAATAAATACCACAGCCCAGAGGACATGGCAGTGCCACTCGCAACTCTTTGGCCAAAACAAGTCCCAGGGCCCCACCCAACCACAAGGGAGCCAAGAAGTGCAATCCCACTGACCCCAGGAAGGAGGGAGTTCGGGGCCTTTGGAGCCACAGCTCATGACTGCCATGGTCTCTGCAAGGTTAGAAGCCACGGGGTCGCATATCCACATTTCCCCTCCAGAAATCAGGAAGCCAGGCTGGGACCGGGTGCGTGTTCCCCCTGCGGGTCCCCTGCCATCACCCGGGAAGGTATTAATAGATGGGAGTTGGCAGGTTTTTGGCTTCAAAGCGGGGAACGTGACCAGGGGTCTTCCAGAGGAGCTGACCCAAGCAGCTTCTGAGGCTCGATCCTGCCTGTGGCCTGCAGGTGATGACCAGTGGCTGGGAGACGGTGGACATGACGCTTCGGCGGAACGGGCTCGGGCAGCTGGGCTTCCACGTGAAGTACGACGGCACGGTGGCCGAGGTTGAGGACTATGGGTTCGCCTGGCAGGCCGGCCTCCGGCAGGGCAGCCGACTAGTGGAGATCTGCAAGGTGGCCGTGGTCACACTGACCCACGACCAGATGATCGACCTGCTGCGCACCTCTGTCACTGTGAAGGTGGTCATCATCCCGCCTTTTGAGGACGGCACTCCCCGGAGGTAAGGGCCTCCACCTTTCAGCCAGGTGGTGGGTGGCAGCTCCCAGATCGCTGGCATGAGGCCTCCCTGGCACTGTCACTTGAGGTCCCAATAGAGGGGGGATAGGCAGGCCCTTCTAGGCAGGAATAGTGGCAACAGTGACAGGACGGGGAGGGCACATCTACAGAGCGCTTACTGTATGCCAGTTATTGGTTTAGCCCTTCATACGTGCATGATCGCATTTAATCTCCACAGTTGCCCTGTGAGGGGAGAGCCTCATTCTTCCCATTTCCTACATGAAGCACAGGATGTTAATAGTTGCTTGCCTGTGGGCCCCCCACACTTCATTCATTTGTTCAAAATGTGTTTATTGAGCCCCTACTGTGTGCAAGCTCTGTTCAAAGTGACCACAACAAAGTGCCTGCTCCCTTGCGGTTTGTGTTCTACAGGGAAAGACAGGCCGTGAAGAAATAGGTGTGTCATACCGGATCAGGTAGTACTAAGTCTCAGAAGGAAATTAAAGCAGGGTAATGAAGGGGCTGCAGCACGATGGGAGAGCTGCTTACAAGGCGGGCAGAGAAGGCTCCACGAGGCTCCACAGGGAGGCAGCCATGTGGTTTTCTGGCCAGCGGGCTCCAGACAGGAGCTGGCCAGGGCACAGCCTCCCCAGTGTACATGGGTGATGTGTTCCTGGAGTACGGGGAGGCCCATGTGGCTGGAGCAGAGCGAGCAGGAGTGAGAGCTGAGAGCAAAGGACAGAGAGGTGACCAGGCAGGCGGTGTGGGCTTCATGGGTTTTATTCCATGCTTGGGTTTTATTCCATGCTCAGTGGGAAGCTGGTAGGTGACTTATTTATTTTGTTTTGTTTTTTCTTTTGTTGTTTTTGTTTTTTGTTTTTTTAGATGGAGTCTCGCTCTGTCGCCCAGGCTGAAGTGCAGTGGCGTGATCTCAACTCACTGCAACCTCCACCTCCCGGGTTCAAGCGATTCTCCTGCCTCAGCCTCCCGAGTAGCTGGGACTACAGGCACGTGCCACCACGCCCAGCTAATTTTTGTATTTTTAGTAGACACGGGGTTTCACCATGTTGTCCAGGATGGTCTCAATCTCTTGTCCTCGTGATCCACGTGCCTCGGCCTCCCAAAGTGCTGGAGTTAACAGGCGTGAGCCACTGCGTCCAGCCAACAGCAATTTCGTAGTGTCAACTATCTAGACTGGGTTCACACCTGTAATCGTAACACTCTGGGAGGCTGAGGTGGGAAGATCACTTGAGGCCAGGAGTTCAAGACCAGCCTGGCCAACACAGTGAGACCCCGTCTCTGCATCTCTGCATCTCTGCCTAAAGGAGAAAAAAAAAACAGTGCAGTTGTAGCCCCAGCTATTTTCAGGCTGAGGTGGGAAAATCACTTGAGCCTAGGAAGTTGAGGCTGCAGGGAGCCATGATTGTGCCACTGCACTCCAGCCTGGGCAACAGAGGGAGACCTCATCTCTTTGTTTTTTAAACAGTTGTTCATCAGAATTCTCCTATTGGCCGGGTGTGGTGGCTCACACCTGTAACCTCAGCACTTCGGGAGGCCGAGGCGGGCGGATCACCAGGCGGGAGTTCAAGACCAGCCTGAACCAGGCTGGAGTCCAAGACCAGCCTGACCAATGTGGAGAAACACTGTCTCTACTAAAAATACAAAATTAGCTGGGCGTGGTGGCGCATGCCTGTAATCCCAGCTACTCGGGAGGCTGAGGCAGGAGAATTGCTTGAACCCGGGAGGCAGAGGTTGCGGTGAGCTGAGATCGTGCCATTGCACTCCAGCCTGGGCAACAAGAATGAAGCTACGTCTCAAAAAAAAAAAAAAAGAAAAAAAGAATTCTCCTATTGCATTTGATTCATGTATCTCTTGAGGCTCTTTTTTTTTTTGCTTTGAGACAGAGTCTTGCTCTGTCACCCAGGCTGGAGTGCAGTGGCGCAATCTTGGCTCACTGCAACCTCCGCCTCCTGGGTTCCAGCGATTCTCCTGTGTCAGCCTCCTGAGTAGCTGGGATTACAGGCATGTAGCACCACACCTGGCTAAATTTCATATTTTTAGTAGAGCTGGGGTTTCACCATGTTGGCCAGGCTGGTCTTGAACTCCTGACTTCAGGTGTTCCACCCACCTCAGCCACCCAAAGTGCTGGGATTACAGATGTGAGCCACCGCGCCTGGCCTTTTCCTTGCAGTTTATTTTGGAAAGAAACCAGGTCACCTGTCCTTAGAGCTTCCCCCTTCCTGGCTTTAGCTGGCGGCCTCCCCATGGTGTCCTTTAGCCTATTGCTCCACCACTGGTATTTTCTGTAAACTAGAGTCAAAGATGGAAGCTTGCTTAGGCCCCAATGGGATGTCTTTCGGCCGCAGCACTCCTAGGTATGCATCTGTGAGAAGGCACTGCGTGCCTGGTCTCCCCCTGCAAGTGACACTAGGGGCAAGCAGAGGCTTCAGACAGCGGCACCTGGCCATCACCACATGTCCCCTCCAGTCCTGTTTCACAGCCCAGCAGCCACTGCTAGGCCCTGCCTAGATCCATCATTTCATGACGGTTTGCAGACGAGTGCCATCTTCATTCTGTCATTCCTTCTTCATATATTGGCTGGAATGCTTCTAAAAAGAGCTTTCTTTCAGTAACCGTTTAGTTACCCTGAGGTATAATTTGTACAGAGAAGACAAGATAAATACAGTTTTCAGAATAATGAGTTGGTCCCTAGCAACCTCCAGAAGTGACCAATGAGAGAGACGCACCATGTTCTCAGCTCTGGAAACAGTGCACAGAGGACAGCCAAGGCCTTGGCCTCATGGAGTGAGGCCCCAATGGGTCAGGGGAGACAAACAGTAAACAAGTAAATGAATGAGATGATTTTATATCACAGAGTGGGGAGGCAGGAGAGCATAGCAGGAGAGGCAGGCTGTCTAGGTTTGAATCCCAGCTCTTCCCCTTGTTACCTTTGACCCTAGGGAAGTGGCCTTACCACCCTGTGCCCGGTTTCCTCATTTGTAAAACAAGGACAATAACGTCCTTTCCACAAGAGCGTTTGTGAAGTTGAAGGAGATCCAACTTGTAAAGCACGTAGGACAGGCCAGACCCAGTGAATTTGTGACTGTGGAGTGCTGGTGGCTCTCAGCACTTTTGGAGGCCGAGGCCAGAAGATCACTTGAGCCCAGCAGTTCGAGACCAGCCTAGGCAACATAGCAAGACCTCGCCACTACAACAAATTTTTTTTTTTTTTGAGACTGAGTTTCACTCTTGTTGCCCAGACTGCAGTGCAGTGGCATGATCTTAGCTCACTGCAAGCTCCGCCTCCTGTGTTCAAGCGATTCTTCTGCCTCATCCTCCCGAGTAGCTGGGACTACAGGCATGCACCACCACACCCAGCTAATTTTTGTATTTTTAGCAGAGACGGGGTTTCACCTTATTGGCCAGGCTGGTCTCAAACTCCTGACCTCATGTGATCTGCCCGCCTCGACCTCCCAGAGTGCTAGGATTACAGGCATGAGCCACTGCACCCAGCCCAAATTTTTAAAAATCAGCTAGGTGTGATGGCACATGCATGTAGTCTCAGCTACTCAGGGTGAGATAGGAGGTTGAGACTGCAGTGAGCTGTGATCACACCACTGCACTCAAGCTTTCTCAAAAAAAAAAAAAAAAAAAAAAAAGCCAGGCTTGGTGGCTCATGCCTGTAATCCCAGCACTTTCGGAGGCCAAGGCGGGTGGATCATGAGGTCAGGAGTTTGAGACCAGCCTGGCCAATATGGTGAAACCCCGTCTCTACTAAAAATACAAAAATTAGCCGGGCATGGTAGCGTGCGCCTGTAGTTCCAGCTATTCAGGAGGCTGAGGCAGAAGAATCACTTGAACCCAGGAGGCAGAGTTTGCAGTGAGCCGATTGCACCACTGCACTCCAGCCTGGATGACAGAGCGAGACTCTGTTTCAGGAAAAAAAAAAAAAAAAAAAAAAAAAGGCACGTGGGACAGTACTTGGCCTATAGGAGGCGCTCGAGAGACACTGGCACCAAGATACTGGATGTGAGGACTGTAAAGGGCACATAACCCACATTGGATAGGGTGGTCCGGGAAGGCCCGAAGGTGAGGGCAAAGGCCCTTAGCTTGGAGACAGACCAGAAAGAGGACCTGCATGGCTGCAGCAGATTCAGCCAAGAGGAGGGCACAAGATGGGGTGACGATGAGTGCCATATTCACATATGACCTTGCTGGGCTCACACCAGGGCTGGTGTGATCTCTGCTTTGTAGACGAGAAAACCGAGGCCCAGAGTGAACAAGTCACTTTGCAGAGTTGTACAGCTAGTAAGCAGCAAAGCAAAATTCAAATCCAGGTCGGCCTGTCTCCATTATACTCTGCAGCCTCTGAAAGCCATCACGAGCTATTAATACACGGGCATGCGAGTGATGTCCCCACCCTCACCTTCCTGAGTCGTGCTTGCTCTCTCTCCACTTGGTGGGGGACAGTTCTGGGCAGGCCTAAACCCTGAACCTGAGGGTGTGGCCACCCCTACCCACATCCCAGATGGCTCAACCTCAGGACTCCAGTCATGCCCCGGGTGTCTCCGGTTCCCAGCCCTTTTCTCCTGCCACCTTCCTACCCTGCCCGGAGCCACAGCCCAGCCACACCTGCTTAGATCTCTGCAGGGGCAAGTCAAGGCCAGATAACCCCACAGGCAAGTGCCCTGGTGGCTACGCTCCTCGAGGAAGGACATGCACCCCTCTCCACACACTCCCACGGGTGCACACGATAAGCCAGCTTGCGCATCGCATGACTCTCACCCCAAACATGCAGGTAGGGACAAACTGAAAGGCAAAGAAAAGTCTGCAGTTCTCCAGCTTTGGGGAGACAGGGCCAGGGAGAGTGCAACCAGACAGAGGAGTTCTTCTCCCTGCCCTTTTCAGGAGGAAGACATTCCCTCCTGTTCCCTTTATAAGGCAGCTGCTGAAACAGGATCTCCCGTTTGCAGGGGTGGGCGTGGGTCAGGACTTGGGTGGTTTTTGTTGTTCTTCAAATGCAGAGGTGTGTAGCTGACCTCATTTGCAGAGCTGATGACCCAGGCTCTGGGCTTTCTCCAGCCTGTTGATGCAACCCTGGCTCAAATGTCTGTTGTAGTGAGCTCTGAGGCGAGCAGTGAGGACGGGATAGAAGTGCCCTCGCTGCCACCAGCCAGGCCGCATGGCTTGCACGCTGACCCCATGCTCTCAGACACCGAGGAGAATGCATGGGGTCTTCCTCCTACCCCCAGGCCACAAGGCTGGAGTTTTGTTTGGGTTTTTTTGTTTGTTTGTTTTAGTTTTGTTTTTCTTCTTTTTTCAGACGAAGTTTCACTCTCTGTGCCTAGGCTGGAGTGCAGTGGTGTGAGATCACGCCACTGCATTCCAGCCTGGGCAAGAGAGTGAGACTGTCTCAAAAAAAAAAAAAAAAAAAAAAAGAAGAATGCGTAAGAAAGTGGGAGCAGTGGTTGCTTCTGGTAGTTGAAACTGGAGGATGGGATTGGGAGACAGGGATGCGTGTTATATCATTTTAATCCTTAAAAAAAATTCAAGGGCCAGACGCAGTGGCTCACACCTATAATCCCAGCACTTTGGGAGGCCGAGGGAGGCGGATCACCTGAGATCAGGAGTTCAAGACCAGCCTAGACAACATGGTGAAACCCGGTGTCTACTAAAAATACAAAATGTAGCCGGGCATGGTGGCAGGCGCCTGTAATCCCAGCTACTCAAGAGGCTGAGGCAGGAGAATCACTTGAACCCGGGAGGTGGAGATTGCAGTGAGCCAAGACTGCGTCACTACACACCAACAAGGGTGACACAGCAAGACTCCGTCTCAAAAAAAAATTTTTTTAATCAATAAATGAAGCAGGCCTTCTCAAATGTTATTGTGTATCAGCATCATCACAGGCAGCTCAGTCAAATGCAGATCCTTGGGCCCTGCCTCAGGGGATTCTGATGCGTGTAATCTGGGATGGGGCCCAGGAATCTTCATTATTTGCTGAGCTCCTGATAATTTCGATGATGATCATTTTCAGATCACTGGGGAAGGCGAGAGCCGGGAGGAGCTGGGGCAGAATCTTTTCCAGAGCCCCAAGGTGGTTTGGTTGGATTTCAGAAAGTGGAAGTGAGGCTTTTGCTTCTGTTTGTGGGAAAAGCAGGTAAACTGTCCTTAGAATCAGCTGGAGGAGGCAACTGCATCAGCTCTGATTTGTTAAGCAGTTGTCATGTGCAGACTCTGCTAACGCTCAGAGAATGCTCACAGCCAGCCCCATATTACAGATTAGGAAACTGAGGCTCTGAGAAGAGAATTCCTCACCCACACCCATGTAGGTGATAACGGGGCTAGAATCTGGATCAGCCATCTGGCCCCGCAGCCCTGGTCTGTACCTCTCCATGCTGCATGCTGCCTTCATTTTTGTTGTTGTTGTTGTTGTTTTTGAGATGGAGTCTCACTCTGTTGCCCAGGCTGGAGTGCAGTGGCATGATCTCAGCTCACTGCAACCTCCGCTTCCCAGGTTCAAGCGATCCTCCTGCCTCAACCCCCCTAGTAGCTGAGATTATAGGCACGTGCCACCATGCCTGGCTAATTTTTGTATTTTTAGTAGAGATGGGGTTTCACCATGTTGGCCAAGCTGGTCTTTAACTCCTGACCTCAGGTGATCCACCCGCCTCGGCCTCCCAAAGTGCTGGGATTACAGATGTGAGCCACTGCACCTGGCCCATATTTTTTTTTTTTTAGGAGATGGGGTCTAGAACTCCTGGGTTCAAGTGATCCTCTCGTCTGTTCCTCCCAAATGCTGGGATTATAGGTGTGAGCCACTGCACCCAGCCCATGCTGCCTTCAAAGTGATTGATTAATATTTTCCTCTTTATATTTTAATTATTATTTAGTTATTATTTTTTTGGACACAGGATCTTGCTGTGTTGCCCAGGCTGGCCTTGAACTCCTGGGATCAAGTGATCCTCCCAACTCAGACTGAGTTGTGTGAGTAGCTGGGACTGCCCAGCTATGTTTTTCTCTTTGAGGTCGTACCCAGGGACTCTTAGCCCAAGATGAAGCCATCAGTACCTAAGGGAAAAGGCCAGGCATGGTGGCTCATGTCTGTAATCCCAACACTTTGGGAGGCCGAGGTGGATGCATCACTTGAGGTCAGGAGTTTGAGACCAGCCTGGCCAACATGGTGAAACCCCATCTCTACTAAAAACACAAAAATTAGCCAGGCATGGTGGCAGGCACCTGTAGTCCCAGCTACTCAGGAGGCTGAGGCATGAGAATTGCTTGAACCCAATAGGCGAAGGTTGCAGTGAGCCAGGATCACGCCACTGCACTCTAGCCTGGGCAACAGAGCCAGACTCTGTCTCAAATAAAAAAAAAAAATAATAAAGTAACTAAAGGAAAAGTCAAGGACATAAGAAATCTACCCACTGGCTCCCAAACCACTCTACGGTGGGGCCATTGTCCATGGTGGTTAAAGTTGTGGGCTTTGGAGTCAACGTGCTAAATATTTAAATCCAACTTCTACTTCTTACTGGCTGTTTCACCTTGGATGGGTTATTTAACTTCTCTGTGCCTCGGTTTACTTGTCTTTAAAAGGTGATGTACTGATCAGGACTCTGCGTACCAGCAACAGAACAGACTGAAACATGGCGCCGCAAAAGAGAGTCTTCACTGGCTCACGTAGCCGACAAGACTAGGAGATGGGACAGCATTTAGGCATAGCCATATCCAGGGACTCAGACACCCTCACCAGGAGTCTCTGTCCCTTGTTTACCTTTCCATGTTTGCTGTCATTCTCAGTCAGTCTCTTGCCTCCCCCTCCCACAGGGGGTTTTCGAAACAGTTCCAGAATAGGACGTGGTGCCTCATGCCTGTAATCCTAGCACTTTGGGAGGCCAAGGTGGGCGGATCACCTGAGGTCAGGAGTTCGAGACCAGCCTGGCCAACATGATGAAACCCCATCTCTACTAAAAATACAAAAGTTAGCCAGGCATGGTGGCACATGCCTGTAATCCCAGCTACTCGGGAGGCTGAGGCAGGAGAATCGCTTGAACCTGGGAGGCAGAGGTTGCAGTGAGCCGAGATCGCACCACTGCACTCCAGCCTGGGTGACAGAACGAGACTCTATCTCAAAAAAAAAAAAAAAAAACTGAGTGTGGTGGCTCACGCCTGTAATCCCAACACTTTGGGAGGCCGAGGAGGACAGATTACTTGAGGTCAGGCATTCAAGACCAGCCTGGGCAACATGGTGAAATGCCATCTCTACTAAAAATACAAAAATTAGCTAGGTGTGGTGGCACACACCTGTAGTCCTAGCTACTCAGGAGGCTAAGGCGCGAGAATCGCTGAAACCTGGGAGGTGGAGGTTGCAGTGAGCCGAGATCTCACCATTGCACTCCAGCCTGGGTGACAGAGCAAGACTCCATCTCAAAAAAAACAAACAACTGATGCTCGTTATCTCTCGTTGGCCCTGCTTAGAGCACATGACAATTCTGTGCTAGTCATCGTGTCAGGGTGGGTGCTTGGAGAAAGCTTCTAATTGGTCAGGCCTGGGTCACATGCTAATACCTGGAGCCAGGAAGTGGGGTCAGCCCCACCCAGAGCCCATATTAACAAAGACCTGTTATCAGGAGAGGGGGTGTGGGGAGAGACACCAGGCAGGCAGGAATGGCAGGTGTGCACTGCCTGGAGACAGTGATAGTACCTTTCCCCACCTCTGCCCGGGCCTGGCATGTCTACAGGCTCTGATAGACGTTCATATTGTTATTGTTCCTCACCTGGTGCCTGGTGAGACATTGGCAGCTGCCAGTCCAAAGGGACAGCCAGAAGACACTGCCAAGTGTCAGTTCCAGCCATGGCGCTACCGAGGGGTGCGGTGTGTCGGGCCCTGGGTGCCAGAGCGCATCCACCTCTGTCTTAGTCTGTTTTGTGCTGCTATGACAGAATATATGAGATCGGATAATGGATAAAGAACAGACATACATTTCTCACAGTTGTGGGGGCTGCAGGTTCAAGATCCAGGCACTGGCAGGATAGGGCCTGGTCTTTCTACTTCCATGATGGGGCCTTGAATGCTGTGACCTCTGGAGGACAGGAACGCCACGTCCAAATACAGCAGAAGAGAAGAAGAGAGAGAGTCCACTCCCGCAAGCCCTTTCTATAGTGGCATTCATCCATTCATGAGGGCTCTGCCCTAAGCTCCTCCCACTAGTCCCCACCTCCCAACAGTGGCATTGGGGGTTAAGTTTCCAACACGTGACTTTTGGGGGAACACACATCCAGACCATAGCAGCCTCTGAACCACCATATCCACCAGATCTTTTGCTGGGTGGCCATGAACGGGGTGGCTCCAGGGAATTCAGGAGACACTCAGAGGATCAGCTCGATGGGGGTATGGGCACTTCCAGGCTGAAGGCTCCTCTGAGCTCAGCTCTCAGCTGCCAGGAGGTGGATTTCATGAGCATGGCTCGGGGACCCCTCCCATGCAGGGCTGCAGTGGCAGTGGAGAATGCCAGCCCAGCCGGCGGATCTCCCCGCCTCAAGCCAGGAGCACCATGGTGCATGTGCCAGCCTGGTCTAGGGGGAGTCACAGGTCTCTCTGCATCTATTTCAAGGTTGTAGATTTCATGGCTTTTTTTTTTTTTTTTAACCACCCCACAAAGTAGGTCACCTGCTCCTCTTCCAGCTGCCTTTAAGATTCTTTGGAACAAGGCAGTTACTGTCCTTTGATTCTGAGGACATCCGCCTTTCTGGCCCTGAGTACCGCTAAGGGGGGCCAGGCAGGTCTGTCGAGGACACTGGCGGCCTGGCAGCCGTGTGGCCTGGGTCAGGTAGAAGCGAGGGGCGGGAACAGAGAATTCGAGTGGGAGGAGGGAAGAGGAGATGAGGTGGAAAGGGCCAGGCAGTCGGAGTCCCTGTGTTGGGTCCCGTCCTGGTTGAAGACTCTGAGCTGGTAAGTTTCAGACCATTTTAAGGAGTATTCACTCGACTTTTAAAATAGGCCATCCCCAGCCGGGCGCGGTGGCTCACTCCTATAATCCCAGCATTTTGGGAGGCTGAGGCGGGTGGATAACCTGAGGTCAGGAGTTCGAGACCAGCCTGGCCAACATGGTGAAACTCTTTCTCTACTAAAAATACAAAACTTAGCCGGGCGTAGTGGCGCTTGCCTGTAGTCCCAGCTACTCAGGAGGCTGAGGCACGAGAATCGCTTGAACCCAGGAGGCAGAGGTTGCAGTGAGCCAACATCATGCCGCTGTACTCCAGCCTGGGCGACAAAGCAAGACTCTGTCTCAAAAAAAAAAAAAAAAAAAAAAAAAGCCATCCCGGTTTATATTGGGCCAGGAAAACCCAGCCTAGACAGCAGGCCCACGTGTTGGTGGGCTGGGGCCTTTCTGAGTAATGCAGTTTTTCTCCCCAGGGGTTGGCCGGAGACCTACGACATGAATACCTCGGAGCCCAAGACGGAGCAGGAAAGCATCACTCCTGGGGGCCGGCCCCCCTACCGCAGCAATGCTCCCTGGCAGTGGAGCGGGCCCGCATCCCATAACTCTCTACCAGCCTCCAAGTGGGCCACTCCAACCACTCCCGGCCATGCCCAGTCCCTGAGCCGGCCCCTGAAGCAGACCCCCATAGTCCCCTTCCGGGAGTCCCAGCCACTGCACAGCAAGAGGTAAGCACCTGCTGGGGGGACCAATACTTCCCAACCCCCACCAGCCCACACCCATCCTCCGCCCCTCCCTCTCCTCACTATTTCCTCCATCCTCTTCCTCGCCTCAAGCTTTCGACCTTCCTTCTTATCCTTATGTCTCCCTTGTTCCTCCCTCCCTCCTTCGTTTCAGCTTTCACCGTTGGCCTCTTGTCTGGGGACCCAGTGCTGGGGAGCTCTGGGTTAGAAATCCATTATACTAAGTAGACGACTGAAGCTCTGCTTTTTAGGCTGGGCACGGTGGCTCACGCCTGTAATCCCAACATTTTGGGAGGTCAAGGCAGGAGCATTGCTTGAGGCCAGGAGTTAGAGAGCTTGGGCAACATAGCAGAACCCTGGCTCTATAAAAAACATTTATTAAAAATTAGCCAGGTGTGATGCACACCTGTGGTCCCAGCTGCCCAAGAGGCTGAGGTGGGAGGATGGCTTGAGCCCAGAAGTTGGAGGCTGCAGTGAGCTGTGATTGCACCACTGCACTCCAGACTGAGCAATACCTTATCTCTGAAAAATAAAATAAAATAAAACTGTTATTTTTAAGGTGAAGGGACTGATAAGCACAAAATTTAGGACAGTGACTTCTTCCTGGAGGAGGCAGGGAAATGGGAAGTGGGGAAGCCCACAGGTAGATGTTAGCACCACCGTTCTAGTCCTGGGGTTGGCTGGTAGCTTCAGGGAGTTTGTTTTATGATGATGACAAATATAACTTAACAGATACTCTTTTGAAGATATTATATATTAAAAGATAAAAAGAAAATTTTCCAAAAAATGAAGGAATCCAACTTGCAGAGGGACATCTTGTCCCCAGGGGGCAGAGGCGAGAATGGTCTTGAGCAGCCTGCAGAAGCTGTGAGTTGCGGGCAGCCGCAGTGGATCCGGGAAGAGGGGGCCCAGGAGCATCCCAGCTTCTCTCGCCCTGTGCTCAGCATCCTCCCCTTCATCCTGAGCAGTGAATAGCAGAAGGGATGTGGCTGGGCGGGGGAAAGTTCGGTTGGTCTGTCTGTCTGTCCGTCTGTCCATCCATCTGTCTGTCCGTCCATCCTCCCAGGGCAGGGGTACCCTCCTACTCACCCTCTGCCTCCTTCCTCCCCTGTCTCCTTCTAGGCCTGTCAGCTTCCCAGAAACCCCTTACACAGTATCACCAGCAGGGGCCGACAGAGTCCCTCCCTACCGACAGCCTTCTGGGAGCTTCTCCACCCCCGGTTCGGCCACCTACGTGAGATACAAGCCATCCCCAGAAAGGTCAGCCTCCCTCAATTCTTTTCATGTTAAGGGATCTGATGAAAGCTGTGCCTCCTTCTTCCCCAGCAAATGCACACCCCCACAATTCTAGTTGCCATTTTATGGTGTTTCTGGACCCCTGAAGGTCCTCAGAGGAGCCCCATGGGGTGGTTATGTCTCAAGTTTTGGAGCAAAACTGGGCCGGGCTGGGCAGGACCCATCGTTGGCTTTCCTTGCAGCAGAATTTTGATTGCTGTTCTCTTGACACCTGTCAAGCAAGAGCATCCACTATCCAGCACGGCCATGCATCTAACTCTCTCCAGCCCTAAGCCCCTAGGACCAGGCTGCCAGCATTACCCAGTTTTCGAGATCTTTCAGGATTCAGTTCTGCCCACTTGCGTCCATCTGCAACCTGGCAGCCTGAGAGATCTCCCCAAACCCTCCATGGCTCCCCACCAGCCTGAGAGATCTCCCCAAACCCTCCATGGCTCCCCAGTGCCCTCAGGATAAACTTGGCATTCAAGGCCCTTCAGGCTCTGGCTCCGGCTGAGCTTATTCCCCAGCTGCCTTCAGCCCTCGTGCCCTCTGTTCTTCCTCTGCCCCCAGGTCCCTGTCTCAGGGGCAGCCACATCAATCCTAGTCCTTGGGCCTGAGCTGTGGCCCTCATCCTGTGAATGTCCCCTTCCTCCTCCTCCTTGCAGTGGTCCTCCTCCTGAGCATCTCTGTCACCCACCCTCTCCTCCTTTCCCTGTTCTCTTGCCCAGGCCACCACAGTGGGCTTCCAGCCTTCATCTCACCTCCCCTGGTCTACCCTCCACTCAACACTCAACAGCCAGAGGGATCTTTCTGTGTCTTTTTTTTTTTTTTTTTTTTTTGAGACCACTCTGTCGCCAGACTGGAGTGCAGTGGCGCAATCTCAGCTCACTGCAACCTCCACCTCCCGGGTTCAAGTGATTCTCCTGCCTCAGCCTCCCAAGTAGCTGGGACTACAGGCTCTCGCCACCACGCCCAGCTAATTTTTGTATTTTTAGTAGAGACGGATTTTCACCATGCTGGCCAGACTGGTCTCAAACTCCTGGCCTCAAGCGATCCGCCTGCCTCAGCTTCCCAAAGTGCTGGGATTACAAGTGTGAGCCCGTGCACCTGGCCAGATCTTTCTATACCTGAACATGCCTGTCCCCTGCTCCAAACCCTCCCACCACTCCCAGAGCCCTCAGGACACAGCTTTGGCCCCTCCCTGTGGCCACCAGGGCCCCTGCGAGTCTCGTGCAGTGCCACACTTTAGCCACACTGGCCACTCCCAGCTTCCTAGGGGGACTGTCTGTATTTCAGAGCCTTGATGGTGTTCCTTCCTTGGCCTGAATATGCTTCACACTCCTCGCCCACACTCCCCCCATCCTACCAACTCAAGCTTCTGTGCCCCTCTCCAGAACCCTTCTCTGGAGCTCCCTCTTGAGGCAAGGCACTGCCCCCCAATTCCTGTGTATTTCCTGACTGTGGCCTTGAGCACTCTTCATCCTTATTAGCCAGCTAAGAGTGTGTGTGCTTGCGCACGTGCATGTATGTGCACCTGTAAGAGAGCGAGAGAGAGACAGAGAGGGTAAGCGTGCTCTTCAAGACCTCCCATCACATAGTACACAGTCCGACACATGGCTGATCTTTGGTATATATTGGATGAAAGGATGGAGTGAGTGGGTTTGTTAAAATGAAACCACCTGCCTTAAGACCAGGGATCAGGCCACCAAACCAGTGGTTCTCAATCTTTAGCAGGCATTGGAATCACCCAGAGGAGGACTTGTTAAAATACAGATTATTGGGCCTGAGCCCCAAATTTCTGACCTGGTAGGTTCGGGGTGCTGCACCAGGGACCATTCTCTGAGAGTCACCACAGTCATCCATTGTTAGATTCTAAGCCTCTTGTTCAATTGGAGAAACACGCCCACTGTTTCTTCTTCTAGTAGCCACCATTCAGCTTTCATTCAGCAAAGGGTCTCAAGAGCTTTCTGGCGTGCCAGGAGGAGTATTTGAGATACTCAATTACGAGGGGGTTCTGTAGTCAGCCCTTGCTGACTGTGATGGAGAGGATCGTAAAAACCATGTGCACTCTGATGAGCACTCTAATAGAGGAAGAGGGAACACAGCCCAGCACTGGAGGTCTAGACTGGCTGCCTGGAGGAGGTGACATCTGAACAGAAGTTTGAGGGACTAATAGGAGTCTGCGACAGAGAGGAGAGAAAAAGTCATTCCAAACAGAGTAAAGGCCACAGATATGAACAAGCAGGATGCTGTGAAACACAGGAGAATCAGAGAGGAATCGGGTGTGTGCGGGACATGGGGTGTGGGGGCACCCAGGTGACAGCAGGGGCTGAGGTTGGAAATGGCAGTCAGAGTGACTCACCAGTAACAAAGGTGGTGGCAGTGGTGTTACCGAAAGCTCTTGGGAACTGTTGTTGTTGTTGTTGTTTTCTCCTAAAGTCTTGGTATCTGCCTTTATTATTTTAACTTTTTATTTTGTAATAATTACTGAGTCACAGGAAGTTGCCAAAAAAAACATACAGGTGGCCGGGCACAGTGGTTCACGCCTGTAATCCCTGCACTTTGGGAGGCCGAGATCGGTGGATCATCTGAGGTCAGGAGTTCGAGACCAGCCTGGCCAACATGATGAAACCCCGTCTCTACTGAAAATACAAAAAATTAGCTGGGTGTGGTGGCACGCGCCTGTAATCCCAGCTACTCAGGAGGCTGAAGCGAGAGAATCGTTTGAACCTGGTAGGTGCAGGTTGCAGTGAGCCAAGACTGTGGCACTGCACTCCAGCCTGGGCAACAGGAGCAAAAACTCCGTCTCAAAAAAAAAAAAAAAAAAAAGAATACAGGGAGGTCTTGTGAACCTGAACCCTTCACGCAGCCTCCCCTATTGTTAACATCTTGTATGGTTATAACGCAATATCAAAGCAAGAGGTTGACATGGGTACAGGCCTACAGCTTATTCAAAATTCACCAGTTATACATGCACTCATTTGTGTGTGTGTGTCTGTAGCTCTGTGCAATTTTATCACATGTGAAGTGTTGTGTAACCATCACGAGGTGCCTCATGCTACCCTTTTATAGCCACACCCATCTCTTCCCCCTGTGCCTAACCCCTGGCAACCATTCACCATTCATCTGTTCTGAGGCTCTTTTTTTTTTTTGGAGACAAAGTCTCACTCTGTCAGCCAGGCTGGAGTGCAATGGCACGATCATATAGCTCACTGAAGCCTCACTCTTCTGGGCCCAAGCAGTCCTCCCATCTCAGCTTTGCAATTAGCTAGGACTGCAGGCATGCACCGCCACACCCAGCCAATTTTTCTTTTCTTTCATAGAGACAAGGTCTCGCTGTGTTGCTGAGACTGATCTTGAAGCCCTTGCCTCAAGCCATCCTCCCACCTGGACATCCCAAAGTGCTAGGATTACAGGCGTGAGCCACCACACCCAACCTGTCTTTTAATTATTGTTATTTCATGATGAATGTTAGATAAAAAGAATCAGATGTACGTATGCTTCAGAGGTTGTCTTTTTCACTCAGCAGAATGTCCTTAAGGTTCATCCACGTTGTCGCGAGTCTCTAGTTCACTCATTATGCTGTTTATTCCGTGGTCTAGATATACCACAGTTTAACCACTCACCCATCAAAAGACATTTGGGGGAGTGCATATTCAGGGCACTTTGAATCTATGCTGCTGGGTTGAAATAAAGTTTTTTAAAATATTAAAAATATATTTTAAAAAGATTTAAAAAGACATTTGGGTAGTTTCCGAGTTTTGGCTATTATAAATATTCATGCGGTGAACATGTACATTCAGGCATACAGGTTTCTGCATGAAAATAAGTTTTCATTTCTCTGGGATAAATGCCCAGGAGTACAATTGCTTACCGTATGGTAAGTCCATTTTTAGTTTGAAAAGGAACTGCCAAACTGTTTTCCAGAGTGTCTGTATCATTTTACATTCCCACCAGCAGAGCGTGAGTGATCCGGGTCTCCACATCCTCACCATTTGGCGTTGTCACTGTTTTTCATTTTAGCTACTTTTGATAGGTGTGCAGTGATATCTCACTGTGATTTTAATTTGCATGTTCCTAATGGCTAAGGATATTGAACACCTTTTCATGTCTTATTTGCCACCCCTGTATCCTCTTCAGTGAAGTGCCTGTGCGTGTCTTTTGTGCGTCTTCTAATTGGGTGTGATGGTGTTCTGTGTCTAAGAGTTCTTTGGACATTCTAAATACAAGTCCTTTGTCAGATATGCGATTTGCAAATATTTCCTCCCAGCCTTTAGTTTGTCTTTTTTACAGGGTCTTTCACAGAACAAAAGTTTTTTATTTTATTTTTTATTTTTATTTATTTATTTATTTTGAGACGGAGTCTTGCTCTGTTGCCCAAGCCGGAGTGCAGTGGTGTCATCTCGGCTCCCTGCAACTTCTGCCTCCCAGGTTCAAGCGATTCTCATGCCTCAACCTCCCATGAAGCTGGGATTACAGGTACGCACAACCCTCCCAGCTAATTTTTGTATTTTTAGTAGAGACAGGGTTTCACCATGTTGGCCAGGCTGGTTTCAAACTCCTGGGCTAAATCAAGTGACTCTCCTGCCTTGGCCTCCCAAAGTGCTGGGATTATAGGCATGAGCCACCACACCCAGCCTAAGTTTTTTATTCTGATAAAGCCCAAATTATCTTTTTTTTATTATTATTTTATGGATCAGGTTTTTGGTGTTGTCTAAGAACTCTGCTTAGTGCTGGGTCCTGAAGATTTTCTCGTTTTTTTTTCTGGAAGTTTTACTCTTTTACATTTAAGTCCATGATCCATTTTGAGATTTGTTTGTTTTAATTTTTGTGTAAGGTGAGAGGTTTAGGTTGAGGTTCCTTTATTGCCTATGGTTGTCTGATTTACTCCAGTGCTATTTATTGAAAAGGTTACCCCCACTCCACTGTACTGCTTTTGTTCCTTAAGGCAAAAATGGGGGAGTGCAGAATTAATTGGATATCCTTGTGTGGATCTGTTTCTGGGTTCCATTGATCTATACGTATGATCTCAGTGAGTCCTCCCAGCAACTCCTTGAGGTGGGTAGTTTAATTGCCCTCATTTTACAGAGGGAAACTACAGCTCAGTGAGGTGAATTTGCTTGGCTGAGGTCACTCTGCCAGGACGTAACAGAGCCAAGATGAGAACCCGGGACTATGGTTCCAGAGGGCTGACCCTGACGTAGAACTTTGGGAGGCTGAGGTGGGAGGATTGCTTGGGCCCGGGCTGTCAAGGCTTCAGTGAGCCAGGTGTGTGACATTGCACTCCAGCCTGGGTGACAGAGTGAGACTCTGTCCCAAAATAATTAATTAATTAAGAGGGAAGGGGCCGGGCTCGGTGGCTCAAGCCTGTAATCCCAGCACTTTGGGAGGCTGAGGCGGGTGGATCATGAGGTCAGGAGTTCGAGACCAGCCTGGCCAAGATGGTGAAACCCCTTCTCTACTAAAAATACAAAAGTTAGCTGGGTACGGTGGCAGGCGCCTGTAGTCCCAGCTACTCGGGAGGCTGAGGCAGGAGAATCACTTGAACCCGGGAGGCGGAGGTTGCAGTGAGCTGAGATCGCGCCACTGCACTCTAGCCTGGGTGACAGAACAAGACTCCATCTCAAAAAAAAAAAAAAAGTTGGGGGAAGGAACTGGATCACTTGCCCACCCCTCAACCCCTGGCAAGGTCACATTGCACCTCTGTGGCTGTGTTAACTGTGAGGATTTACTCAAGTCACGAGACAGAGGGCTGGCTGCCAGAGTGGAATCTGGGCAAGCAGGAACGGAGGTGATGGCTGCTGGGGTGGCAGCCAACAAGGCTACATCATCTGACCGTCATTTTGCCCAGGCATCCTGTCATTCACCTGTCTATTGTTTCATCGGTTGATGTGGGAGATTGACAGAGCGGGCTGGAGCTCTCTGCCCGGCGAGGCTCCTGCCCACAGTCCTGTCTGTTTTGGTGCTTTCCTCTGTGGCCAAGAGGGAAGCTCAAGCCAGCGTCCCGTAGCCCAACCCTGCTCCCCGTAAGGTTCCTCCCCAGAGTCAGTACCTCCAGCTTCTGCCTGGAGACATCTGAAACCATAGCTAGTCAGCTCATCCCAAAACACCAAACCCTTTATAAAGTGAGTTATCTTCCAAGAAGAGATAATTACTTTAAAATTACTCAGATGAGGTTAAAGACAGCAATTTGATCTTCTCTTCTGCCGGGGATGTTTCCCCAGAGCTGTGTGTGATGAGATGCTGGAATGTCCCGATTTCTAATCAGTTTGACCAAAATTGGACAGTGATAGACATGGTCTCAAATGGGATATATTCAGCATCCCAATGAATGGTCAACATAGGTCAGTTTGCATTGGGATAATAAAAAGTCTTGTTAGTTGGGTGGGGCACAGTGGCTCACACCTGTAATCCCAGCACTTTGGGAGGCCGAGGTGGGCAGGTGCAAGCAGATCACTTGAGGCCAGGAGTTTGAGACCAGCCTGGCCAATATGGTGAAACCTCATCTCTAATAAAAATACAAAAATTAGCTTGGCACCTTGGCGTGTGCCTGTCTTCCCTTGGGAGGCTGAGGAAAGAGAATATCGCTTGAACCCTGGAAGTGGAAGTTCGCGTCACTGCTGCACTCCAGCCTAAGCAATAGGGCAAGACTCCGTCTCAAAAAAACAAAAAAAGTCTTGTTAACAAGAGAAGTACATGGTTGGATAAAGTACGGGTTGTCTGATTGGGGAAAGTAGCTGAGAGATGAAACAAGGTAAAATATGCCCAACTAAAGAGGAGGGTCTATGTATTACGATTAGGTTTAGCTGCATAGTATACAAAATAGTGGTTCTGACAAGATTGTTTCTTTCCCCACATTGACGGGAAACCAGGCCCCCCCTCCTTGATGTATTGCTGTCCTTGGCCTTTTGCCTCCTGGTTCAAAGTGGCTGTTCAAGCTGTAGCCTTGAGGAGGTGGTGAGGCAAAGGCATCCACAGCACACTCATGAGGAAGCTTCGAGGCTGGAAGTTATGTGTGGCACCTCCACTTTTATCTCATTGGCCAGAGCTGCAAGGGATCCTGGGACATGTAGTCTGGTGATCCAGTCTCATTGCTGCCCCAGATACAGTTGGGATTCTGTTACCAAGGAGGAAGGAGAGGCTAGTCATGGGGAGCAGCCTGCAGCATCCGCCACTCAGACTTTCCGCCCTCCCCGGGCTCATCCTAGCCATTTTTCCTGAGTGCTGAGGATTTCACAG